>NC_000015.10:39337480-39640510 GCF_000001405.40 Homo sapiens
TCCCAGATCACTATGCCTGTTTCCTTTGAATTGCTGTCAGTACTCCCTTCACTGCCCAGTTTCTCTCTAAAGTCTGTCTGCAGACAGTCTCATCATGGCCTGTGGCTTCCCTTCACTTTCATAAATTTCACCCCCAAATCTATAGCTTGGTTGTGACCTTCACCTTCAGCTCTAATCTTTCTAACTGTCCATCTCATATCTGTATCCTCCATCCTGTTGGCTTCTTAAGCTCAGAAAAACTAAACTAAACCCGATGTTCCCTCTTTACCTATCCTTTTTTATTTGATATATCAGGTCTATGCTAATGGCTCTGTTATCCCCACCTCCGCTGCCCCTTCTCCGCGGCCTGCCTTCCAAGTCTACTCACGTTCCAGAGGCTGTGAACAGACAATTCTCTTGCTGACCACCACCTTTCCAGGCCTTCAGTTGCCATGGCCCCAACCAATATAATTGTACCCCCTTGGCCCAATTTCCCTCACCTCTCGTCCTGAACTCACCCAGCACACCACTGTCACAGCTCTGATTAGACCATTCTCTGCTAAACACTTATGACAAATGGTTTCTTCTTTATCTTCTTATATTCAAGTTCTACATGCCCTTCAAACCCCAAATTATATCTTCCCCATGAAAGTGTATGCCCCTGTAGAAAATAATCTTTTTCTAAATTCCCTGAGCACTTTTCTATTCTACTGCATATTACTGTTATTTCTGCACATTTTTATCTTCTCTTCAAAGCCAAAATAAGGGAAAACATTGTATGCCATTCACGTTTTTATCCCCGCTTAAAATAATGAAGGAATCAATAACATTCTGGTAAGGTTTAACCTGGTGGCATACTGCTTTGCACAGGTGCTATTGTTTAATTTTGACCTATGTCTTCCATCTGCTTCACCCCATGCTGGTGAATCATAATCAAAGCCCTGAGAGCTGGGGGCCCTCACTGACCTTAACACGTGTCTTACCACTGCACAATTTCCAAATGCCATGGCAGGCCAGCAGGGCTTAGCCAAAGGGACTTTGCCTCTCGGAATTGTGAAATAGAGATTCCTTGAGAAGCAATCAAATTCCTTCCCTGCCATCACAATTAGGACACCTTCCCAACATGGGCCCAGCACCATCCTTCATCTTCCCGTCTTCCATACCCCCTGGGTAGCAAGGGCTCTAAGTTTACCCTGTTTCGCGAAACAAGAAAAAAATACTTATTTCTTGTCTCAACATTTAATTATTTTACACAGGAAAAGAAAAAGACTGGCCTGAGGCGGAAATAGAAGACACAATAAATCCTTCTGTGAACTCTTGCCAACCATATTTCTCCTTACTTCTGTCAACCCATCCATCATGGAGCAAATGTTCAGAGGACAGAATATGAACTTGTTTGGGGGTTGTTTTTCTCCAATTGCCACATTTTCTAGTTTGGATCCCAGGCCTCAAACCCCAACCATCATAGGAATGGTGCACTCAGTCAGAAGAAAGGCCTCTGGTGAAGAAACTCTCTGGGCACTTGGGAATAAAGGATCAAGGCTGCAGCCCAGGCCACGGCTGCAGGGCAAGCTGAGCCTCAGTCTGAAGCCACGTCTGAGTTTCCTTTCAGTGAGCATCCTCTCAACCTCTTCATCTAATAAATGTTTATCAGGTGACATTATCAAACACTTGCCATGTGATGTTCAAAATAGTTCAGAACGGCAAGACATGGGCATGGCACCAGCGCCAGTCATTTCGAAGAGCCCTGCTGTGCCATGCATTGCACCTTTTGTTCTTGAATTGTGTGAGGGGAGGGGGTGGGCACAGTTTTCAGGTGGGCTGCTGGGGTGGCAGAAGGGGCACTCAGGGTATATAGGAGTCAGTTATTTGCCTACTCACATGGAATTGTGTCAGAAGTTTAGTAACTGGCAGGGCCAGACCAGTGTAAACCAACTGAATAGGAGTCTTTGGTACAATAATGCACAAAACGGAAGGAGGTCCTTTACCTCCTGGACCCCACAGTACAGTACAGGATATATATATTAATCGAATAATCACACGAGCTTTTGTAAGGTCTCAGTGGGGATAAAGATTACCAAATATAAAACCGTGGCTGTAGAGAATATTACAAAGAAAGGCATTCATTGCAAGGAGAGAATGTGATATTAGATTTGACCATATTAGATGGCTCAGGACAGGCTTCCCAAGAAGCAAGGTTAGGCTAAGCAAGGCTGAGGATGACTGGGAGTTAACAAGTCACTGAGGGAATAACAGCACTCTGAACAGAAGGAAAAAGACATGTCTTGTGTCAGCAAGAACTGAAAGAAGAAAAGTGTGGCTAGAGAGGAGACAAGAGAAAGAAAGTAACTTCAGAGGAAGAAGGAAGGTGTAGAGGGCCAATGTGGAGCCTTGAGGAGTTCTGTTCGTCTCAAAAGAATGGACAGTCACTCCAAGATTTAAAGCAGTGAGGTGGCATCATCAGATCAACATTTTACAAAGGCCATACTGACTGCTACATGGAGAAGGACCCATCATGGAGGAAGAGGCTAGAGGCAGACACTTCACTGGTCAGCACCAAGGACCCCTGAGGTCCTGTATGTGCAGCATGTTACTCAGGGAAGAAAGGATTCCCTTTCATTAGGCAGGACTCTGACAGGTTCTCATATCAATGAAAATTAAGTGGTTATGAAGTGGAGAGGAAAGTGCATAGTGGTTTTAAAAACAATTATATGCTATCGACTTATTTCTTAATAAACTATAATTTATTTAGCACATACCCTAAGAGCCAGTGCCTAACTAAACATTCCCATTGATTGCCTCTTTAATATTCAGAACAACTTAGAAAGGCAGGCATTACTATCTCCAGTTTACAGATAAGGACATCAACATTCAGAGAATTAACTAGCCAAGGAATCCACAGCCCAGGATTAAAGCCCAGGCCTTTCTGATTCCTGCACTTCTGCTTGTAAGACAGTAATTGTTATATGTGAACATGGTGCTGGTTCTATATACCTGCTGGGCCTTCGGGACTTAGTAAGATGCTATCTTGCCCAGAAGGAAGACAGTCTGATGAAAAAGAGAGAGAGACACATACACACACACACACACATTTTTGCAAACAAGTATATTACAACATGGCATGAGCTTTGAGGACACACCATAAAACTTGGTATAATATTTTTCTCCATGAAAAATTTATAGTTAGTTGGTATTTGGCTCAGTGCCTCTATTAGGTAGAAATGGACAAAATTGAGAGCCAATGTTGGTGAGTAGCTTATGTGTGCCAAGTATTGTGTTAAGTGCTTTAAATACATCAATTTAGCTTAATCCTCAAAGCGAATTAGGAAAATGGCAATGTTGTCTACATTCCACAGATGGAGAAATTAAGGCTCACGTAGGTAAAAAATTTAAAAAAATAAAATAAAATAATTTAAAAAAAACAGGATTACGAGTAGGAACCAAGAGAGGACAAATTACTCGAGAAAGAAAATCAAAGTAATATGAAAGCTCAGTAACATTAAATCTATATGAAACTGGTGACATGCTCTGAAATGGAAAATTAAACCCCATGTGGATGCAAGACACAACGCATTAAAACTGACCCTAATCACCAAACCACAGGAGTGTGACTGCAAAATACGTTAGCTTCCCAGAGCCAGGCTGTATGGGCAAGCTGTTTCTACTTCTTAGAGTTGTTTTGACATTAAAATGTGAAAGTTCGTAAAATAAGGAGGGAGGTGGAGGCTCCAAGGAATGTTAAAATAATCTGTGGCAAAACAGAGAAAGCTAAATATTCATTAAGGGGCTTTCATTTCAAATGATCGTTTTACCGTATCAGTGGCTAAATTGCGGAGCAGGAAGAAGAGGATAAAACTCTTACTTAATCCCTTTTCTGAATTTGCCACAGAGAATGCAGAGAGGAGCCCAGGGATATTCAGCCTCTCCTGTGTGAGCTGGGGTCTGAGATCCTGCACAGGTCTCCCTGGCTGCTCATCCCGGCATGGGGGCCAAGCTGGCTTTGCCAAGAGTCAGCGTGCCGGCCCCTGCCTTCTCCAGCACTTACCGAGGGATCTTTTGCATATATTTTTCTCCCAGAGGCAGAGCTTTGTTCTGAATTATAACGTCATTATTTTTCCTTTAAATCCGAAGAACAAATGTTGGACTCCAAAATCCTAGGAAATATCTAACATCCAACCCAACAAATCTCCATAAATTATGTCCTGCCTCATAGACAATTGTCATTTCCAAAAGTCAGGCGCGTGTGTCTGTTCAGGGAGCAGTCTGGAGTGAATGCCCTCCCCTCTCTGGTTTTGGATCTAACTGGCTGGCAGGAGGGAGTAATTTTAGCTCAGTTGGGCTGGGGGCACTGGTAGCCTTGCTGCTAGAATTAATCCTCTCACTCACTGCCTTCAGAGCAGACTTTTTGCTGGTTTCCTAGGAGGAAAGTCTACATGCCCAAAGGCCTGCCCACCTGCCTGCCCTCATATTCATTTACTCATTCGTATTTTTAATCATGAATTCTTTGTCTCTTCCTTGAACACCTATGAGCCAGGCATGGAGCTAGATACTGAGGATACATAAGTGAGAGTGAGAGTGGGAGAGAAGAGAAGAGAAGACGTCTTACCAGGGCACAATAGGCCAGGACAAACCAGACTTAGCTTGGCAAGGGCCAGGGACACCTGAGGGTATCGTTGCATGGAAAGGGGTATCAATGAACCCAAGATGGCAAAAGAGAAATGAGGAGGAGCTGAAGCATCCCAGAAACAAAATGCACATGCCCCAAAAAGGTTGCATGGGTAGGCCAGATCTCTCACTCACTCATAAGCACCAGCTGAGAAATCACAGGATACCATGCTGGGCACTGAAAGTTACAAAATGCCAAAAGGGTGAGCTTCCCACACTCAGGATGCTCACCACAAAGGGAGCCACCCGACTCACACAGACACAGGGAATTCTAGGAGAAGTGATCCATTAAAGTCATTTCTCTCTTGACTTTCTGCAATCATCTCCTCATGTTCCTTCTTGCGTGAGATTCCCCGCTGTACCCCCTTTTCCTCCACTCTTCCAGTTCATCTTCCACACCCTTGTTAGGGTTATCTCTAAAATACCAGCTTGGAAGACCGCCTGCAAGGGTAGTTCCAAAATGTTGTTCAGCAGCCATTGAGGTCTAATTTTGCTGAGCCTCCAGATCCACCAAATCAGAATCTCTGGGGATAAGGCCTTGGAATATGCACATTAAACACATTTTAGAATAACTTTTACACATATTCCAATTTGAAAAGCAGCCTATGAGTAGAAAAGTTTGCAAAGAAGGATGAATACCCCATAACAAAGTGGGAATCTTCCATCTCACTTTGTCTCACCAATCTCATTCTATTATTTGAGTTTATACACATATACATACTTCTTGAGGTTCTCAAGGGTATGGGCCATATCCTATTCATCCCTAAATTCCAAATGCCCAAAACTTGGTAAGCATCCTATAAATATGATAGTTGAACTGGGGATATTCAAATTGCACAGATAAAGCATGTAACATCTTTCCTTTTCTCTTTTAAAAAAAAACTTATTTTTCCTCTCACCTTCAAAGAAGGTATATATAACTGGGGAAATACATAAGTGATTGAGTCTTTCAATTCATGAACAAATTATTTCCTCTCACACACTTAGGTCTCTCATTTCTCTGTAAGCTTCTAAATATTCTGGTTAGAGGTTTTGCATTTCTTTTATTCCATTTGTCCCTAGGTATTTACTGTTTTTGGCATGGTATTAATTACTTTATGTTTCAAATTCTAGTTGTTTGTTGTAGATACATAGACACTAACTGTTGTATATTCACCTTGTATTCAGTGACCTTGTTAAAATCACTTCGACATTTTAATAGTTTATCTACAGATTCTTTAAATTCTCTGCATACACATATAGGAACAGTTTATCTTTCCCTTTTCAGTCTTTATAGTTTACATTTATTTTTCTTGCCTTATTGCACTGGTGACTTCTAGTACAATGTTAAATCGATGTAGTGACAATTTATGTCATTATTTCATTCCCAATTTCAGGTAGAATATCTTTTATTATTTCACAATTAACCAGAATTAATGTTTCCCATAGATTTTTTAAAAGCTAAGACTTTTTTTTTTTTAAGTTTTAGCCATTTCAATGGGTATTGAATTTTATCAAATATTTTCTGCATCCACTAATAGGATCATATGGTTCTTTTCCTTTGTAATACATGCTTATGTAATAAATTACATCAATTTTTAAATGTCAAACCAACCTTGCACTCCTAAGATAAACTCAAGTTGTTCATGATACAAAATCATTTTCAAATGTCATGGATTCATTTTGCTAATACTTTATTTGGTATTTTTATGAATAAGAGAAGTTAGCCTGTGACTTTTTTTAGCATATTTGTAAAATTTTTGTATCAAGGTTTGCTGTAATCCATTTTAATAATCCATTTTTATGAAAAAGGTTGACAAGAGTTTTGCCTTTTTTACTATGGAAAGACTGTGATTCAACCCTCTCCATTTTAGACAGAAATGGAGATGTTCCTTCCTTTTCTTTTCTCATACACACCTTACTTTTCAGAGGAAATACATTGATCTATGAGAGGATAAGGTGGCTGAGATAAAACCAACTTCACGGACCTGGAACACTTGCAAAAACTTAATTTAGTAATACATCCACCAGCTTTGCATTATAAGCATCACATGCATGTTATTTAATCTGTGATTGTATGTGCGTGCATGCTTTGTCCTTAATAGTAACGTGTGAATAGACTTAAAATATAACACTGTATTTTATTGCAAAATGTCCTTGCATTTTCATACCTATTAACTCCATTGACCAGTATACCTACCCTTGAGTTATGTGAGATATGCACAAAATATCTAACCCTGCTCTAGTGTATTCAAGCAGACCTTCAATACAGACTGATGGTATTCTGACTATATAGAGAATTATTTTATGTTTTTACCCAAAGAACTCATTTCAATAAAAATGCAGGCTAATACTCCATTTTTTACACTCCGTTTTTATGAAAATTAATTATTTCAGATAGTGTTGCCATTGTTAATTTGCTTGATAAGTTTGCTTTGCTGGTTCTCTTCTGTTAAAGCAAAGTGAAGTTTAGAATACAGTTATTTACAGTACTTGGCAATTAGTAAGTACCCAATAAACACTTAAGTTAATGAATAAATCAACAATGAATAAATGGAAAGTTACCCATCCTCTAACACAAAAGTTGGCAAACCATACCCTGTAGGCCAAATCCAGCTCACTCACTAATTGTGTAAGTAAATATGCATTGACTCGTTCATTTGTTTACAAATCATCTCTTTCGGAGTTCAATGTCTGCTGCTTTCAAAATTGAAGAGTTGCAACAGGGACCATATGGCTCACAAAACAAAAATATTTGCTATCCAGTCATTTACAGGAAGTGTGCCAACCCCTGCTCTAAAACACAAAGTTTGATGAATAGCTAGAGAGTAGCCAGAAGGTACCCACACTGAGTATGCAAATGAAATCTCCTCGAGTTTGTTGTTGAAGGAACAGGATGATACCAGGGGCATCAGGTAACAAAAAGAACTGTTTTGTTTTGTTTCATGAGGAAACATGGTAAAGTCTATTGTCAAAGGTAACAATGAGAGGGCTCAACTCTCTAGAGCTGACACTCTTTTCTAAATCACCTTGTGCTCTCCATTTTTTTCCCCTTCTCCCAGAGGCTTTGGTTAAATCTTTTCCTAAATTTCAGTGCTTTCATTGCCTTTTTTTTAATAACAGAAAAGTACTGAACTCACATAAAACAGTGATTTAGCCAAGTGGATTGTGACAATTCAGCAGATGCTTAGGCCATAACAAAGAGCCTCTCACGTAAATCTCTCGTAATGTCTTTGTTCTCAAAACAAAGAATCCCTAACTCTTGAGCCGAATTGGTCAAGAATCCAATGTGCCCCTAAGTGGAAATTCTACAATGTTGTAAAATGCCTAAGCAACATTTGTTTTCAATTGCCATTATCCTTTCTCCCCATTAAGGAGGAAATTCTTGTTAGAAAGAATTCTAGTGTCAGTATGTTTCATAACACCAAAGGATAAAGTAATTTGGAGAAAACCAAAACTTACTTTTTAAACACATAAATGTGCTGTTTTCATACTGCTATTCATATTTACTGCATGACGTGGTACACAAAGAATATCAACATGTCATGAACAAATGGTAAAATCTGCATCTATTCCGAAAAAAACAAAAAGATAGCACCACAAATGATACTGGATTAGTCTTCTGCTAGTCAACAAAACTTAGTAATTAATGAATCCCTCTTATGTGGCAAATGGTGGAGTTTTTCTGGCCTTTCAATATGATGATATCTAATCATTATGTTAAATTAAAAGACGGATTTTTCTTAATGCACTACATAGTCCCAAAAGTTAATTATATGTAAGAGCAAAAGAATAGAGAATAATTAACCATAAAATAATCTAGGGAGTCAGACAATAATGTTTAATAAGTCCCCTTTTTTTTCTAAGGACTATTTTGGGAACATTAGAAAAATGCACAAAGAAAAAACATTTCAAGTGACATACATATTATAATTCAGATTTTCATTACAAGTAAAATAGGAGTTTTCTTTTTCTTTGGAAAATATTTCTTTCCAAAAAGATTTACTAGAGTCTTTGTTTAGAAAAATGAGCAACTCTGATAGCTTTTTTATTCAATTCATAAAATTTGCATTTACTTTCAAACTTTTAGCACACTTTGCGCATTAAGAAAAGTATACCTTAAGCCGGGCACAGTGGCTCATGACGGTAATCCCAGTACTTTGGGAGGCTGGGGCAGGTGGAACACCTGAGGTCAGGAGTTCAAAACCAGCCTGGCCAACATGGTGAAACCCCATCTGTATTAAAATACACAAATTAGCTGGGAGTGGTGGCGAGCATCTGTAATCCCAGCTACTCTGGAAGCTGAGGCAAGAGAATTGCTTGAACCCGGGAGGCGGAGGTTGCAGTGAGCCAAAATCACGCCATTACATTCCAGCCTGGGTGACAGAGGGAGACTCTTTCTCAAAAATAAAAAAGAAAAGTATACCTTAAAATATAAACTTTTAAAGTCACAATTTAGGGGAAAGAAGAAGAAAATAACTAGGAAATAATATTTTCTTTCCTTTTGCATGCTTCAGGCAAGTCTAATTCCAAACACAAAAGGGAAAGGGTATGGAGCACAGACACAGAAGAAAGAATTCCTGAATCTTTGGTCTGCTGACCTTCAACAAATAAATAAACATTTAATGCTCAAGTGCTTGATCTGGACAAAAAGAGTTGAAATACAAGGCCCTGTTTATTTCCAAGGACTCTTGTGAGGAAAATATGACATAAAATAGGTTAAGTGGATTTTATTAATTGAAAATCATCAAATATTTATTAGACAATATTGGTAGAAAACACCAATAAGATATTAAGGAAAAAATACCAATGTCTTCTGAGCCCCTCAAATCAAACTATAGAGAGCTATTTATTCCATTTTTCATGCCTGCAGCTAATTAGAGTTGGCCCTTCATATTTGCAGGTTTGGCATTTGTGGATTCAGCCATGGATTAAAAATATTTGAAAATGGCTGGGTGTGGTGGCTCATGCCTGTAGTCCCAGCACTTTGGGAGGCGAAGGCAGACGGATCACCTGAGGTCAGGAGTTCCAGATCAGCCTAGCTAACACAGCAAAAACCCATCTCTACTAAAAATACAGCAGTAGCCAGGCAGGGTGGTGCACACCTATGATCCCAGCTACTCGGGAGGCTCAGGCGGGAGAATCACTTTAACCCGGGAGGCAGAGGTTGCAATGAGCCGAGATCGTGCCATTGCACTCCAGCCAGGATACGAAGAGCGAAACTCCATCTCAAAAAAAAAAAAATTGAAAATGAATTTTAAAAAATAACAATGCAAAAATAAAATAATACAAATTAAAAATATATTATGGTTTAACTATTTACATTGCATTTACATTGTATTAGGTATTATAAGTAATCTAGAGATGATTTAAAATATACAGAAGGATGTATATAGGTTACATGCAAACACTATGGCCATTTTATGTGAGGGACATGAGAATCCATGAATTTTGGTATCCACAAGGGTCCCCTACAGTTACCTGGGAAGGGCTGTATGGCCTTAGGCCAAATGTCTAACATTTTTTTTAATGGAAATATTCTGCTATTTCGCAATATTAATGCTTATTCTACTAAGATAAAGTTTCATATAGAAACTTTGTTGTTAAGCTTCTTTGTGTTGTAACTTTGTCCAGTGGTGCAAAGAGACAGATTTCATACATCAGTAGGAATTGATGGAGTATAAATGGGTAACAATAGTATCCCTGAAAATTTAAAATGTCCTCATTTCTGTAAACAAACATTACACTTTGAGGAATTTATCCTATAATAAAACTTGCATAGGTACACTATTTTCACTTTCCCTTGGTCATCTTAGTAAGTATAAAAATATTAATTACGATATTATTTTAATAGCCTGGATTGTAAATGATATAAATGCTCTTCAATACATTAACACATACACTTATTTATTAATCGGTTAAATAAATTATATATATTCAAATAACAGAATGCTATTATAGCTTTGAAAATAATAAAGCAGCACTGTGTAAACTTACTAATGATAGCCCCTAAGATACTGGAAAGTAAAAAAAAAAAAAAAAAACAGAATATTGCATAATACACTATTTAAAGGAAAAAAAAAAAGATGATACATGTGTTTGTGTTTTTGTGTGTGTGCGTGCACATTAGGACCATCTCTGAAAGAATTATACAAGTGGTAACAATGGTGGGGCGGGGAACTAGGAAACTGGGGGATGGGACGTGATAAGACTTACATTTTATTTTATACCCTTTTATTCATTTTGAATTTTGATTCATAAACACGTAATTCAAAAACTATTTTCTATAAGCAAAATTGACAAATGAGATTTCCTATCACAATTTTAGGTTACTTCCCTGATGGATAATGGCTGCAACATTCAGAAAAATTCACAACTAATTTAAAAAATTACATTACACCTTATTTTTCAGAAAATCTAAAACATAATGGTTTTTAGTTTCCATGATGATTTCAGTTGTTTCTCTTCTGGAAAGCTGACGTCTTTGGAAGAATCAAGCTTCCTAATTAGATTGTCATCTCATTTGTGACAAGCACTGAGGAATTTTCAGATGATAATTGAGAGTCAAAAAGGCCACAACATTTTGCAAAGGTTTCCAGGCTGTGTGGGAACATCATAAAAAGATGGTTCTTCTCAAAGCTACTGAGATGACTACCAAATTTAAAAAAAAGAAGACAATAAAATAATCCAGACAGATTCACAGAATCCTAGTGGGGACTCATTTCTCTAGGACCAGAGGAAGGTCATGCCAAGGATCGCGTATTCTCTATTTTGCCCTCTACCTTGGAGGTAAGACAGCAGTTTAACTGGGGCCAGTGGGAAAAGAGGTGAGAAAAAACCAGGGCAGGTCTGAAATGTGGACATGAACATCAATGGGGCAAGGGACAGGGTGCAACTAGGCAGGCAGATCAGGGTCCCAGCATTTGTGTCCAGTCCATATGGTCTGATGTGAAAAGAACGACAGAAGAAATATCTAGGCCGTGGTGAAATACAGGTGTCTGGAATTGGCACAGTCTGAGAATTTGTGGGGAGACGATTTTAATCTAATTTAAATTAGGATCCTAGTTATAGCTAAGTGACCCTGGGCTAGGGTCTAGCTGTTGGGAAGAAAAGCCTAGAAAACACTAGCTGAGGTTCAGCTACTTGGGTGTTAACCTGGGTAGAGGCTGAATCCCCAGCATAGAGTAAGCAACATTGAAAGATGTAGGAGGTGAGGATGAACTTGGTGAGCAGCCAGGAGAAGACCTCACCCTAGACATATGGGACCAAGAAGTCCAGCAGCAAGGCCAAATCCAGAACCCAATCATTGGGAGAAAAGTGTGAGTAATTTCTAAGTCATGATCCTTAATTCTGTGCTCTTTTTTATAGTTTTATTTTTCTTTCTCATGGAACTCAGTCTGATGTATTCCATTATTATTACCCGACTAATTACTCCAAATGAATATCTCACAGCCTGTTCTAACAAGCAATGTCCTACACTCCTTTCCAAGACTTGTTTATTTCTTTGCTTGCTTGCTTTATTCTCTAACTACAAACTAGACACTTCCTCTGGGATGTTCCACCATCATTTTAAACTCAACATGTCTTCTTAAGCCAAATGCAACACCTTCCTTTCCCTTCTGTCTTAGTCTATGTCTGCTGCTATAACAAACTGCCTTAAACTTGGTAATTTATAAACAACAGAAATTTCTCATAGTTTTGGAGGCTGGGAATTCCAAGATCAAGGTCCAGCAGATTCAGTGTCCAGCGAAGGCCCATCCCTCATAGATCGTACAATCTAGGTGTCCTCATATGGCAGAAGAGGTGGAAGGGCAGAAGAGTGCTCCCTTCGACCTCTTTTATAAGGTCCTATTCCCATCTGTGAGGATTCTGCCCCCATAAGTTAATCACCTCCTAAAGGCTCTACCTCAATATTATCACGTGGACAGTTAAGTGTCAGCATATGAATTTTGGCAGACACATTCAGACCACAGCATATTCCTTTTTTCCTACCCCTCTTCCTCTCTCCCCAGCTTCTTTGTTCTGTTACCGGTATCTCCATTCTGTCACCCAACTTCAAAATCATGTAGCTATACTTTTGCCACCTTCTTAAAATAACCCAGAGTCAGAAAGTTCAGCATTCATTCATTCAAATATTACACTGAATGCAAAGTTAGACAAAACTTCATTTCAGATACTGTCCCCTCTTAGAAATGTACCTTCTTTCTGTTCATTTCTGCTTATTCCCACCACTATACACTCAAGGTCTTCATAACATGTATCCAATTATTGCAAAAGCTTCATATCAGGCCTCCATGATTCTGATTTCTACACCTTCTAATTCATTCATTTCTTTACATTAATTTTAAGGTACATTTTCATGTAGGCACTGCATTGTAATTCCCTGGTGCTTACCTGCCCCCGTCTCTAAACTCTATGCTCTTTAAGGGAAGGCCCACATTAATCTCTCCTACCATCATATCCCAGAGCCTATATCAGGATATGAAATACAATAGCTTCCAAGAAAATTTATTTAATGCTTGAAAATGTTCAATATCTCCCTGTAACTTGTTGCATCAAACCTCTACATCTCTGCTTAGTTCTCGTGTGGCCACAGATTGTCTATTTACCCATACTGCCCATTTCTTCACCACCTGCTCCCTCTGTATTCCTCAGGCTTATTTATTCACTCTATGCTAATTCCCATCTTCACTAACTTATCCCCACTGTCCTATTGCCTGAAATGCCTGCCTTTTCCCTCCCTTCCAGAGGGCCTTGACTCTGCACTCAGCTGCAGCAGGTTTTCCAGCTAAAGAGGGCAGTTGCAGAATGACAGCCATCCCTCTTCCTGCCTTCTCAGAGAAGCGTTCATTGCCCCCTCCCTTTCCACAGTGTCAGAGCAAGGACGTGCTCTCTCCCTCCTAAGGTTTTGGCAACTGAATGCAAGTCTGTCAACGATGCAAAGGGAGCCAAAGGGCAGAAAATAAAACCTGTCAGAGGCTACAAAGAGGTCCTTCGTCCAGCACCACCCCACAACCCCCAAGTTCAGCAGGGCAGGAGGGGAAAAGGGCAAGGAGGCTCACAGACTCTGCTACACCAGAGGTTAGCATTCATTTGCTTCCTAATTCCCCAGCCAACCTGCTTCTTGGGTAAAAATTGTGAACTTGGCAAACCTGTATTTTGTCAACAACGGTTCTTCAATCCCCTCAGCATTATTACCATCTGAAAGCTAAGAAGCTGGAACAGCTTTTCAGGGATGCAACAGGCTAGAGGCAACTGATCATTTCAGATACCCTTCACCTGTGGGTTAAGGAGGCCGGAGCCACATCCCAAACATCCTTTGCAATTGCCATAAAGCATAAGTTTAATTAAAACATTTTGTTACATGCCGTCTCAAGCACCAAACTCTGCAAGAGATTCTAAGTATAGAGAGGTGAAGAAGAAGTGGCCTCTGGTGTCGCAGCAGCCCTGGCATCCCAGCACATCCACCCACGAACTCAGTTACAAGCCCACAGAAGGTTTCCCATCACCACGTTTGTCCCTCTGGGGATAAACTCCCTCTAGAACCCACTTTCTTTGCCTCTCTGACCTTACTTCAAGCCACTTCTGTAGAGTTCTAGAGCTTTTTTTTTTTTTTAAAGACAGTGGTTCTGTCACCCAGGCTGGAGCTCAGTGGTGTGATCTTGGCTCATTGCAACCTTTGCCTCCCAGGCTCAGGTGATCCTCCTCCCACCCCAGCCTCCTGAGCAGCTGGGATTACAGGCATGCATGACCACACCCAGCCAATTTTTATATTTTTAGTAGAGACAGGATTTTCGCCATGCTGCCCAGGCTGGTCTCGAACTCCTGACCTCAAATGATCCACTAGCCTTGGCCTCCCAAGGTCCTAGGATTATAGGCGTGAACCATGGTGCCTGCCCCAAGATCTAGATTTTCTTATGCACTGCCCATCTTGCCGACTTAATGTTTTGCATTGTTCACTTCTTCCTTAATTCCGAAAGCTCTCTTTTGACTTTGCACTCTGATTCCCCTTTGCCTCCAGCTTCTCCCATACAGAGTCTTATAGGTCTTATTCTCCCATACAGATTCTTACAGGTCTGGCTATCAGAATCCAGGTCTGATGATGACTGCACAACATGGTTGGACTTAATGCCACTAAGTTGTACACTTAAAAAATGGTTAAGTGGTAAATGTTATGTTATGTTTATTATCACAATACAACATATACATATATATATCCCAAGCCCAGCCGGAGCCCCTAGACCTGGCCCCGGCAGCAGAAGCCATCACCTGCTGTGAAGGAACTCAGACTCAAATAGGAGATACACAATTTAACATCCATTAATTGAGGGAGAAATTACTGACCATCTACTACACGTTAAACACTGGGAACTGAGAATTCAGGGAAGACCATGAAAAATATACTACTGTCTTTATGAAGCTTAATCTAGTCTGGGACATAGTCATCAAGCAGACAGGCACAAAATTAAGTAATTCATTAAAATACTAATAAATGCAATGAAGGGAAGTACAGGGTCCTATGAAAGCACAGAGCTGGAGGATGGGGCTTCAGAGGAGACTTCCCTGAGAAAGTGACCTTGACACTAAGAAGTGAAGGACAAGCCATCATTTCCCAGGCAAAAGGGGTGTGGTGGGGATGGTGAGGGTAGGGCATTCAGGCAGGGAGAATGGCATGTATAAAATAAAGGACCTGTCACAAAAGGTAGGAATTAATGTGGTTCTTTTGAGGGACTGCTAGAAGCCAACATAGGGCCCAAGCAGAGAGGCACAAGACATCAGGCCAGCTGCCTGACACAAGCTCCAATAGCCTGAAGCACTAAACCTCCATGAAGAGTTAATGGCTCACATCTGTAATCCCAGCACTTTGGGAGGCCAAGGTGGGCAGATCACCTGAGGTAAGGAGTTCGAGACCAGCCTAGCCAGCATGGTGAAACCCCTCTCTAATAAAAATACAAAAATTAGCTGGGCATGGTGGCACATGCCTGTAATTTGGAGCTACTTGGGAGACTGAATCAGGAGAATCGCTTGAACCCAGGAGGCAGAGGTTGCACTGAACCAAGATCGCGCCACTGCACTCCAGCCTGGGTGACAGAGCAAGACTCTGTCTCAAAACAAAACAAAAAAAGAGTTAAAATTTGGAGGGAATCAGAGACTTTGAAATCAGAGGACGAAATTCCAGGCATTCCAGGCACAGAGGCTACCTGAGCAAAGGTTCTAACGTGGGAAATGCTGAGGGCATTTGGGGACAGGAAGTCGTCCTGTTTTAATGAAGTTCGCACGGGAAGGATAAGGAGAGGAAAATGGTGGATGTGAAAGATAAGAAGCAAGTTAAATAGAGTCCTTCGTCAGGATGGTTGGTTCTAGAACCGCAGGTAGGAGTGGCCTCCCCGGCTCTCACCTGTCTTCTCCTACCGCTGAGGGATGACCCTGCAAACCAAAACACCAGCTCTCAATCACTTGTAGAAAATCAACACCACAACTGAGAGGGACACAGCTCTCCAAGGCCTCAGGAGACAGCGCCAGAGGGAGCCCTCTCCTCGGGTTAAACAGTTTGAAAGCAGTAACAAAATTAGCCAAAGAGTTCAAATGATGGCAGGCTCGGGGGCCTTGGGGCCAGCACAGCACCAGAGTCCTCGATACCAATAGACCACATTGCTTCTTTGAGCCTTTGCTGGGATGCAAGCAGTCGAAAGAATTGAGCTGAGAAACCGTGAGATCCTCAGCTTGGTAGGTGGAAGCATTCCTGGCTGCATCTGTTAGCCCCAGATTTGACCATGGAATTCTGAAAACCTTTGCCTTTTGCCATTTTGTGTTCACCTCAGGCTCCAAAAACTCTTTTGTCTCTGTGGACTGTAAACACTCTCAGCAAGCTGGATCACTCACTTATCCAGGTGGAAGCCAAGTATGAACACATAAGGATATCATTAGCCTCTTTTTCCTGATAACAAGGAAGACTGTTCTCCAGAAAAGTGCTGCCCCAGAGGCTGGCCTGCTAGGACAACAAGCATCCTTCACATCTGCGGTAGGAACCCAGCTCCACTTTCATGGGATACCTCCTCCTCACAGGCCCTCGGAGGAATCCCTGTCCTGCTGGCTGGGAGCTGCCAGGACCAGAGTGTACTCCCCACAGAAGTGTACTAAGCGGGCACTCAGGGAACTGGGCCTGCAGAAACATGGAGGGGGGTCTCCATTTCCACCACCGTAAATTGTGATGCTGGAAAGATCTGTAAAGTTTTTCAGTTCAGCTCCTCTGCTCCTCCAATGAGTAAATTAGTCCAGGAAAGAGGAAGTGACCTGCCTGTGCAGAGGCCATGTCTCCCGTCACTGTCCTGGCTACTTCATGGTTCAAATTTCCATCAGAAAAGTTCATCAGAACCAGCATATTTGTAAAATTGGACTTTGTACCCATTTTAATAATTAAAGATCTAGTATTATTTTATAAACAAATGACAAACTTTATAGTAATATCTCTGGTTAGTTTTTGAAAATGGAAGTTGTAGGGAAATTAGAGGCATTTTTCTAGCTTCAGAGCGTAAGTTAAAAATTATAGAACCTTTTCTAAGAATTAAATGGCCTTGAAGAGTATTAAAAAATAAAGGAGAATAATTCTCCTGAGCCAGGTAGAGACTAGGCTGTTGACTCTTTGAGGGTGAGATTTTACCCAAAAACCATACTCACAGTCCAAGTCCTTTGGATTAAAGCAGCCACTTCAGGGACCCACATGTCACCTCCCCACCTTCATTTCTACACACATCTTCCTAATAGAGTTTTATCATCATTATTATGACCATGTAAACATAGTCCATTGCTGAACCAGGGAGCATATGATGACTGCTTTTTTGGTTTCTTAGACTTCCCCTCCCAGAGTTAACTCTTTTTCCCCCCACCTTATTTGGCTATTTGAATCACATACAAAGTCTTCCTATACCCTAAAACTGCTTTGTAAAATGCTTCCCAATTTCATTTTCTGCTTGGATAAATTAAATAAACAAATGGTTCTATTTTTTCTCTACAAGCATCCCTTGGGGAGCATTTTAGATCATACTTGGCAGTGACTTGAATTCCCCTGATTATAAAGGTAAAGACCTGTAAACCTGTTTCCCAGGCCTTGCATCAGAAGTCTGTTTTATAGAAAAAGAATGCCATGATGCAGAAATTCTAAAGATGCTTATTCTTCAGCCTAGAAAAATAATTTTGGAAGAAATAAGGTTTCTCTAGTGACTTAGAGCTCATTTGGCCTGAAACCTTGTAGAGTCCCCTGACTTGTGTGCCCACAGGGGTGTAACAGAGAGTATAGATGGCTTCATGTCCGAAGGCTGGATTTGAATCCTGCCTCTGCCACTTATAAGCTATGCCAGGAAGGACGCATCGCTGAGCCTCTTTGTTCTTTGATATAGTTTATTTGTCCCCACCCAAATCTCATGTTGAAATGTAATTCCCAGTGCTAGATGTGGGGCCTGGTGGGAGGTACTTGAATCATGGGGGTGGATCCCTCATGACTTGCTGCCGTCTTCACATTAGTGAGGGAGTTCTCAGAAGATCTGCTTGTTTAAAAGTATACGGCACCTCCCCACCAACTCTCTCTCTCTTGCTCCTGCTTTCACCATGTGATATGCCTGTTCCTGCTTTGCCTTTTGCCACAAGTAAAAGTTCCCTGAGGCCTCCCCAAAAGTCTAGCAATGTTGGTGCCATGCTTGTACAGCCTACAGAACTGTGAACTAATTAAACCTCTTTTCTGTATAAATTACCCAGTCTCAGGTTTTTCTTTATAGCAACACAAGAACGGCCTAATACATTCTTACTCTATGAAATGGAAGCAGTGATATCATTCAAAATACCAACAAGAAATGAGAAAATGAAATGTCAAATCACCTAACAGAGATCCAGACACATAACTGATACTGAATTACTGTTAACTGAATTGAAAAGCATCAACTTACTCCCCCGACCTTGCCAGCTTTCTGGCAGGACAACTCTGAGATGCCTTAACATTCATACAACCCTCTTAAAAATATGAATGCAGACTCCTCAGATATATGGAACCAATTTGTCAGCCTTCTGAAATCTTGTCTTCTAAAAAGTACCCCATAGCAAGCAAAATGATTTTAGGGGACTTGAATGTCAGGGTTAGTGACGACTCTGCCAAAGCTTTAAACACAGGAAATTTGAAAAAAGATTGCTTCTTACCTGTTTCTGTGAGAGCCATTTATCCAAAATCAGCTATTGGATCAAAAAGAAAAATAATTGTCCAATTGTATTCATCATCAGTATCCATCGATATGAAACCATAGCCCATGGAATAAGTATTTGGGGGAATTTCGTTTGTAATGCCACACAATAGGCCAACATTGGTTTTTAATCACCCAATCATTCTTTCATCTATTATTTCCATCTTTAACATGTGTGATCTAGGCCAAATTGAAGATGATTATGTCTCCATTAAGCCTCTTCTAATCCTCAAAAATATCTGTTTCTGAGTCTATTTCTGAGTTTCAAATGGACTTTGAGATTATGGAACTAGGGAGGGTAACATGGAATGAGGCTCATTCTAATCCCCAAATAAACCGTCTCGAAGTGGAACCATGTGGAGCTCTCTTCTCACATTCTGTTCTGAGCCGTGTTCCCTCCAACTATACCAATAACCCAGAGATGAGCTAAACCCAGTCTGACCACTCTGCTTAGCCAGGAACTGGCCACTCTGTCACGGTTGGAAGAAGTTTAACAGAAAGTCAAATGAATTCTCACAAAACTGACAAGAAACTGTCTTAAATGGATCTCAGAAGATGCCCCCTAAAACCTACTAAATTTAAATAATTGATCTAGCAATGATTTTCAACATGTAAGGTCACCAAACCTTAGAATTTACTCGTTCAGCCTAGAACACTGAGAAAATTCCTCCCAAATGCATACTCTTTGCCCCCCAGCCACAAGTGTAGCAGAAGAAAAATTAATTAGGAATCTCCCTCAACTTCTAGCAGAGAATTTGGATATGGTAATTTTCTATAAACCTGGACGCTAACATTCTTTTGTTAACATAGTTGTAATGGAAAATTGAACAAAATGCAAAACCACAAATAGCATTTCACATGGCAGGCAATCAGAGGCATGGCACAGCAGAATAGTGAACTTAGATTCAAGTCCTGCTTGGCCATTTTCTAGCTCTGTGGCTTTAGAAAAGTAACTTTACATCTCTGTGCTTCAGTTTCTTTGTCTGAGAAAGGTTAATACCTCCCCAGCACAGACTTGTTTTAAAAATGTAACAGGATACCATAAGTGAAAGCAACTTTTGAAATGTAAAAGCTTTATCCTAATATCCTGATTATTGTATTGAGTCCAAATGAATATATTGTGTAGTTGGCATATATCCATTTTCTATTTGAGATGGGATAAGTTAGGAAGGCCAACATTTAAATAATTTTGAGGCTCTCCAGACCACACCATTCCATCAAGATGATACTCAGTGAAGCCGCACAAAATGGGTACCTGAGACTTCATAAGTAAGGTCTCAGGATCTCACTAGAAAAAGTCATTTCCCTGTAATCCTGTGCTACTGTATTACACAACCACAACAAACCTTACTTCTCTCCACGCCCCATTCCACTTGCTTAGAACAGGGGACAGCCCTTTGTATAATTTCTACATTTGTAGTACAGCTGACACATGGATGATCTTTATTTTAGGTTTATATTCGTACTTTGATGATGACCAGGCAATTTTTCTCTCACCTAGTCCAGTCTTCTAATTTTTAACTGAACTCTCAAGGGTAATCTGTTTTTATTCCTGTCTCTTGTTTTTTTGGCCTCCCTATCTCTCGGTTTCTCAGTCTCTGTTCCTTTTACTGTTTCTCTTTCTCTTATGCAAACACACACACACACCCTGATCCAATCCTTCAGTGTCTTAATTCAGGTCCTAAACCTTCCAGTGAGATTTCTGACTTAGCATCTGCTGAGCCACAATTCACATGTGACGCTCTGCACTTCTTCCCAGGTACGTTTCAGCTGCAGGCTCTGTATTATTTTGGTGTGTTATCTGTACACAGACACTCACGGCAAAAGAAATTACTCACTCGTGGAAAGAGATGCCAAACCCTTAATTCAAAAACACCAAATGAGTAATTCTCAAAGCATATTTTTCTCCTTCAACCAGGACATTTTAATTATCTTGAAGTAAACAAGAAGCCTCACAAGGGTTACTCAAATTGTTCTTTCAAAATTTTCCCTCCCCTATACCTAAGGATTTCCACCTGCCCTAAAGTTCTTCATGAAGCGAGCCTTTGTTTACCACCCATGTGATAAAAAGCCCATAAAAATGGGGAGGTAAACTTTGCATCCATTTCTAGTCCCAAATTGGCCTGAGGACTAAAGAGAGCCCAGAAATAAGCAATGACCCATCTCTTTGGCTAAGTGTGCACTGACTTGGCCCAAATGGTCAGGCTTCCTGCCTGTAGCTACATAGTTAGTTGTGATAAGGAGCAAAGAAAACCAAACAGCTTCAAGGACTAAAGCATACTTTCTACTGAATGATTTGTGCTGTTAGTGTTGCAGTCTGATAAGCAAAACACATTTCCCTTGCCAGTGGAGGCCTATTACCAGAGCAGAGGCACAGGGAGCTGAAAACATTTCACACACAGTAGCAAGGAGGAAAGACCTGTAGGTGGGTGGTTTCAAACACGCATCTAGCCTAACTCCGAACTACAGCTGCCAACAAAAGGCTTTTACCTCCCCTCAGTGAGTGATGATACAGTCGAGTCACCATAGAGCCACTGCTGCTAGGAAGTGGCTGAGTACTAGAAACCAGTCACAGACTGTTTACCAACCAGACAAGTAGAACTGAGAATATAATCTTTGTACCATACATAATTCTCTCTAATGAGCCAATGCCCTGAGGTTAAATAGAATTTACTCAACCCAATTAAACTGGCCAGGGTCAGGGGATCATTAGGAATTTGGGCCCTTCATATTTCAGCAATGAATCATAAATCATTTAAAGTTTCATTTATAAGGATGAAATTCTTCAATCAAAGGGTTAACATTTTTACTTGTAGAAACTTTCAGGTTACCTCTCAATATTTTTTTTACTCTTTATTTTTCTCTTCTCTGGGATTTAAAAAATATAATTTGGAGCTTTCTTCCAGATCTCTCAGCTGCTCTTTTCATTTTTAAACCTCTTTATCTGCTATCCCAGTCATTCCTTTAGTTTTATCTTCAGTTCATAATTTTCCCTTCCACTGTGTCAACCAGCGATGGGACAAGGGTAAGACAAGCAAGGTACTCAGAGTGTACAATGTAAGAAGTCACTCACTCTTGGGCATGCGCTAGTTCAGGGTTGGCAGCGACAGTGAGTGCCTTCTTACATTTTGCACCCTGGATACCTTCCTTGCCTCACCCTAGACTGGCCCAGATGTCTAGTCTACAGTTCACCTTATCACTTGCAATTTCTATTTCAATGACTACACTTTTCACTTCCAAGGTTTCTATATTTTAATCCCTATCTATTCTTAAGAATTCTTTGTTCCCCTTCCCTCTTTTACTTATTTGATGATTCAAGAATCCTTATTTTAACATTTAATATTGCACCATTATGTCTGGTTCTTCATGCATGGACTCCACAGATTCTTGGGTCTGTTGACTATCCTCATGCCAGAAAATATTCTTGTGTGCTTTGTAATTTTTCTTGAAAGCTTACCTTGTTTGGGAGGGAATTTGTTTGTTTTGTTTCTTTTTGGTAGACTCCTCTCCCTGTCAAGTAGCTTTTGGGTTGGTTGCCTTACTCTGGTAGTACTCCAGGTTTGTGTCCCCAAGCCAAGATGTAGTGTCTTATTCCCAGCCAAAGCTCATAGTGTCACATTGAGGCTGATGGCTGCATGCGGCAGGGCCTGGCTCCAATTCCTGTGCAGATGTCTCTTCTCTCTCCCAGAACCACAAGCAATCAGGTCCAATGATCAGTAGTTAGTGGAGTTTTTTCATGTTCAATTTACTGTTAGAAGCTGTGAATACTGATTTCGGCTTTCTCTGAGAAGTCCATCACACGTGTTCTGCCTTTTGTGGAATAAGCAATGCCTTCATCAGCAAATGGTCTTAGAAGCTGTCTCCAATATTTTTGTGTCTCTGTGTGTGTGTGTGTGTGTGTGTGTGTGTGTGTGTGTGTATACGCTTAGTATATGTGTATATATATGTCCTGTGTGTGTATACACATTTAGTATGTGTGTGTGGATATGTTCTGTGTGTTTCTTATGAGCTAATTGCCTTTAGCCTCTGTTCACTACTATAGGTTTCTGTTCCAGATCATGAATTAATGAATAAAATTAGAATTCAGGAGTCCAGTAGATAAGCAGGGCAAAGAGAAAGTTCTTTCCTACAGCAGAATTCCACCTAAAAACTATAGAAGGATGGCAGGGTTGAAAGATCATTCATAGATGCTAAACCCAGCAGATAACGTTTTATGAGAAACAGGATATTTACACAGCATCCAAGTATTTCCCCCACAAATTACTTATTAATTACCAGGGGAAGATAGTAACTTTGCAGTGGAGAAAACTGGCAGACACCACCTAAAGCACATGATCAAAGTCAACATCACCAGTAATGGGACACACTGACATCATGTGTGTCCCGATGTGCCAAGAAAGACATAACATCATTTTAATGGCATTTTCACCAAAAATGTATAACCTGAATCTAATCCAGACAAAATGCTAGACAAAACCAAATTGAGAAGCATTCTACAGAATACTCTGTACTCTTTTAAAATGTCAAGATCAAGAAAGACTGAGGAAATATTCTACAATAAAAGAGACTAAAGAGACACAACAACTAACTGCCCTATGTATCCTGGATTGAAACCTGGCTGAGAAAAAGTAGCTATAAAGAGCATTATTGGGACAATTGACAGAATTTGAATATGGACTGTGGGTTAAATAATAATACTATGTCAATACTATGCCCATGTTCAATTTCTTGATTCTGATATTTGTATTTTGGTTATGTAAGAAGCAGCCCTTGTTCTTAGAAAATAAATACTGAAATATTTAGGGGAAAGTACACTATGTCTCCAACTTACTCTCAAGTGATACAGACAAATTAGAGGGTAAACATCGGCTCTTAGGGGATAGAAATTTCTTAGATACAATGGTTTGTGGCTCCCCAAAAGGCCACACTACACAAACAGATACACGATATGTCTGTGGTCTTAAACTTCCATGGGGTAATTAGGGAAAAAAAGGTCTAAAATGCCTCCTTGAGGGAACAATAATGAAAAAAAAAGATTGAAAAACACATGCAGAGAAAGAGAACAAAATCAAATGAAATGGTGATAACCTGGGGGGAGGAAGAGTATATAGGAATTTCCTCTTTTAAGTTTGACATTTTTCAAATTAAAAAGGTACAAGAAAATTAAAAACTAACCCCTAAAAGTTAAAAAGTTGCTACACTATTATGCAAGATTAGGAGCTCAATATTATTTAGAAGCAAAGCATCAACAGAAAAACATACTAGCCAAGGAAACATCCACATAGTCATGTACATGTTTTTCATTGTTGCTTCTCTAGAACACATTATGCGTGTGTGTGTGTATGTGTGTGTCTGTCATTCATGTGGCTTTGTGACTCATGTATGCTGGGTCCTCTCACTGTTTGAGGACAGCAGTGGCTCACTTGGACCATTTACTTAACTTAGGAGACCACTTTATATGGAAGATGGAGACATTTAGTTTCATGAAGGACGGAACAAAACAAAAGTTTTGAATAACGGCAGGTAGGATGTAGGTTAAAATGCAAAATGAATGCTTTAAGAATATAAGCATCGGGAGTAGAAGTTACTGAGTTGGCTATAAAATATTCTCTCAAAGACATTTTAAAGATATTTTAACCAGGCCGGGCATGATGGCTCATGCCTGTAATCCCAGCACTTTGGAGGATGAGGCGGGCAGATCACGAGGTCAGGGGTTTGAGACCAGCCTGGCCAACATAGTAAAACTCCGTCTCCACTAAATAAAAAAAAAAAAATTAGCCAGTTGTGGTGGCAGACACCTGGAATCCCAGCTATTAGGGAGGCTGAGGCAGGAGAATCACTTGAATCCGGGAGGCAGAGGTTGCAGTGAGCCAAGATAGCACCACTACACTCCAGCCTGGATGACAGAGTGAGACTCCGTCTCAAAAAAAAAAAGATAGTTTAACCACTAGATTCACATCTGTAAGAGGACAATTCAAGGGCCAGGAGACAAATGAGAAGAGTTTCATTCATTTATTGACGCTTTCAGTGTGCTAGGCACTGTTGGCTCAAAGCTGGGCAAGACACGACCTCTATCTATAGTGAACTTGCCAACTAGCAGAAAGATTATTTTAAGATTTATCTGTCAGTATCAATATTGTCATCTTATTTCACAGTCTTGGTCTTTATGACTTTTCTCTAACATTTAACCATTACCCTAACTGCTGTCATCATAATTAACATGTAAATATTTCTCAGTGCCATTGTCACTGTACAGCTACCTTCGCAAAATATTTTCTAACCACTAGTGACAGCACAATACAAAAACAGGTAAGGAGGTCTGCATTCTACAATGTTGCAGCCAGGTGTGTTGAAATGGCAGACAGCTCCCTGGGCAGCCACACAAGATTCAGATTACTAGAATCACTTGAGGTCCTGCTTCCAGGCCCAAAGTGGAAAACTGACTCTGTTACTGCCATTGGATTCCCTCGCTTCATTAATTAACTCAAAATTGCCTCTCAGTGGCAATCCAGACCTCTGTTTCTAATTTCCTTCTGTGCTGAAAAGTAAATAGGCCTAACCACATTTTCAAGCCCCTGTGCGTGGGTCTTTTGTGCTTATAGCAGACCACTATCCACTGGAAGACGTCTGGGCCACTGCCAAGTTGAGTATTCAATTTCTTTGTTGTTTTTCAGGATAACCTAGCTAACCGCAATCCCTTTCCACCATTCCTCTGCAATGTGCTTGAAATAGAGCCAAGACTCTATCCTACAAAATGCACAAGAAAAACAAAAAAGGAGGAAATAAATAAAGAAGGGGTCATGGAAAAAATCAGAGTTTGTGAATATTGCCCCATACGTATTTTCTTTTCACATTTTTCTCTCATGACTTCTCAAAAACATTCAGACCCCAAATGCCTGGTCATATTCAGGAATAACTCCAATGGCTTCCCATTCTCTCCTCCCCACCCAAGAAGATTATAGGATTATAAACATGAGGTAAATTCCTGGGATCCTATTCCTTGGGGCATATGCGCAAGCTTTTGGCTTTGGGAGGTGGGGTGTGGGGTGGCAAATGCCTAAAAGGTTTTGGATGACTATCCAAAGAGAAACAGATGGCTTTAGCACGCCTGTGCCCAACACATGATCTGTGTGACTCCTGCCCTCTCAACACCATCTCCGTGCCGCCCCCTTTCTCCCACACCCCAGACAAATAAGAACAAAAATGAGTCTCTGCACATTCAAAAGGTGAACTTTCAAGGACAAGTCTTCCCATATGGAAAGGATAATGGCATCATGCCAGAGCACGTGCAGTAAAGAAGGGCTCAGGGTGTTTCACATTTTCTCTTCCAATGGGTTCCAAACGTTCTGATGGACAATCTTATTCTTCCCCTATAAACTTTCTGCTCCATATCCCGCTATAGCTGTTAATACACTTTTCAATTTTCCTCAGGTCCCCAAATAGTGGGAACAGCACGAACATCGGCATGAAGGCAAGAAAATAGGAGGCATGTACTGGGGAGAGCAAATAGTTCAGTTGGAGAAAGGGCACATGAGGAGCAGTAGCAGCAAATAAGAATGACCAGGAGTTTGGGATCAGACACGTGGGACCATGAGTACCAGGTCAAAAGTTCAAACTTTATTTGATGATGAAGCAACATTAAACACTAAAGGTCAAGTTTCAGGAATGTAACTAATTCAGAAGAAACACAATGACACATAAAAAAAGAAATAGAGCCAAACACAAAAATTAGCAAAATATGAATGCTTCACCTCAGCGATGGATTCTTATGACTGAACACTGGGAGCCAGACATTAAAGGACAAACGGGAAGCCTATCTAAATCACTATCTGACAGAAAGAAGCTCATTTATTCTTGAAAAGAGAACAAACATCCTAGGAGAAATCATGTGGACTCTTTTAAGTGCCATTAAATGACACAATGGGAAAAATCTTCAACAATATTTTTATCACAAACAGAGAGGCAAAGTCACATGGTTGCACAGCTCTCTCTCATACTGACATTTAATACAGGCTCCAAGCAGGAAAGTATCATCTAAGAAGACAGCTAATGTGATTCATTGATGTGGATTTCTGATCTTTCCTGATCATCAGGAAATGATGAACTTGAGACACCTGGAAGAATGAATATCATACTTCTATTAAATGTCACTTCTGTTGGCCAGTCACTAAGGAAAGCAGATAAATTGCTGTTTCTCCACCTGTTGAAAGTTTCAAATTGAGTAGTGTACATTATTAAACAAACATCTCTGGTTTTAGATAGGGTGACCATATATAGGTTGGTACTTCCCTGGTTTATGCCTCCTGCCCCAGAATAATTAGGAGCAGCCCCTCCTTTCTATCCAAAACTACCCCAGTTTCGGTGATAACTTATATGATCACCCTAGTTCTAAATATCTGCCCAAGTAGAAGTTGCCACACTATTATGCAAGTTTAGGAGCTCAATTATCTTTTAACTTAGAATACAACCCACCTTCACAAGCAATATCTAACTTGATGACTACTGAAAGATTTGCTGAGGCTAAACTCACTGGTGTATCATCTCTTGGAGCACTACCCTTTGTCTTACTGGACACTGTGTTCTCATCCCTAGCACAGGCCCATCGTATCACAAGCATTTGACTGAATTATTTGGTTATTGATGGGCATAACCTGTGACATAGCTGTCTCTTCTTGGACAACTACTGATACCACCATCATGTAAGATAAATTGTTACATAAATTAACAGCTTAGATGCTTTTTCCTCATTTTTTCCTAAAAAGGATTTTAAAATGTACAGCCAATTTGTAACTCTTTTATAGCACATCTACAGATATCTAACAAAGATTCTCATCCTCCAGCTAACCAAATTTATAGGTTAAACCTCTAGAATGTCACAGTGATCCAGTTCAGGGTGTTATTTCCCAACAGAGCCAAAGCCATCTATTTTTTACTCTGCCAAACCAGCAACATTTCCAACATGAAATATCCATAATGCAGGAAATTCCAGTTCTAGGACTCAGACATGAATGGTCCCTGCAATTATTGTTAAATTGCATGTGTCAAGAAGTAGTTTTTTCCTGTTGGCGGTAGACAGTACGGCATGTGCATTGTGGTTCACAGAGGCAATAAAAGTGTGTTATGTTACTAGATCCTGAAAGTAGGTAGCAAATACAAACAGTAAATTTAAAAGGATTATTTTTGTTTCTGATTTTGCATACAACTTAGAATTTTATGAAAATTTTCTGAGAATTTATGAGAACTTTATGATTACTGTGCCCATGCTTTAGGAATCATTAAAGAAAGTTTGTGGATTACTTCTTTTGAACAACTTACTTAAAAAGTATTCAAGTTCAATTAAGTTTGATATTTGGGATACCTTTATGAATAATAAATGAATCTTTATCACTCTATATTATCTTGAAACATTCCTAAGGTTATCAGAACTATCCATATGATTTCTGTCCTTATACGTTCTGCTTCAATGGCACCTTCAAGCTTGTCTTTGTGAAAATGCAACTACATTGCAAGTAGCCAATAACATTATCAATGAAAATCTTGTCAGTAGCCAATAATATAACGTTAAAATTTGCTTGGTTACGGACAAGAGTCATTCTGAGTTAAAGAAAAAAAAAATGGTAAAGCAAAAAGAGTACAAAAAGAAGAACTCTTTCAAAAAGTGTCTCATCTGTACTTTCTGCCTTTGTATATAACAAATGCTAAGCAGATGTTACATTGAACTGAAATTGATACTGGTCTGTCTTGCATTGGCCAAACTAAGAGTGTGTGGGCGGGGAGGGGGCGGGTGGTATTTTGGTTTCTACCTGCTTTGCTTCATCACTGTTTAAAAGCTGATACATATTAAACTTGCTTTTTCTATTTAACTTTAGAGCCCATAGAAAATAAAGGAATTTTTAAAAGCAAGAGTCATTTAGTAATTCCCATTGAGAGCTGTCTTCTATTTTTTCACTAGAGATAGATTTTTCTAGTTGAGGTTGAAACAGAAAAAAAACTCCATGCATACCTTTTTCATCCTAAAAAATATTTATTGAAAGCCTAATACTACATACCACAAACAAATAAAAGACAGGCTTTAATCTTACAATTTATCCAAAAGGATTTATATGTGCTTGCATATGTAAAGGGTGTCAATTATATTTTACTTAATAAGAGGGATATGTTTAAAAAAAAAAAACAGGAAAACTAAAAATAAGAAGTGATTAATTCCATTGAGGGATATTAAGAACTATCAGTTTTGGGGTTAACTCTTGAACAATGAGCTAGATTTTTATTAAGGTATCAAAAGGAAGAAATACCATAAGCAAAACAGAGAAATACAACTGTTGGTTGCATATTTAAGTAGATTTTGTTCATAATTATATGTGAATGGTAAGGAACATTAGGTGAGACATCAAGAAAGCTAAGATTTCTAGATTGGGCAAATAGGTATGAAATGAGAAAATTATGGTTTCTGTTTTGTGCAGTGAACTAAGGTTATCTGGGGGATGTCCCGCCAGAAGTATTAAGTAGACTATTAGAAACATGGACCTAGAGAAATAAAAGAGATAATATATAGAGGTAAAAATGTGGAATTAATTCAAGTGTGATACACAATGAAATGATTCATGGCCAACTTCAAAATTTCCTATTATCCCAAAATTTAAAGGCTGGGAGTGGGGTGTAGAGAGGGGTGGGGAGGTGGAAGATGCAAACAGAAAGACTGGGGGAGATCCAGGGGAGTTTACCAACATAGAAACCAGGAAAAAAGCGAGCATCTTTGATGAGCTGGTCTTCGCCAGTATTGTCAGATACTGCAGAAATTGAATAGAAGGAGAGATCAAAGATTCAATATTGTCAGTGGAGTGCTGAACTTCACTTTGTAAAGCTTCCTAAAATCTATTCTAATTAGCCAGAAGGAAATACGTAGAAACATAAATATCGTTATTATCAGACTCATCAATGTTATTTTGATGTCTTTTCAGTCTTAATGAATGCTTCACCTTGTGTTCCACTTACATCAAGGATTGATCCTTCAACTGGGTAAAAACCCTTCCCAATCTTAAGGAATGTATATAATTTTTATTTTTGCCATAACTGTAGCCTTGAAAATTGTTTCTTCATGCATGGAAATGACCTTCAAGTGTGGCAGTCTTTGGAGATTGAGGGTGGACACTCACTTTGAACTAAGACTTATCTAAGCCTCTAAATCATGGAATGAGGAGAGAAATGCACCTAGTCTTCTGAGAGGCTTAGTCATCTTTGGATAATGTTAGTAAGTTGTCCTTTCTTGACTATAATAAATTTTCGTATTTGGCTCAAATATTATGTAGATGTCTAGTTTTTACTCTTTAATTGATTAAATGTGGAAAAATTGGAAAGCCCATATTCAACTAAAATTTATATGACCAACAGCTGCTATGTGATAAGAGTGGTAGAAGAGAGAGGATAATTTTCTAAGACTGTTTTGCCATCTATCCTTCAGTGTCTTCTTTGATCACATTATTTATTTGCAGTTGCATTTTTGTGGTCTGGAACTTGAACATAATTTTAATAGTCCTTTAAAAAGAATTCAAGACAAAAAATTCATGGAAAACAATTTTTGCACAATTCTGGAAGCACCTAGAGAAAATATCTTGTTTTTCTAATTTTCTGCAATCTAGGAAGATATCCAACAGGAGATGAAAAAGTTAGGACTTGAACCGGCATTTCCTCCTACCATACTGGCTGTGTGCTTGAGTCCTTAATGGTTAAATTTATGGGACTACCTTTTTGCATACTTCCCCACAATGAAGTCTTAGATAATATAACAAGATTCAATCAACTCTTTCCATCATTCATTTAACAAATATTGTTTAAGTAAATTAACTTGGAAACCTCAAAATGAATCAGATAGGAATTTGCCAACAAGGAGATAAAACTGAACAAAAATAATAAATCACAGTATAAAAATAATTAATAGGCTGGGCATGGTGGCTGCTGCCTATAATCCCAGCACTTTGGGAGGCCAAGGCAGGTGGATCATTTGAGCCCAGGAGCTCAAGACCAGCCTGGACAATATGGCAAAACCCAGTCTCTATAAAAAAATACAAAAAATTAACCAGACATGCTGGCATGCACCTGTAGTCCCAGCTACTTGGGAAGCTGAAGTGGGTGAATCACCTGAGCCCAGGAGGTCAAGGCTGCAGTGAATTGTGATCATGCCACTGCACTCCAGCCTGGGTAACAGAGTGAGACCCTGTCTCAAAATACAAATTAATATACTAAGTATAATAGAATAAGTGACAAGCAAAATTTAAATTTTCATTTATAAAAAGACGGTGAAAAAGATTTGTAGAAAAATCTATTTTAGTATAGAATATAAAAATACTGGATAAAATATAATAAACATTTCTCAAAGTCATGGTTAACTGGGACATAAAATAACGGGAAAATATTGCCCCAAAGTGACATGAAATTGAGATTATAGAATAAGTCAAGGCTAGGGCTGACATATTCTTTGAGAGTACCTGCACATTTGAGTGGGGCTACAGGCTCTATTCAGAAGAGATGGGCGAAGAGAGAATTGGTAAACTGAAAGACAAATATGAGCTATAACCCAGAACTAAGCTACACACAAAGAGATGGAAGATATACAAGTAAGAGACATGGCAACTAAAGTAGAAGAGTCAACAATCACATAATGAGAATTTTAGAAGGAGAGAAGAGAAACAATGGGGGAAAGACAATATTCAAAGATATAATGACTGTATTAGTCTGTTCACACACTGGTCTAAAAATACCTGAGACTGGGTAATTTATAAAGAAAAGAGGTTTAATTGGCTCACAGTTCCACAGGCTATTAGAAGCATGATGCTGGCAGCTGCTCACCTCCTGGGAAGGCCTCAGGAAACTTTCAATCATGGCAGAAGGCAAAGGGGGAAGCAGGCACGTCTTACATGGCTGGAGCAGGAGAGTGGGACAGGGAAGGTGCTACACGCTTTTAAACAATCAAATTTTGTCAGAACTCTACCATGAGAACAGCACTAGGGGAATGGTGCTAAACCATTAGAAACCACCTTCATGATCCAGTCACCTCCCACCATGCCCCATCTCCAACACTGGGGATTACAATTAAACATGAGATTTGAGTGGGAAGACAGATCCAAATCGTATCATTTTACCCCTTCCCTTTTCCAAGTCTCATGTCCTTCTCACATGGCAAAATACAATCATGCCTTCCCAACAGTCCCCCAAAGTCTTATTCCAGTATTAGCTCAAAAGACCAAAGCCCAAAGTCTCATCTGAGACAAGGCTAGTCCCTTCTGCCTATGAGCCTGTAAAATAAAAAAAAAAAAAGTTATTTACTTCCAAGATACAGTGGGGGTATAGACATTGGGTAAATACTCCCATTCCAAGAGGGAGATATCAGCCAAAAGAAAGGGGTTACACGTCCCACACAAGTCAGAAACCCAGCAGGGCAGTCATTAAATCTTAAAGTTCCAAAATGATCTCCTTTGATTTCATGTCTCACATCCAGGGCATACTGGTACAAGGGGTGGGTTCCTGAAGCCTTGGGCAGCTCTGCCCCTGAAGCTTTGCAGGGCACAGCACCCACAGCTGCTTTCACAGGCTGGCTTTGAGTGCCTGCAGCTTTTCCAGACACATGGTACAAGCTGTTGGTGGATCTACCATTCCGGAACCTGGAGAATGTTGGCCATCTTCCCACAGCTCCACTAGGCAGTGCCCCTGTGGGGACTCTGTGTGGTGGCTCCAACCCTACATTTCCATTCCACACTGCCCTATAGAGGTTCTCCATGAAGGCTCTGCCCCTGCAGCAGGGTTCTGCCTGGACATCCAGGCTTTTCCATACATCCTCTGAAATCTAGGCAGAGGCTATCAAGCCTCAACTCTTACACTCTGTGCACCCACATATCAGGGGAAATTCAGCCAGGTATTGGGCAAAATTCACCCCCGATATTTCACATAGGTTCTTTTCTATTTTCCCTAAGTGTCAGCCAGTTTGAGAAATAAAGGGACAGAGTACAAAGGAGGGAAATTTTAAAGCTGGGCATCCAGGGGAGACATCACATGTCGGTAGGTTCCTTGATGCCCCCCGAGCCGTGAAACCAGCAAGTTTTTATTAGTGATTTTCAAAAGGGGAGGGAGTGTATGAATAGGGTGTGGATCACAGATATCATGTGCTTCACAAGGTAATAGAATATCACAAGGCAAATGGAGGCAGGGCGAGATCACAGGACCACAGGACCGGGGCGAAATTAAAATTGCTAATGAAGTTTCAGGCACACATTGTCATTGATAACATCTTATCAGGAGACAGGGTTTGAGAGCAACCGGTCTGACCAAAATTTATTAGGCAGGAATTTCCTCATCCTAATAAGCCTGGGAGCGCTATGGGAAAGTGGGACTTATTTCATCCCTCCAGTTTCGACCATAGAAGATGGCCACACCCAAGGGGGCCATTTTAGAGGCCTACCCTCAGGGGCGTGTTCTCTTTCTCAGGGATGTTCCTTGCTGAGAAAAAGAATTCAGCAATATTTCTCCCATTTGCTTTTGAAAGAAGAGAAATATGGCTCTGTTCTGCCCGGCTCACCAGCAGTCAGAGTTTAAGGTTATCTCTCTTGTTCCCTGAACATTGCTGTTATCCTGTTCTTTTTTCAAGGTGCCCAGATTTCATATTGTTCAAACACACATGCTCTACAATTTATGCAGTTAACGCAATCATCACAGGGCCCTGAGGTGACACACGTCCTCCTCAGCTTATGAGATGACAGGATTAAGAGATTAAAGTAAAGACAGGCATAGGAAATCACAAGGGCATTGACTGGGGAAGTGATAAGTGTCCATGAAATCTTTACAGTTTATGTTTAGAGATTGCAGTAAAGACAGGCATAAGAAATTATAAAAGTATTAATTTGGGGAACTAATAAATGTCCATGAAATCTTCACAATCCATGTTCTTCTGTCATGCCTTCAGCCAGTCCTTCCATTCAGGGTCCCTGACTTCCCGCAACACCCACAAGCTTAACACCACGTGAAAGTCACCAAAGCTTATGGCTTGCATTCTCTGAAGCAGTGGCCCAAACTGTATCTGGGCCTCTTTGAGCCACAATTGGAGTTGGAGTGGCTTGGATGCAGGCAACAGTGTCCTGAGGTTGTGCGGGGCAGCAGCTCCCTGGCCCTGGCCCATGAAACGATTCTTTCCTCCTGGGTCTCTAGGCCTGTGATGGGAGGGGCTGCTGTGAAAATTTCTAAAGTGGTTTGGAGGCCTTTTCCCCATTGTCTTGGCTATTAAGATTTGGCTCCTCTTTACTTACGCAAATTTCCACAGCCAGCTTGAATTCATTCCCAGAAAATGGTTTTTCTATTCTATCACATGACTAGACTGCAAATTTCCCAAACTTTTAGGCTCTACTTCTCTTTTAAATATACGTTTCAATTTCAGATCATTTCTTTGCTCATACATATAAATTGTAGGATGTTAGAAGCAGCCAGGCCATATCTTGAGTGCTTTGCTGCTTAGAAATGTATTCTGCCAGATACACTAAATCACTCTCAAGTTCAAAATTCCACAGATTCCTAGAACGGGGCACAAAGCAGCCAACCTCTTTGCTAGCACATAATAAAAGTGAGCTTTGCCCCAGTTCCCAGTAAGTTCCTCATTTCCATTTGAGACCTCCTCAGCCTAGACTTCATTGTCCATATCACTATCAGCAATTTGGCCACAACAATTTAACAAGTCTTTAGGAAGCTCCAAATTTTCCCTCATCTTCCTGTCTTCTTCTGAGCCCTCCATACTCTTTTAACCTCTGCCCATTACCCAGTTCCAAAATTGCTTCCACATTTTCAAGTATCTTTATAGAAATGTCCCACTCCTCAGTACCAATTATCTGTATTAGTCCATTCTTGCACTGCTATAAAGAAATACCTGAGACTGGGTAATTTATAAAGAAAAGAGGTTTAATTGGCTCACAGTTCTGCAGGCTGTTAGGAAGCATAATGCTGGCATCTGCTCAGCTCCTGGGGAGGCCTCAGGAAACTCTCAATCATGGTGGAAGGTAGGCACATCTTTCATGGCCAAAGCAGGAAAGGAAGCGGGGAAGGTGCTACACAATTTTAAACAACCAGATCTCATGAGAACTCTATCATGAGAACAGCACTAGGGGGATGGTGCTAAACTATTAGAAACCACCTTCATGATCCAATCACCTCCCACTAGGCCTCACCTCCATCATTGGGGATTACCGTTGAACATGGGACTTGAGTAGGGACACAGATCTAAACCATACCAATGACTAGAAACTTTCGAGAATCAATTAAAGATACCTATGCTTAGGTTCAGGAAACCTAACAGATATATATATATATTCAGCTTTACAATTTATTAGGTTTTTTAAACCTTGGAATGGGTATCTTTCATCAGATCTGGAAAATTGTGTGTCTGTGTGTGTGCACGTGTGTGTGTGTATATCTGTGTGTGTGTATATATGTATATATGTGTGTGTGTGTGTATATAAGTATATATGTGTGTGTGTATATGTATGTATGTATGTATGTGTATATATAAAGGTTTTCAAAGAAGGCAAAGAGAAAGAGGGCAGGAAGTGGGAGAGAGAGATTAATTACCAAGGAAGTACAATTAGACTGTCAGCTGACTTCTCAACAACAACAAAGAAAGTCCAATGAAAATAAAAATATATTAAAAATGCTGAGAAAAAAATAAAAAATAACTATTGGCCTTGAAATGTTATCCAGTAAGAGATACTGTTAAAACAATAGAAAATAAAGACATTTTCAATAAACAGAAACTGAGTTCAATACCAATAGCAACTTATGAAAGGAATTACTAAAAGATGTGCCTTAGAAAGGAGGGAAGGCTCTGAGAAGGAAGATCTAATGTGACAAAAAGGAATACTGAGCAAATAAAATGGCAAACTTGTGGTAAACAAATGTTAACTGCATAAAATGGAAATAATAAAGTCTAATTTGAGAGTGAAAAATGATCCAGATAAAGTCTAGACACCAAAAGCATCTAAATTAGAAGGACTACAGTTGGAGTTAATATATTCTAAAGCAGAGATTCTCATATTCTAATATGCATACAAGTTACTAGGGGATCTTGATAAAATGTAGATTCTTAGTCAGTAGGTCTAGGGTGGAAATTGTCTATCTCTATAAACTTCCCAGATATATCCAGGCTGCTGGTTAATGACTCAAACTTTGACTATCAAGGTATTGAGATCCTTTTATTAGTCAAGAGTACGGTTACAAGATTGTTAAATTCATACTTTGTTAGCATATATGCATGCTAAAATAAATACAGTAAACACTAAAAGATTAAAATACTATGTACTCCCAAACTAATGGAGAAAACGTAATACATTTTAAAAAAACAAAAAGATCTCAATCAATCCAAAACAAAGCAAAGAAGACAGGTAGTCAGAAAGGAAAGGAGGAAGGGAAGGAGGAGAAAAAGAAAAGAAAACAAACAGGAAAATGGGGGAAAGATGGAAGAGGGAGGGAGAATAGAATTAAGAAAAAAAGAAGGAATGGCTAGATGAATAGAAAACAAAATTAGGTGGTAGAAAAATTCTAAACATACCAGCAAAACCCGTCAATGTACATGAAATACACTTTCTCTTGAAGGGTAGAGATTTTTAGGACAATAAAACAATCCAAGAATAGTTTTTTTAATTACTTTTTAACAAGATATACACTTAAAACAAAAGGATATAAAAACATTGAAAACAGAAAGACGGGAGCTATATGCCAGGCAGCTATGAAGCTCACCAAATGGCAAAGGTATCTATTAATAACAAACAAAATGGGATTTAAAGCAAGAACATTTTGAAAAGCAAAGATGATCACTATACAATTCTCCCTGAAAGTTGTAGAATTTTAACTTATAGCAACTCAATAATATAGTTTTACACTATATGAAGAAAAAATGTAATAATATATAAGAATATCATGATTCTATCATCATGATATGGAGATTTAAACCCCTTTTCTCAGTAGTCAATAGACATAGTGAACCCAATAAATCAGAAAGCGTGGCAGTCACTTGTGTTATTCACAAAAATTACTCCTTCATAGTACATGGCGGGAAAATACTTTTCTCCCTCTTGAAGTTAGATGGGGCTTTTGTGGCTATATGACTTGCTTTGGCCAGTGAAATATGAGCAGAAAGTATATGTGCTGCTTCCAGACAAAAGCATTTAGTGACTGGGGTGAGATTGCAGAAGTCTTTTCCCTGCTGAGAGCAAAGAATGGGATCCTCTGTCAGGCTGGTTCCTCAATAAAGATAATATGGAACATGAGCCAAAAATAAACTTAATTGTGAGTTTGTTACTGCTGCGTAACCAACCCATTCTCACGATTACAGTAAGGATAGAGATTAACTGACACAACTGAAAAGATAAATCTAGTGAATATAGTATTTAGGACACCGCAATCAACAATCGGAAAACAGACATGCTACATACGTAGACATAAACCATTTTAAAAAAAATTAAATACATTCTAGGTCTCAAAGCAAGTCCCCAAATTTTGCAGTTTCAGTATTATACAGCCTGCATATATTCATGATAAAATTAGAAATCCAAAAGATAATTCTATTTTGGAAAAAAAAAGTCTTAACACATCATATGTCAAAGAACATATAACGAAATTTGGGGGAGGGGAAGCATAAAACTAAATTATAATAAAAATACTCCTTAATAAAACCCTTTGGATGCAGATAAAATGATATATAGAAAAGCTCATTTTAAAAGTATCTTTAAATATGTAAAAAAGAAGACACAGTTAAAATTAATGAGATGAGAATGGTGGAGGGGAAACACAGAACTAAATTATAATAAAATTACTCCTTAACCCTTTGGATGCAGCTAAAATGGTACTTAGAAAACCTCATTTTAGAATTATCTTTATGCAGAAAATACAGTTAAAATTAATGAGACAAAAATGGCAATAGAATAAACCTAAAGAAAGTAGAGAGAAAAATATATCGAACAGAATTTAACGTAATAGAAACTATACAGCAAAGAAAGTCAAAAGCTGGCTTTTTAAAAGACTAATAAAAATAGACAAACTTTTAACAAAACTGATCTTTTAAAATAAATGGAAGAAATAAAATGGAAACTTAACCACTGATACTGCATTGATTAAAAAAATACTTTGAACAGCTGTACACACACAAATTTGAAAACTTAGTGAGCAAAAATATACATTATCAAAGAGAAGATAAAGAAGAAAAAGTCAGAATAGCTCCATAGGCATTAAAGAAATTTGTGAGTTCTCAAAACATCTTGACTTATGCAAACTATATAATTTCATTAATGTAAAGTTTAAAAACAGGCGAAACTAAAAATACCTGGTGTTAAAACTCAGGTTACTTCAAACTATGATTGAGGGAGGACTGTAAGAGGGTATGGCAGCCCAATTCTCTGGTGCTGGCAGTGTTTGGATTCTCGATCTGGGTGCTAGTTAAAGGGGTGTGCTCAATTTATAATAATTCACTGAATGCTAAACTTTTCTGGGTATATGTGATATTTCAGTAAAATGAGCAAAAGCAAAATCTTTACAAAAATAAAGTATCAAGACACATTATTTTAGAGGAGAATCCTAGCAAACCTTAAGAAGCAGATAATTTCCTTTTTTTTTTTTTTTTTTTTTTTTTGAGACTGGGTCTCGCTGTGTCGCCCAGGCAGAGTGCAGTGGCGCAATCTCGGCTCACTGCAAGCTCCGCCTCCTGGGTTCATGCCATTCTCCTGCCTCAGCCTCCTGAGTAGCTGGGACTAGAGGTGCCCACCACCATGCCCGGCTAATTTTTTGTATTTTTAGTGGAGATGGGGTTTCACCGTGCCAGCCAGGATGGTCTTGATCTCCTGACCTCATGATCCGCCCACCTCGGCCTCCCAAAGTGCTGGGATTACAGGCATGAGGCACCATCTTATACCAGCTTTTCAGAGAGTAGCAAATGGTCTACTCTCCTAAAATATTTTGTGAGGTGAGTAAAGCCTTAATACCAACATGACACAGAACAGTACAAGAAAGAAAAATTACATGGTGATCTGACCGGTGAAAATAAAGTAAAAATATCCTCAACAAAAACATTAGAAAAACTGATTGCTCAATGTAAAAAGAGAAAATGAATCATGACCAGGTGGGGGTGTATTCTAAGAATGCAAAGTTAAGTCAACATTAGAAATTGTATTAAGGTAATTCAACCTATTAATGGACTAAAGGTGGGGAGAAACCCTGAATAATTATCTCAAAACAAGCAGAAGTAATAACTGATGAAATTCAACCACAGAAGATAAATTTCTTAGCTAACTAGGAATGGCAGGGAACTTTCTTAAACTGCTCAAGACTAGCTAAAAACAGAGAACAACAGAAGAAAAAATAACAAAAAACCCTGCCACAAATATATTTCTCAATGATAAAATGTTGAAAACATCAGTGCCTTTAAAATCAGGAACAAGGCAAAGGTTCACTATTACTACATTTATGCTACTTTTATGCAACTTAATGTCCCAGTAAGTAGTAAAGCAAAACATGCACACACACACACACACACACACACACACACAGTATAAGGGTTAGAAAGAAAACAATTATTTACAGATGATGTAATTGTTTGCATCGAAAATTCAAAATAATCTATAAAATATTATTGGAATTAATAAAAGAATTTATATTAGTTGCCACACATAAGATTAATTCAGAAATCGATTTCATTTTCATATACAGATGCCAGCAGTTAGAAATTGCAGCTAAAAAGTAAAGATACTATTTATACTAACGACAAAAATATAAGAAATTCAGACAAATCCAACAGAAATTTTGGAAGGACTGTATGTAGAAAAATGTAAGACTGTATGAAAAGACATTAAAGAACTCCTAAACAGAGCCATACTATCCTCATTAAATAGGAGGTTCAACATTATTAGAGTTGATCTACATTCACAAATTGAACTAAAGATTCAATGCATTTTTTCATCAGAATTCTAGCAATACTTTTCATGGTACCTGACAAGCTAATTGTTAAGCCACTGAAGTGCAAGATGTGACTGGGCATGGTGGTTCATACCTGTAATCCCACCATTTTGGGAGGCTGAGGTGGGAGGATCACTTGAGGCCAGTTCAAGACCAGCCTGTTCAACAAAGCAAAACCTCGTTTTCACAAAAAATTTAAAAAATTAACCAGATGTGGTGGTGCATGCCTGTAATCTCAGCTATTTGGGAGGTTGAGACAGGAGGATTACTTGAGCCCAGAAAGTCAAGGCTGCAGTAAGCTATGATCATACCACTATACCCCAGCCTAGGTGACAGAGCAAGACCCAGTCTCTGAAAAAAGAAAAAGAAAAGAAATGCAAGATGTTCTTGGAGAAAAACTAAGTAGTTGCATTTGCTCTACCATGGGTCAGGGCTGATTATAATCCATAATTTATAATAAGTAAAATAATGAAGTACTAGCTCTTGGGTAAACAAATTGACCAATAGAATAGATAGTTTAGAAACAGACCCATGCATTTATCTAAAACAAATACGTAAACAAAGTCGGCATGGTAGTTTGGTAAGGAAAAGATAGGTTAATTAGTAAACAATTAGTTAATAGTTGTTAATCCATAAGAAAAATAAGCGAAAACAGAGACCTACTTCAGACCACTAATGGATTAAGTACTTAAATGTGTAAGGTAAAAGTCTGACTTTTAGAAGAAAGTGTAGAAGAATCTCTTTTGAACTTTGGATATGGAAAGACTTCTCAAACAGGATACCAAAAAAAAAAAAAAAAAGAAAGAAAGCCACAAACACTAATAGGACAAAAAAACCATTCAGTTACTTAAAATTTACAATTTCTGTTAATAAAAGTACCTCCTCTTGAAAATAAAAAGCCAAAATATAGAAAAGTTCCACTGTACATAATGAACAAAGAATTAGTATCCAGGACAAATAAAGAATTACCACAAATCAATAAGAAGACAATTTAGTAGGAAAAAATAGCAGAAGACCATGAACAGGCATTTCACAGAATAAAAAATTATTGGTGGCCTTTAAACATACAAAAAGATGCTCAATCTCATTACTAATCAAACAAACACAAATTAAAATTTTACCATCTCACACCTATCAAAACACCGATAATTAAAAAGTCAATACAAGTTTTGGTAAAGACGTGGACCAACAAGAATACTCATCAAGAGCTGGTGGGAGCATAAATCAGAACAACCATTTGGTAAAAGCAATTTGAATTCACTTAGTAAAATTTAACAACCCCATCCCCTAGGACCTGAAAATCCAACTTTTACTTATGTAACTGATAGCCATAGCTCTCAACTCTGGCAACACCACAGAATCACAGCGCCCCATCCTGCAAGATCATGACGTAATTGTTCTTGGGTAGGGCTCAAACCCTAGGTTTTGTTAAAAGCTCTCCAGGTGGTTCTAATGTGCATCATGATCACCTGGAGAGCTTATTAAAACCCAGATCCTGGGTCCAATCCACAGAGATTCTGACTCAGTAATCTAATGGAGGTTAAGCTCTTGTTCAAGGACCACAAATTAAGAACCAATACCCTAAGAGAAATGATTGCATGTGTGCACGAGGAGACATGAGTTAAAATGTTAATCAGTATAAACAGGAAATGTTCATCAAAAGAAGAATAGATCAATAAATTGGGTAATATCCAAGCAGAAAAATTTACACAAGTATTCATGACATATAATAAGTGCTCCATAAATGTTAGCCCTTTTACCAGTTTACTCCCGCTTCTGCAGTGCTTTGCACTGTTTCTGGTGCTACTGCCCTACTCAATATTAATTACAAGAAAATGAAAGCATATTTTAGTGAGCTGATAATACACTGTGCATTACAATGGCAGTCAGAAATAAGTTCAGTCTTATATCATTGTGAATTCATGGGAAAAACTTGAAATGTCTGCCACCATCAGCAAGAGCTTTGATTCTTTCAAATATCACAATCTAATCCAAACCAGTCAGCTGTTAGTGGGGTTACTATCATTTGTCTGCCTTTCTATAAACACATTCATGTAACAACTAACCATTAAAACTTACTCTGTGTTCATCACTGTTTGAGGCCCTGTGGACACAGCAGAAAACAAGGTAGACTGCATTCCAAAAGTGGATCCAGATAGTAACAAACAAGAAAAATACAGGATTGTGAAAAGTACTACATAGATAATGAAATGGAAGGATTTGGTAGAGTGATACTGGCTGGCTTCGTTAGAGAGAGTGGACAAGGAAGGCCTATCAGTAGAGGTGGTTTTCAAATTCACAACACCTTTTAAAGGTTATCATCATTCTGATGCCAAAACCTGGCGAAGACACAATAAAGAAAACTTCAGACCAGTATCTCTGATGAACATAGATGCAAAAATCCTCAACAAAATACTAGCAACCGGAATCCAGCAGCACATCAAAAAGCTAATCCACCACGATCAAACAGGCTTTATTTCTGAGATGCAAGATTGATTCAACAACACAAATCAATAAACATGATTCATCACTTAAGAGAACTAAAAACAAAAACCACATGATCATCTCAACAGATGCAGAACAGGCTTCTGATAAAATTGAACATCCTTTCATGTTTAAAAACCCTCAACAAACTAGGCATCAAAAGTACATACCTCAAAATAATAACAGCAGTCTATGGCAAACCCACAGCCAACATCACACTGAATGGACAAAACCTGGAAGCATTCCCCTTAAAAACCAGAAAAAAACAAGGACGTCCACTCTCACCACTCTTATTCAACATAGTACTGGAAGACCTAGCCAGAGCAATCAGGCAAGAGAAAGAAATAAAAGGCATCCAAATAGGAAAACTATCTCTCTTCACAGATGATATAACATTATACCTAGAAAACCCCCGTGTCTGCCCAAATGTTCCAAGATCTGATAAACAACTGCAGCAAAGTTTCAAGATACAGAATCAATGTACAAAAATCAGTAGCATTTCTATACACCAATAAGGTCCAAGCTGAGGGCCAAATCAAGAATGTGATCAGCTGGGCATGGTGGCTCACGCCTGTAATCCCAGCACTTTGGGAAGCCGAGGCGGGCGGATCACGAGGTCAGGAGATGGAGACCATCCTGGCTAACACGGTGAAACCCCGTCTCTACTAAAAATACAAAAAATTAGCCGGGCATGGTGGTGGGGGCCTGTAGTCCCAGCTACTCAGGAGGCAGAGGCAGGAGAATGGCATGAACCCAGGAGGCGGAGCTTGCAGTGAGCCAAGATCGTGCCACTGCAATCCGGCCTGGGCAACAGAGCAAGACTCCATCTCAAAAAAAAAAAAAAAAGAATGTGATCCTATTCACAATAGCCACAAAAAGAATAAAATATCTAAGAATACAGCTAATTAGGCAGGTGAAAGATCTCTACAATGAGAATTATAAAACACTGCTAAGAGAAATCAGAGATGACACAAACAAATGGGAAAATACTCCATGCTCATGGATAGGAAGAATCAGTATTGTAAAAAATGGCCATACTGCCCAAAGCTATTTACAGATTCAATACCATTCTCATCAAACTAATAATAAAATTTTTTACAGAATTGGGAAAAAAATACATAAAATTTATTTGGAAGCAAAAAGGAGCCCAACTAGCCAAAGCAATCCTAAGCAAAAAGAACAAAGCTGGAGGCATAGTATTACCTGACTCCAAACTGTACTACAAGGCTACAGTAACTAAAACAGCATGGTACTGGTACAAAAACAGACACATAGACCAATGGAACAGAATAGAGAACACAGGAATTATGCTATGCACTATAACTATCTGATTTTTGACAAAGCTGACAGAAACAAGCAAAGGGAAAAGGACTCTCCATTCAATAAATGCTCCTGGAATAACTGACTAGACATATGCAAAAGACTGAAACTGTACCCCTTCCTTTCACCATATACAAAAATCAACACAAGATGAATTAAAGGCTCAAATGTAAAACCTAAAACTATAAAGATCCTAGAATAAAATCTGGGAAATACCATTCTGGACATTGTCCCAGGCGAAGACTTCATGACAAAGACTCCAAAAGCAATTGCAACAAAAATTGACTAGTGGGACCTAATTAAACTAAAGAGCTTCTGCACAGCAAAAGCAACTATCAACAGAGTAAACAGACAACCTACAGAATGGGAGAATATATTTACAAACTATGCCTCTGACAAAGGACTAATATCTGGCATTTGTAAGAAACTCAAATCAACAAGCAAAAAAAAAAACCCCATTTAAAAAGAAGGGGCAAAGGACATGAACATACTTCTCAAAAAAAGACATACACACAGCTGACAAGCATATGAAGAAATGCTGAACATCAGTAATCATTAGGGAAATGCAAATCAAAACCACAATGAAATACCATCTCACATCAGTCAGAATGGCTATTACTCAAAAGTCAAAAAATAACAGAGGCCGGTGAGGTTGCAGAGAAAAGGGAACACATACACACTGCTAGTGGGAATGTAAATTAGTTCAGCTGCTGTGGAAAACCATCTGAAGACTTCTCAAACAACTTCAAGAACTACCATTTGACCTAGCAACCCCATCACTGGGTATATACCTGAAGGAATATAAATGGTTCCACCACAAAGACACATGCATGCATACGTTTGTCCTGGCACTATTCACAATAGAAAAGTCATAGAATTAATCTAAATGCCCACCAACAGTAGATTGGATCAAGAAAATGTGGTACATATACACCATGGAATACTAGGCAGCTATAAAAAATGAGATCATGTCCTTTGTAGCAACATGGATGCCGCTGGAGGCCATTATCCTAAGCGAATTAATGCAGGAACAGAAAACCAAATACCACATATTCTCACTTAGAAGTGGGAGCTACCCATTGAGTATACATGGACACAAAGAGAACAATAGACACTGGGCCCTGTTTGAGGGTGGAGGGTGGCAGGAGGGTGAGGATTGTAAAACTACCCAGCGGGTATTATGCTGATTACCTAGGTGATGAAATAATCTGTACGCCAAACTCCCACAATGAACAATTTATCCATGTAACAAATCTGTACCTGTACCCCTTGAACCTAAAATAAAAATTGGAAAGAAAAAAATAATAAAGAGTGTCTATTTTAAGAACTATTTTCAAGAGTGACTGAGGTATGACCACCATGCCTGTGGTCCTAAAAAGGTCCCCACTGAGTTAAATTTTTTCTAATAAAATATCTGATCTTTACTTGCAAAGCTTTAATTCAAGATAACACATTTACACTGGTACTGTGTATTGTGGCAAACAATGTGATATTAAATTGCATGTCTCACATCTGGCAGCAGCAGTAAAAATATGTTATATCAAACTCACATGTAGCACTTAAAATGCACAAGGCACTGTTCTAACTGCTTCACATATGAGACCTCTCTTAATCTTCTCTAACCCTATGTCATAAGTATCATTATTCCCAGTTTATAGATATGGAAAACTGAGGCATGGAGAAGTAACCTGTTTGGCAGAGACAGAAAGATACCAACCAATGACTTTTCAGAGGTTATTTCTGAGTGAACAAATTTCACAGACACAATTATTATTCCTTATATATTGAAAGAACTTTAATTCCAAGGAACTAAAGTTCTGTCAATAAAGTGTTCACGCAATCCTCATGATATCCCCAGTAAAGAAAGACTGAGTGAGTGGGGAAGGGGAGAAGGGGGGTCAAGAGGCTCGTGTTAGAGGGAACAAAACAGGTTAAGCAAGCGGCTTCCTCATTGTGAACAGTAAATCAGAACTAAATAGGCAGATAACAGTTTTTGGTATTATATTCTGCAACCAAAAGGCAAAACTTTGAGAAACATGGGTATCTTAGCTCAGGCTATTCTAACAAAACACCATCGACTGTGTGCCTTATCAACAAAAGAAATGTATTTTTCACAGTTCTAGAGATGAAACATCCTAGATCAGGGTGCCAGCATGATCATGTTCTGGAGGGTCCTCTCCTGGGTTGCAGACTGTTGACTTCTCTTGTATCCTTACATGGTAGAAAGAGGGTGAGAAAGCTCTCTGGAGTCTCTTTCATCAAGGCACTAATCCCATTCATGAGGGTTTCACCTTCATGACCTAATTACCTCCCAAGAGACCCCACTTCCTAATATCCTCACATTTGGAATTAAAATTCCAAAATGTGGATTTTTTGGGGGGCAACACTAACATTCAGTCCATTGTAGTGGGTAAGGTGGGAAAAGGGGAGACATGAAAATGTAAGTGGATCATGGACCCTGCATTTCACGTGACTTGCTCCAAGCCTTGAACCAGGGTTGGTGGTATGTCTTAGTGATACATGTTGCCAACACCATGTTATTTTATATAAAATAATTTAAAATTAGTAGCATAGTGCCAAGCATACAGCAAATATTTGATAAACGTTAACTGCCCTTCATGCCCTCTCCATCAAATGAAAGTGTAACCATTTCCCTTCTAATATCATTGTGATGATTTAAGTATCATTGTGACGCTTTAAGTATCATTGTGACATTCAGGGGCGTGCTGTATTCTGAATCTAGCCCTGAGTCAAAAGACACAATGAATTATGACAAAAGTGGGTGTATTCCAGAGATGGGAGGTTAGAAAATAATACGAAAATGATATTATTCTGACCTTACTCTATTACTCAGCCCCAATTCCCCCACACTTTGTGAACCTTTTTGTGAGTACAATGCTAAGGCAGTTTAAAAAAATGCAACTATATACAAGTTCATCAATTCCAGATGTAAAGTCAATAGCAATTCAAGTGATGACCACAGCAGTAACCTGGAGACCTGCAGTCTCAATGTATCAGGTAAAGGTGGCTTGCAACATTTTCACTCAATTGAAGGGTTGGGAAGGAACTAAATGGTGGCTTGGCTCTTTGGGAAATTGCCCTTGGATTGGATTCAAGGCTGCCTCTAGATTTATTTTCCAAAAAGAAAGCTCTGTTTCTCTTCTGAAAGGAATATGGGGAGGGGCTAAGAATTGGGGAGGGCAGTAGGAGAGATAAGTACAGCTCGATTATGCAGGTTTTTGTCCCATGTTCTGTTCTCTGTGGCCCCTGCAATGCCAAAACACAGGCTTAAAAATACTCTCATGAAATGTCAAAGTTTTATTATTGTACAAATCCATCTGGGAATTTGAGACCGCTTCTAAGTTTCTATTGTCCTATCAGAATTGACTAATGCAGGGCCAGCTGGGTAGGTGTTTTACAGCTCCCACTCAGCAAGCCTTGGCAGGTTCCTGAAAGAAGAAGGGAAAATGGGGATGAGGGGATATCCTGTTGGTTTCTCCTGTGCTTCTCACTGGAGAGCAGACTTTGCATTTGCCTTTTCAACAAGAAGTCCCATAAGACTGGTCTTCGAAGTCTGCAGCTTTGTGGTAACCACCCTACGTTAACTGCTCGTGGAGCCCGGTAGCGCTGCCTGCTGCTGTTCTCTGTCCACAGACAGCTGTGGGTGCAGACTCATCTCCACACACACTCTGAAGTGCCCGACCTCTCTGAGACTGCAAACCTACCCTGTTGTTCTCCTGAGATGGTGTTATGAGCTGAATCGTTTCTCCCAATATTCACATTTTTAAGTCTTAAACCCCAGTACCTCAGAATGTGACTGTATTTAGAGACAGGGCCTCTAAGGAGGTAGTTGAGTTAAAATGGTGCCTTAAGGTGGTCCCTAATCAGCGATGACTGGTGTCCTTATAAGAAGAAGGGACTAGGACACAGGCGCACACACAGAGGGATGACCCTGTGAAGACACGGCGAGAAGGCAGCAATCCGCAAGCCAAGGAGAGAGTCCTCAGGAGAGCCAAGCCTGCCCACACCTTCATCTTGAACTGCCAGTCCCCAGAACTGCGAGAAAATCAGTTCCTGTTGTTTAAACCACTCAGTCTGTGGCATTTAGTAGTGGCAGCCCTAGCAAACTAATGCAGATGGCTCCATTTCTTTCTAGTGCCTGAGCAGTATAAACGCCCTAGAAAGTCCCTTCTGGCCCCAGGAGGAAAAGCAGTAGAACAAGAAAAGTAATAACTGCTGTAATGGCCCTGACTTCTAATGTTTAAGAAGTCCTGATCCTTTTGTGAGACAGGTGTTTGACCTTGCCTCCAGGTGAAACAGTCCATAGATATTTATTGAGCAGCTAGGACATCAGCAGAACATGAGCTCTGTACCTTAGGAAAACTGTACTGTAAGGCACATGGGCTCAGAGACCAACGGTCCCTCTTTGAAATCCCAGTTCAGCCACTTTCTTGCTGTGTGAACTTTCGTAAGTTACCTTACTTCTCTGAATCTGTTTTCTCATCTGTGAAAGAAGGATAATGGTACCTTGAATAGTACTTTGAAGTATGTGTGAGGATTAGAGATATTCACTGTAAAAATGTATCTAGTTCTCAGCAGGGAAGTTGGAGTTCTATAAATGGTAGCTGCAATAACAATTGTTATTACTATTTTAAATAAGCAATCTAGCACTGAACCTGATGACTGTTAAGGTTCAACATATATTAACCCTTAACCTTTCCATCAACCAGGGTACATTTGAGAATCCAAGGACCTTAATATGCCTGAAATACAACCATAAACTGTGTAGATTCTATTCATTTTTATGCAAAAATTTATATCATTCACAAATAATGGCTTTTTGTTCTTTTTTCCTAATCCTTATACCTTTTATTTTTTCTTGCTTTAGAATTTGCATAAAGACAGTGATACCTGACATTTTTGTCTTATTCTGTATCCTAAACAGAATATTTTTTAACACTTTGCCATTAAGTATCATATTTGCTGAAGGTCTTTTTTAGCTGCTCTCAAACAGGTTCAGGAAATTTGCATTCTTAGGTAGCTACAAATCTTTATCATGAATGGTTGTTCGACTTTATAGGTACTTTTCCTGTATTTATCAAGATAATCATACTTTTGTTCACTTTAAGATAGTGAATGACATTAATATATTTTCTAACATTAACTCACCCTTGCATTTTGGAAAATATCCAACTTGATCATAATTTATTATATTTTGTTAATATACTGTGGATTCATTTTGCTAACATTTTCATTTAGCACTTTTATATTTGTTCATAAGCAAAACTGCTATGTAATTTCCTTTTTTTGTCTGTCCTAATCTGGTTTTGACACCAAATTTTTACCCACATCATGAAATAAGGTGGAAGTATTTCCTCTTTTTTATTACCTGAAAGTTTGAAATTACCTGTTCCTTAAATGATTGGTAGAGCTCACCTCTAAGACTAGTGGCGATGATGTTTTCATTGTAGGAAGACTTTAAGTAATTAGTTCAATTCCTTTAAAAGTTACAGTATTGCTGGGTGCAGTGGCTCACACCTGTAATTCCAGCACTTTGGGAGGCCGAGGCGGGCGGATCACGAGGTCAGGAAACCCAGACCATCCTGGCTAACATGGTGAAACCCTGTCTCTACTAAAAATACAAAAAATTAGCCAGGCGTGGTGGCGAGCACCTGTAGTTCCAGCTACTCAGGAGGCTGAGGCAGGAGAATGGCTTGAACCCAGGAGGCGGAGCTTGCAGTGAGCCGAGATCACACCACTGCACTCCAGCCTGGGCGAGAGAGCAAGACTCCATCTCAAAAAAAAAAAAAATACAGTATTATTCAGACTTTTTCTCTGTTTAGTCAGTTTTAGTATAGTTTTATAAAGATTTATGTGTATATATACATGCTGCTATAAAGACACATGCACACATATGTTTACTGCGGCACTACTCACAATAGCAAAGACTTGGAACCAACCCAATGTCCAACAATGATAGACTGGATTAAGAAAATGTGGCACATACACACCATGGAATACTATGCAGCCATAAAAAATGATGAGTTCATGTCCTTTTGTAGGGACATGGATGAAGCTGGAAACCATCATTCTCAGCAAACTATCGCAAGGACAAAAAACCAAACACTGCATGTTCTCACTCATAGGTGGGAATTGAACAATGAGAACACATGGACACAGGAAGGGGAACATCACACACCGGGGCCTGCTGTGAGGTGGAGGGAGGGGGGAGGGATAGCATTAGGAGATATACCTAATGCTAAATGACGAGTTAATGGGTGCAGCACTCCAGCATGGCACATGTATACATATGTAACGAACCTGCACGTTGTGCACATGTACTCTAAAACTTAAAGTATAAGAAAAAAAAGAAAAAAAAAGATTTATGTGTATATATTTCATCTAGTTTTTTTCTAATTTGATGGTATATATGTATACAAAGTATATTTTAATAAATGCAGAATGTGTGGTCATAATTCCTTTTCACTTCATTTACTCCCTCTATTCTCCATCATTTCTTTCAAAAGTTTTTCAATTTCATTAAACCTTTTTAAAGGTACAGTCTTTGTCTCTTGCACTAGCAGGAACACATTTGTTCATTGTGGTATCCCCAGCACCTAGAATCACGCTTGGCATGTTGTAGATACTCAATACGTGCTTTTTGGACTTAAAAGGCAGGGGAGATGGCGAGGTCTTTAGCCACATAAGAAAGAAGTAGCTAAAGACCAAGCAGTAACTAATGTCCACAGCAAAAATATATATGTCTACTAAATGCATGGTTCTTTCAAGAAGGAAAAGTAAATAATAGCCTAAGATAGTATATCCTTTGTTTATATCAATATTCGATATTTGCCTAATTCTGATTCCCTAGAAGGAAATACAGATCTTGAAAGATTTCACACATAATAATTTCCTTACAATTTCTAGTGATTTTCATAAAGTGAACTTTATTTTCAACAACACATGATAGGCTCTGGCATTAGAAACAAGGAAGATCATAGATTTGCTAACTTTTCTTTGCTGCTATAGACTTTAGTTAATATTTGATCTTATGACATAGAGTACTGATCCGTCACTATTGTTTGTATTCTAATCTGATGTTGCTGATAGGCTGGAAATAAAGGGGCCTTAGAAATGCAGAGAAACAGAGGAAATGTTGAAAGGACAATGAGCTTTGCTCATCTTGCTTCATGTAGTCCTTCAGATACTGGGTTGTGAAATAGAGAAGTTTGGGCCACTCTTTTTATTTTCAGGAAGAACTCTCTAGTAATCAGCATTTCCAATCCCTGCATTTCTGCTCTTAAATCAAATTTAATAAAGAGGAAGAGAAGAGAATCGCAGTTTTCTGCACTTATCCCTCTGCACACTTTATATGTTCAGTAGGAGTTTTTGGGTGCAATTTGAGCTAGCTGAGAATCAGATTGCTGCATGGCTCTGTAGCTGTAAATAGGGACACTTTGAAGATTAGATTGGGTATGTTGGCCCAAGCACATACTTTGTAAATTCTAACAAAATCTTTGTATCAGATCACAACTTAAAAATATCTCCCAAAGTAAAACACCAAGTACAAACCCCAGGTAAATGACGGTCCTGAGGAACAGATGTCAGGACATCAGATGTGAAGTTAAAGGATCCATCTAAAGACTATCTGTGGCGACCAAAGGGAGCCACAGTGAGGCAGCCAAACGTGAGCACTGAGATGAAGGAAATAGGCCCGAAGCAGCCTGCTCATGCTCTGAGACTGGAGGAAGAGGGTGAACGCAATCTCTGGAGGGAAGCCCTGACTTCAGGCAGCTCAGGTAAGATGTGGAGTACAAGGAAGATGCACATGGGCTGTGGGTGGTAGAAGGACACACTAGAGGAGAAAGTATACTGTCCTGAAAATATCTGAAGATTAAGTATGTGTTTAAGTATACTAGAAAAGATCGTTTTAAAAATTACAAGTGCTAAATTACAAGCACTTGCTTAAATTTTGCATGGGATACATAAGACTGCCTGCATATTTATTTATTAGCACAACTACACGACAGTGCCCAGTGTATAATAGGTGCTCAATTAGTATTTTTATTTTTTATTTATGTTTTTGAGACGGAGTCTTGCTATGTCACCTGGGCTGGAGTGGTGGCCCGATCTCGGCTCACTGCAACCTCTACCTCCCAGGTTCAAGCAATTCTCCTGCCTCAGCCTCCAAGTAGCTGGGATTACAGGCGAGCACCACCCACCCAGCTAATTTTCGTATTTTTAGTAGAGATGGGGTTTCACCATGTTGGCCAAGCTGGTCTCCAACTCCTGTCCTCAAGTGATCCACCTACCTCGGCCTCCCAAAGTGCTGGGATTACAGGCGTGAGCCACCGTGCCGGGCTTCAATTAGTATTTTTAGAAGGATGTATAGTATAAAGAGCACTGGCTTGAGAGTCAGGAGACCTGGATTCTAATACTGACTCTACCGTTAACTGAGTAACCTCAGGAAAATCACTGACATTCTTTGGGTCTCAAGGTTTCCCTCTATAAAGCAGAAGATAAATTGAATGGTCGTAAGATCACTTCCTATGTGCCTATGTCTATGTCTCTATCAGTGCTATAAGAAGGCCAGGTCCCTGCACTACAGTAAGAATATTCTCCCGAGAAATTACTCAGCAGAATCACAAAGGCAGGGAAGTGAATGGGACTTTCGGTGAATGGCAACTACAGGTAGTCTGATGTGGCTGGAGAACCAGGTTGTGGAAAGATAATACAGGCGAGGACAATGGCAGGCCTGAAAGTAATCACTGAAGGGGTAACGAGTGAACAGCCAGATTCAGGAGTGAACACCAGATTCATCAAATCACCAAAATGATTTGAGTCCATCTAAGACAAATAATGTCTGTAATTTGTCAATGGGGATGTCATCCTGTATTTTTATAGGGCAGTGGATTTTAAACTTTATTCCACATAAGAATCACTTTGTTAAATTTTTTTTTAGTAATGGTGTCTGGGTCCCATCACCAGAGACTCTAATTCAGTAGAACTGGAGGAGAACCTTTGTATGGTGCTTTACAGGTTATGAAAGTTTCAATGATACCCTTTGATCCTCACAGCTAACAGAAAGGGGTCAGAGTGGAATTATCACCATTTCACATATGAGAAAACCGAGGCTCAAAGAAATGGCATCTATCCAAAAAGCAGGAGGCAGAAATGAGACTCTGCACCAATGTTCTGAACCCAGGTCCAGTGCTTTTTCACTATGGCTCAGCTGCCTAAACTGAAAACAAGGGTTTAAGGTGAAAACAATTTATTGCTCAACTCAAAAAAACAATAGAACAGAGAAGCACCATTTAAGGTTAGCAAAAGGATAAGTTGAAACACAATGGAAAAGCACTTCTTTGAATGTAGTTAAGACATTCATGGACCTATTAACCCAAAGATGTAGTAGGTGATCATCAATGGTTCAAATGAGGTTTCAGTAAATTCATAGATGAAGGATCCATTCTCTTAACTATTTGAGAACAACACCATATCATCTCATGCATTTGTCCGAGACCAAATACCAGACTGCATATATTATGTTGCTAATTGTCTACAAGTTATAGTCAGGTATACTCAGAGCTTATAGTCTTACCTGCCTCATCCTTCTACTGAAAATTTAGTTATCTGTGCCCTCAGAAAAGAGAAACAGCATAGACAAGTGAAACAACCAAATCAGCTACAAAATATGGAGATGTGGTGATTATCCCAATACTGCAGAAAGACTCTGGACCCCTTGTGTGACATCAGACAAGCTAGTTATTACATGGTTAATATAGGGAAGGAAACTTATAGTTATCAGATGCCTACAGTGTGGTAGCCACATTGTGTGCAGGGCACTTTATATACACCATCACATTTAGTTCCCTTGGGAATCTCAAAAGGCCAGTGTTATAATTATCTCCTTTTCACAGGTGAGGAAAATCAGGTTCACAGAGGTTAAATAATATGCCCAAGGCTACAGAGCTCCACATAGTACAATCAAGATATGTCTGTCTCCAAAGTTTCCACTATTTAACATTTCTTATAGACTACCAAAAGGTGCGAAAACCTGGTGCAATGTAATAAATGACCAAGTGAAAAGACTTTCCCATTATGAGATGGCCTCCGTATCTAGAGAGCCGCAAGTCAGACGCTTCAGCAGCAGCTTCTGGGAGCAGAACTGTGAAGCTCATATCATTAGCAGCAGCATCTGGCACACAATCAGGAAGACAGGGCACCTGACCTACAGGATTGGGATGCATTTGATCCTTACGCTGGCACGTTCCCCATGAGCTGAGAGTGTTTCCCCTAGTGTGGGAAACCCTGCCTCAATTAGTCACCCAGATATTGCACAACAGATATGGCATTTCCAAAGCATGGCACGCTAACTGTCAAAAATAAATAAATAAATAACAAGAGCAAGAATGGGTGCAGCCAGAAGGTTGTTAAATAATCAAATTTTCACTGCCTTTTACAAAAGCCAGAGCTCATAGAAGCTGCTGCCTTCAATTTTACAGGGTTCTAAGCCCTAAGGAAACAGATAGCATTACACATACCATCCTTAAATACAAACCCAGTTGAGACATACATAGTTGGTGTGGAGGACTGGGTGCCCTCACTTTAACACTGAGAAACTGCCAGGAAATGTACAGCTTAGCTAGTACTAATTAGTGCTGATCCAACACCCCAAATACAGTAGGCATTTAAAGCATTAAATCACAAAGAAACTACCACCTCATCTCTAGCTTAGACTGTTGAAGTAGCTTCATTCCTGCTATCCCTTCATTCTTTACCACCTTTCAACCCACTTTCCACCAGCAGCCAGCCCCTCTTCTTGAAACACAGATCTGATTGTGTTGTGCCACTGCTCAAAAACGTCTTTGGTTTCCTGATGTTCTAATAAAAAAGTTAAAACGCATGACTAGCTGCCCTCATCAGCCTCATCTCATTCCACTCTCCCTTGCACCCACTAAGCTCTACTTTATCCTTCTTTTAGGTCCTTAACCTAAAACCTGCATGCATCAGGACCTTATCACATGTCATGTCCTTGCCTGAATCACAATCTTCCTCCCCATCCCCACCCCACCATCTTAGCTCATTTCTTTTCATTCACCATTATTTCTGTCTAAATGTCACTTTTTCAGAATTGTGAAATTCTGTGAATACACTGTCTCCTATTATATTTTCTCATACGACTCAGTGTTTCACCTTCAAGACAATTGCAATTAGAATGCAATAATTAAGTATTCAGATCTCTGTGAATGTCTGTTTTTCCTACTAGAACGTAAACAATGAGAGCAGGAGAAAATGACCATCTTATTCATTGCTCTATTCCTGTTTTGTACATTAAATTGTTCAGTCAATACTTGTTGAGCAAATAAGAATGGATAAACATGGTTAACCTTTCTCTGAAAAACGTATTTTAAAATTCTAAAAATCTAGAGAGAATTCAAAACAGGTTTCCTGCTGGACTGACAGCTTATCCCTACATGTCAAATTTTCACTCCCAGGCACAGAATGACCCATTACACTGAGTAGATACTCCCGTCTGCTATCAGATGCCTGCCTAGTGTCACAGCATCTCATCTGCAAGATGACTCACATCTCGTCTGTGAGATAACCTACAATCTGGGTTACATGCATCTGCAGCACCTCATCTGCAAGATAACCCCCAATCTGGGTTATAAGCACAGAACTCATCTCCTCAGGAAATGATATCAAATAATAAGAAATAAATTGCTTGCCTTGCATAAAAAGAGCCATTCAATAAATGTTGTATTATAATCTGAGAATTGAACAAGGCCTATGAAAAAGTCCTGCATTTATGCCTAAAAGTTTAGTTCATGACTTCAAATATTGAAACCCACTTTTTACAAAGTAGTATGTGTCTTTGACTTTTAAAAAGTGCATTTTACCGTGTTGGTTGAGAAAATATAATAATCTTAGTTAGACTCTTCCTCTAACCTCCCAAATCAAAACCAAACCAAAATAAAACAGCACTCTGAGAGGTTTAAGCTGTATATAATGAAGCAAAAGTTGCTGTCTGTACTCCAGGAATCTGGAGTCCCAGAGAAGGTGTGGACATTGTTGGAAATTGGCTTCTAGCCCACAAATCTCTGCTCTGTCCATGTAACTAGTGATAACCATAGCCATAGTCTGCAGATACACCATTGTAGTGCAATGATGGAGGGATAGCACTTAAATATGAAAACAGCAATTAAGAGCATATTTACCATTTTCTTCTTAGTATATATCCTACAAGTGTGCAGGATAGTTTGCTAGATGCTAAAACAACGACATAAAAAATGACAGGAGGGAAATGCAAATAAATAAAGGACAAGCCCCGAAAAGCATTAAGGCAGTAACCAAGCTGAGTAAATAAACACCAGTGCCTGTATTTTTATTATTTTCTAATACCTAGTAATGTGAAGTACAGGTGAGATATGGAAAAATAAGCTTAGTGTTGTGGCAGTTTCAGGGACAGAATATACACAAGAAATCACTTAAAATATTAAGGGAAAGAAAGACAAAATGCACATGCCACAGAGAACAAACAGGCCAGCAAGTCAGTGATAGCTCACACCTGCATATAAACCCTTTCCTGCTCCAGCCACGTCAGACTCCCTTGTCCTCCCCACACAGCAACCAATCCTGAGTGTCCACGGCTCCAGAGGTATGGTTGGGAACCCCCTCTGTGAGTTTTCACAGATGCATCATCCTAGCATAGCACCAGCTGACTTGGTGTCTGACACAGCTGTCAGAGACCCACCAAAATGGCAATATAATACCTCAAAGGACCAGAGGAGTACTGATCAAAAATGACTTGACTTTTCTCTCTTGCTCTCTCTCTCTCAATCTAAGGATACACACATCAGAAAACCTGAAGAGTCCCTTTGCTTTTCCTGGAATTATATAACCAACTACAGTTTCGGAATATATCAAAGCAAGTTCTTATCAAATACCTTATCTCTGGGTTTGTCTTCCACATAAAATATGAGTCACAGTCAGGATCAAACTATTGAAGTAAACTTTGTCCACACTGCAGTTTGCTCCTGCAGGACTGTGCTTCATGTCTCCTCCAAGCCCAAGTCAAGCTAGGTCTCTTGGGTTAGACCATATGCAGTCCTGAGTTTACTTTGGAGGTCACCCCTCAGCACCTGTGTACATCCAGACAGAGGCAGGAAGAGAGAATCAAGAGTGGAAACTGGGATCATCATCATCCCCTCGGAGGTTACTAAGAAATCAGATAATTGGAGAAACTTGGATCTTATTATTAGGAAAGCCTATGTTATCACTCCACAACACTAGCAGCTGGTTGCTGCCCAAATTACTGATGGAATTACCTGTCGTTCTGTTTCCACCATTGTGGTTTAACACTTTTGAGTTTTAATGTTTTTTCAGTCTTAAAAATACCCATAAAAAATGCATTTTGTCCTAGGAGGGACCACACCTCACAGCTTCATTCAATGTTTACTTGAAACCTGGAAAGGTCTGATACTGAGATAAGGAGATCAAGAAACAAATTGTGTTTACTTCCAATTTTTTCTCATAGTTGTAGTCAAAATTATGCCACTATTCACTGTGAGACCTTGGGTGGATTGCTTAATTGCACCAAGCTCAATCTGGCTGTCTTTCAAAAACAGAGATTTCAATCTCTTGCCAATATCACAAGATCATAAAATCTGCTGTGTACATATAGGTACCAAATGTAATTTAAGAAAATATAAAACATGGTATTTCCTTTAATGTTTGAAAGTAATTTAGCAAGGGGCTTGGTAAGCATCTAGGTGCCATAAAAAAAATGCAGTGAAAGGCAGCTGCCTACATTTACAGCAGAAGAGATGAGTGTGAGTTGGAGAAGAAAAGGCTCTTCATATATCATTTTAATTATTTCAATGTTAAAGTAATAAAATAATATATTCTTATAAACATCAAGCATATGAAACAATGCAGCATGGTTAATATGTTCAGAGTCAGGCAGTCTTACAGTCAAATTTCAGCACAAACCCCTGGGCCACGAGACCTTGGGCAAGCTGGTTTACTCTGCAGCGCAGTGTCTACACCTGTCAAATGGGGAATACAGTAGCTTTTGTCATAGGTGCTCCACAATCAGCAGAGACGCCACTAAAAATGGAATGTGTTGATCTTCTGAGAGTGTAACAATGGAAGGAGAAAGAGGAAGGAAATGGTCTCAAATGCAGCTCCTATATGGACCCATTCATTCAGCTTCTATTCGGTCACTCACTATGTGAGAGAAATCAAGCTAGAGTTTGAGAGCTCATCTTTAAGTAAAGGAGCAAGACTTGCATACAGAATAGCTTGCAATGAGTTCAAAGCCAGGGAAGAGGGTGGAGGGTGTCAAGGCTACTTCTCAGAAGGCGGGGACCAACAGTCGAGCCTTGAGTGGTGGACAGAAGTTGACCAGGGGGTCAAAGAGATTAAATCCATTCCAAGCACAGGGAAGGGCTGGTACAAAGGAACAGATGGGAACAGAATGTGGCAGCTGGCACGGTCTTCCTCAGTTCTGAGTCTAGGAATGAGTGCATTACCTGATACACTCAGATCTGGTGCTCAGTAATGTGTGTGATTGAGAACAGGAAGGAAAGGAAAGCTGTTCCAGGTGTGAGAGTGAGAAGAAGGACCACAGAATGAAGAAGCCTGAGATGAATATATGAGGAGCAGAGGCATGAGATGAGGAAAATAATCGAGACCAGCACTGGCCACGGCATAGCAGGTGGCATAGAGGGAGCCCTGGATGTGGAATCCAGAGACTCCTCCATGTTCCTTTAGCCACTAGCTGCTAGCATGGCCTTCAGTAAGTCATCTTGATATCTCTTAATTCCAGTGCTCTCCTCTATAAAATATGGGAGCTAAGCCTGTTGAGCTCTGAGATCTCTTTCAGTTCTGTTCAGTTTTAAAAGCATTTGCTAACCTTCTACTCAGTGCTGGGCACCATGCTAGACACTGGGGATTCAAAGATGAATGATATATTGTCCTGGTTCTTCTCCACTTGCTGTTCCCACGGGTCAGATCCATTCTCATCCCTTCTCCAGCAGCCCAAGTGCCCTCCATCTCTGAGGCTGGCTATGATGATCACAGCCTCTTTCCACAGGTACAGCTTCTGCCCAGCAGCCCATTTTCTGTGGCTCCAGACCTCTCTGTGATTCAGTAACACCATTTTCCCCACTTGCTCCTCCAGACCCACATGTGCCAATAGCTGCTCACTTTGCTAGTGTCTACCTCAACTTCCTTTAAACCTGCACTAAAGCATGCTGTATAGCCTTCATTAAAATTTCTTCTGTTCAACCATGTGAGTGAATTCTATTTGTGGCAGGCCCCTAATTAATACAGAGCTTAAAGTGCAATTGGAAGGGGAGAACTATCAATATTTCATTTATCCCAATGTAAAATATCATAAGAAAACCTAGGAGGGAGCAATGCTGGAAGACTGAAGAAGAGAGGCTCCAGAGGAGTGTTTGTAGAGAGTGAGTTCCAAGATTGGGGTGGAAGAATTGATGATGGACACAGGGGTGAAAGAATGGAACCAGAGAGAGTTTATTGTTACTGTTGCTAATGCAGCTATTGTTACATTAAAAACAATTTTCAAGAGGTGCAACCCAAAGATAAATAAAATCTGTCATACCAGAATAAAGAGTAGCACATAATTGTGTATGAATGATGGGACAATAGGCATAATTTGAGAAGAGGTATAATTTCAGCTGTGAATGTGAACATGGGTTGACTTTTGCTGTTTTACATAGATGGATCATTTTCAGTGTTATCAACTAAGTGTGCAAATTCAGCAATTGAAAATGCATGCAAGCTCTGTACAAAAGACAAATTCTTTACATAGAATAAAAAGTCAGCTGGGAAGCCAAAATTGACAAAACCAACAACTTCTATACCAAAAGCAATGAAATGTATTCTTAACCTCTGATACTTAACATTGTGATTCCACAGGCTGGGGCAGCTCCTCACTTTCTCCACTGCCACTTGTGCTGTCATCAAGAACATGATAGCTTCCTTTGTGGTCTTTGAAGGGCAGATGTTTCACTCCCCTGCCTTGATATCACCCAAGTTATGAGCAGAGTAAGAAGATGGACATTGCGTCACAGAACCAGCGATAGCAAGCTAACACGCAAGGAGAGCCAGCAATGTGGAAGTTCAGGCCGTTGGTTTGCGTCATATTGGAGTGTTCAGCTCGGAGACCTGGAGGCCCTGTGACCTTTTCTCATGGGACAGAATAGGGAATCATTATCATAAATCTAGCCACAAAAGCAAAATCACAAGTCAATGAAGAATAGAGACATCAAAACCCTCTGATTTTAGATCTTAAGCAGTTATCTCATCACTCTGAGCCTCAGCTTCTTCACCCATAAACCAAGGTTAATAATACTTACTTCATGAGCTTATTGACAGGATTCAATGAAATCATGTAAGTACAAGCCTTAGTCTGGGGTGTGCCATGCAATTGGCCTGCAATATGGCGACCATAGCTCTGCTGGTATGACTCCAACGTACTGGACTCAGACAAGCTCTTCAAGGCCTACATTAGGTTAGGCCCAAGGGTTTTGAGATGGTCCAACATGATCCTCATCATTTTCAATCTAGAAAACATTCAGGTATCCCCAGCTCTCAGAGGGCTTCAAGCAGTATTTTCAGGGCACCATAAAGTCACAACTGCTCCAAAAGCACCTCTAACCAGCCGGGCAAGTCAACAACCTCCTCTCTTTTCTAACTTGAAAGTTCCATTATTTGAGTCATTCCATTATTTGAGGCTCCCACAGCTGGATAAGTAATGGCCAGGCATCTTACACCTTTTCTGTTCTCTAGCTAGCTAGCTATCTCTGTCACACACACACACACACACACACACACAAATAAGCGCGTGCTCGGAAACCTGGACACACACATACACAAGCATTAGCCAGCTATCTGTTTGCACCAGAAATGATCAGATTGTACTGACTCAACCACAAATTCCATTTTCTGCAACCACAGTTGGGCCCTTGATGTTGCTAACCCCTTCACCCCAACCTGGTCTTAACACCTGACTAAGCAGCTAACTCACTGCTAGCAGATGGTCACAATTCTCACCACACTGTGACCAAATCCACACAGGGTACTATCTCAATTCTCTCCTCCTCCACTTTAAATTCAGGGAGCTCCCACCCCTGCCTAGAGTTTTTTGTTCCCTTGCCTAGCAGAAAGTAGGCACCTAGGAGAAGGAGAGCCACAAGGCAGGAAGAAGAAAAAGAAAACTTCTCCAGGCTCAGAAAGGAAAATTCTAGAGCATTAAGAGGAAGTTAAACTGATGAACTGACATTTTAATAGTTAAATTAAACTTAACTTATAATAGTTTCAAGTTAAACTTGAACTGCCATTGTAATAAGCTTCATGAATTGGTCATTCAAAGGTATCTGCAGATTTAAAATCTTTGTTACCCAAAACAGAAATTGAAAAAATACTGAGAACTTGAGAAATCTAAGGGAGTCACTTTTGGGAATAGGATCTTTTATCAGTGACATCCATCCTCTCCCCATTATGGGGTTACCTCCCCATGAGGTTGACCTTACCATATGAAGAGTATTCTTAGAGGTGGTTTTAAAATCCATCATCTTCTAGCTCATGTTAAAAATTATAAAATTACCTGATTGGAATTTAAAAGCTGTATATATTTACAGCCACAATTCTTTGAGTCTAACACCTGTCATTTATTTGTTTTTAACAGCAGCAATGGCCTGGCATATGATAGGTACTCAAGAGATGTTCCTTAAATAAATGAGTGATCTGGCAGAGGAAAAGCTAAGCCATGCCCAGGTGCTTGGAGACCCTCAGCCTCCTCCCTTGAGCTATGTTTGCTGTGAAGATCCAGTAACCTCTAATCGAACAGTTCTACATGAGCACATGCAAGCTGTACCTTGTGCTAGATAGGGAATCATACCCTTCCCAAATTTGCCTGGGAAAAAGCAGAGACTCCAAGCAAGGCGTGAGGTCCCAGGCTGCTGAGCTAAGCCTACTATTCTCATGATCAGGGCAGCTCAGGTTTCTCTGCAGTGGGGAATAGCAAACTCTCTGAAATATCTAATATCAAAACCGTATGCCTTTAAGGTGAATAGTCATGGACACATTCTCCTTTGGGAGAAAAAAGAAAAAAGTTCTACTAAAACTAAAGTCCCAGCTGATTTCCGACACACTCAGCAATGAACAAATTGTTACCAGGCCAGCCTTCCAGGCTAGAGGTTCTGACTTCACTCCCTCAGGACCCTCCTCCCAAGTGGAAACTAACTTATTTTTAAATGTCTGTGTTCCCTGTCAATGCAGGCAGACATTTTAAGGAGACTTTAGACACTATGCATTGTTACATGAATAACCACATCTGCATGCAAAGCAGTAAGAGATACTAACTCCAATAGACCAAATGTGTGCTTTTCCCCATTGCTTTCAACTCCAAGAATCTGAACAAACAGAAAAGGTCATTCTGATCTTTTTTCTTCAAAGATTAACAATAGGAAAACAGGAATAGTATATTTTCTTATGATAAAAGCAGAAGCTTGTTGGCAACTTCTTTTGAATTCTTACTACCAACCACAGTACTGGTGTTAAATTAAAAAATTACTCATGACACTTGTGTCAAAGAACACAATTTCAACAAATTGAGTTTTAAAGATCTAATTGGCTTTTACTAGTGATTCATGAACCAGGCAGCATCCAGTCTACAAAATAGACAGGAGCTCCATTGGAGATGGCAGAACAGTCAGTTTTTGTAAGGTAGCTTGAGCGGGAACAAGGCAACAGCCTAATGCAAAAACTGGATTGGTTAACATCAGGTTACCTCAGGTTACTTTCCTTTATTTTACTACAGGTTACTTTCCTTTACGGGTTAAAGCAGTGGAGACTGCTTTACATGCTGGCTTAGGTGGACTGGGCTTCTTTTGATTGGTTGCTGTGAATCTCTTATTTTTTCAGAAAACTTTCCTGCTTAGGGTTTTGGTTATAATCTCTCCTGATTTCTCCAAAGGTCAGATCTTACAAGTAAACAGCTTAGGTTTCAGTTCGGTGACAGGGAACCTTAGCTTGAGTGACTCCATTTTGGTTGGTCTCTTGGAGCCTGGTACAGGAGCTCAGTCCAATCAATGGCCTACCACACATTTAACACTTGTTAAAGATGGTAATGCAAACTTTATTCAAGGGGCAGGGGACATGGCTACAGGTATAGAAACCACCACAGTGGGGTCTTGCAGTGGGGGAGAGAGGCTGGCTCAACTCTGACTCCAACAAATACATGACAGGTTTTATCACCAAGGAGCAGGTGGGCAGGGGGCAGTGGATAGAAAATTACTAACAGGAAATATCAAGGATAAAGGTTTTCTGGCTAAATCAACTTGATAGGATTATGGCCGAAGGCAGGCCAGGGTGATAAGATATCAAGGAATTCCAAGGGTGGAGAATTTTTTCTAACCTGACTTAGGAGGATTGTTGCTCAAATGGGATTCTATAAGGACACAGGGGGAAGTTCAAGGTCAATCAGAGGACTCAGAGGAGCCTGACTAAAGTTTTGGTCAAGGGAAAGTCTTTGTCACTGGTAATGTAGTAGGTACCCAATAAATAATTGTTGATTCAACAAATCAACATTCTTCCCCAGATCCGCCAGACTAATTACTTCTCACAACAACTTTGTGTGGCAGCACCTATCTATGGCAGTGGTTAAATTCTCCCTCCCTCGGAGCTCATTCTGTATTCTATCAAGTCATTTTCTAACAGAATTCTTTCCATCACTCGTGTACTTTCTTAAGAGTGAGGAAATTAAAACGGGGAGAGAAGGTTCAAGGCCATGAGTCAGTCCAAAGGCAGAGTAGGGAATTCCATTAATAACTTAAAGCACAAATCCACCTTCCTTTGCCATGAGGATGGGTCTGAAAGTGCTGGCTTGTTACTCCAGCTGCAACCCACACATTGCTGTATAGTCATCCCTGTTATCGCAGCTCTTGGGAGTGGGAAACCTACAGAGCAGTGGCGATGACAGTGACTCAGAGAACACATGAGTTCTTGTTGGTTCAAGGACCTCAAGAAATAAAACACTCAAAATCAATGTAATATGTAACACAGTAACCATTTTAACACCCTCCTAATCTCCTAGGGCCAAAGTGGAGAATACCGATATTTGGGATTAGAAAAAGACACTGGATAGCTAATTTTAAGAACAATTCAAGCCCCGTAACTTCACAAGCATTCCTCAATGCTCAGGAAAAGAAAACATGACAAAGAAATATTTTAAGTAGATATTTTCCAGTCCACTAAATTTTCTATTGCAAAATTGAATGTCCTTTTTAAATCTTCCAGTAGCCTTTTAAATATTCGATGACAGGGATGTTGTCTTCAATTTTTTGTTTTTTTGGTATTGCTCCTTGGCAACTAATATAGTTAGTGCCTCCTAAGTTTTTCTGAGTAATTTCTCTAAAAATTAACAGCTATTTTTAAACAGCAATATTCCTCCACTTATGAATTTATTGAATATTTTTTGGCACCTACAGTATGCAAATCACAGAACCAGGCACCATGGCACATGTGTAAGAATAAGACAGCATCTGGTGTGAAAATTAGAAGGGGAGTGCATTCATCATCACCTATCCTAGAAAAGCAGAAACCATTTGTATTTCAAAATAAAAGAAATTTAATATATGGGAATTGATTATACATGTGTTGCAAGAACAAGGAGCCCAGAAATAAACAAGAGCAGGTGCCACTGTCATCCCTAGGCAGGAAAACAGGAGACTGTGCTCCCAGAACCCAAGGGCAGGGACCACCATTAGAGGCTGGAACTGTCAGCTGCAAGGTGGAGTCTCAAAAGAGATACAGCTCCATTGACACAGCTTCCAAAAGCCAGAAGGGAGTGGGAGAAGACCCTGGTTTCTCATGCTAGCACCTGCCATTGTTACCACCCGGTGCGAAACCAGTTGACACAAAAGTCTGGGCAGCTTAGCCCTAAGGTCGGCCCCTGTGATACAGAACAGAGCAGGGAAAGGCCAGGGTTTGAGAGCAAGCAGGCCATACATAGGGAGCTTTGACAACTGTATAACAGCCAAATTCAAATTAGTGCTATCACAGGGAAAGTAAAATAAATATTCAATAAGCTTATAATATTGCCTTAACTGAATTACAAACAACAACAAAAAATAATAATAACCTCATGACATTTGGAAAAAAGATATATCAATTCCACTTAGAATGGCTGATGCTTTATCAAAGAGGCAGCACTCTGGAAATTTGGAGAAAACCAATAGAATTTCAAAAGCTACAGGAGGAATAGGAAGGATTCTACTTGCAAAAGCATCAACACATAGATATTCTGGCATCGTCTGGTGGAACCATATTGAAGATGCACTGAAGTATGATGTTAAGGAATGTAAATTTTTTCTGGTAGATCAGGAGTCACTGAAGATTTAGGACCCAAAATCTTCAGTGACAGAATCACAGCTGTGATTTAAGGATTCATCTGGCAGCAGCATATAAAATCCTTTGGGAATAAAGATGCCAGGTAAAAGGTAATAAAGTCTTGAACCAAGGGGGCATCCACGGAACTACATGGAACGTTCTTGATTTAGTGTTATCCAGTTGGAAGCACTGTGCAAAGAACTAGAAATGGGAGCCCTCCCATGATAGCTTGGAAAAGATGTCTCTGTTGTCTGCATACTTTGGGGCACATATGAAAAGTGATGAGGGTTTAAAGCCTGGCCATGGATAACATTATGCAGAGGGAAAGTCAGAAAAGAAATGTGTTTCATCAAAGGCTTGAGCATAGAAGGAAAGGTGCTTAAGAAGAGAATAGGGGCAGTAGCGGAAGGGGGAAGACCCAGGAGAATATCGCATTTCAGTAGAAAGGGTTTCCAAAAAAAGTGAACAAGCAATTATGTAAAATGCAGCAGAAAAGTCAAGGAGAATGAATATTGAAAAGGGGTGGGAGGACTTTTAACTTTATAGAAAATTTCAGGAAGCATCCAGAACTGAATTTGAAATCAAAACGTCTGGGCTCAAGATACATAAAATAATTTCTCCCTATGTATTACCTCTACTCCCTCATAATTTCACTATACATGTAGTTCTTTGTGTCCTCTTTGACTATTCTCTTCAGCATAATCTTCCAGTTTCTACATCCACTGCTAATGCTTCCATATTCTTGATATTTAAAAAGCAAGTGCATTGTCATGTCATGATGCCCACAGAAGCCAGAGAGAGTAGGGTCACACCATATATAACTGGGTTACCTAAAGACTTGTCCATTAGCATATATTTAGAAGGGGCTATGGGCATCACAAGCAAAGACTGACTTGTCAAGTTAAAGCTAACATATAACTTCTATAGTTAAATAGCAAAATTTAGCAAGCATTTGGTAATAGGCTCGATTAGCATGGTTTCCATTTTTTTCTAGCAATTGTATACAAAGCACTGAAAAAGAGAAAATGCAAAGAAGAATGTATAGAATAGCACATTTATAGACTAGTGTGTTGGCCTCTTCAGAAATCCAGCATTGTAGAGAAGATATCATCCACAGTACTAAGTTTAAACCACTTAAGCTGAAATTCAAAACCCTACACAATTTGATAACAGCCTACTTCTCTAACATTATCTCTCTCTAGCCATTCAGTCAATAACTCAAATTCCTATAATTCAACAAACAAGCACTTACTCCATTCCAGGCATTGTGCCAATCACTACACTAAGCACCCACAAGCCAGGCTGCTCCCATCTAAAACGTTACTACCCCTACTCCTTTACTGACCAGTCTGTTCTCAGCAGGAAAGCCTTTGCTCTTCTCTGTGCATATTGAAATTCCTCGATTATTGACAGCATACTTGGGAGACAGGAGCAAGGCTGTGCAACCTGACTGCTTTGGATTTAAATCTAGTTCCACCCTTAGGCAGCTGTGTGACCTTGGGCAAGTTACTTAAATGCTTCAATTTCCTCCTCTGTCTTCCTTCGAGGAATGTGATGATTAAACACATATATGAAGCACTTAGAAGAGTGTGTCAAGGTATTTAAAACCATACCAGGAATTTAGCAACTGTTTAATAAATGTTAAAAAGTAGTAGTAGTAGTTGTTGTTGTTGTTGTATTGTGATTCTCAGCTGCAGATGCACCTCCTTCACAATACCCCACACTCATAAATCTAACTCATGGTCCATACTCACATGGTTCTTATCATATGTGTCTTTGCATATGTTTTATATCTGATACATTTTTTTGGAGGCAGGCTATTATGCATTTTTTTTCTTCCCTCAGCACACAGCCACATGCACCACAGTCCCTAATGGTAATAGTAAACTGTGTGAGTGTGTGTGTGTGCGTGTGCATGTGTACATGAATTCAGTGGACCCTAAGGAAAATTCTATGGAAGAGGGACAGTCATGGTTCTTCCATCACCAAGAAACATCAAAGTTTGGGGTCACCAAAATGAAGGAAAGTAGCTATAGCATCTTCTTTGCAATAGGCCTTTAATACTGTGTCTATCCTTCTTACCAGTCTGGATTAGTTTAGATTCATTTCTACTAGAGGGCAGGGAATGAACTAAGTAATTTGTAATTCCACCAGTTCACCCCTTCAGAACACCTCCAGATCATCACAACTCCCAATTTTGCTTTGTTAAATGCAGACCAGCTGGGAACCAGCCCAGGACCCTGTATCCCTGAAGTTAACCCACACTCATATTGCTTGGACCAGCTGGGGCTGGCCTGTTTCTGGTGAGACAAAGAGCCAATAGATGATGGTCTGACATGCCAAGAAGTGATCATAGCTGCTTCAGAGGTCATCAGTAAAGAATGTCAGAAGGAAATGGCCCAAGGCAGTAGAAATGCTTTTGCCCTCTTAGATGGTAGTTTCGCAAGCCAATAGACAAATGACGAGCTGGAGCTGGAAATAGCACAGGACTAGTATTAGTGATAGTACTGGGAAACGGCTTTAGCCTGAGGCTGGACCACATATCTTCCACCCCTTGCTGAGAGGAACCACTGCCTAAAACAGATAAGTTTCCCAACATGACTAACTTGAGTGACTATCTTTTTGCCGCTTTTCCCCTCACGCTGACCAGAAATGAGGCATCAATGAAAGTACACACTTAAGAAAAACCTGCTGTTCTGAGCTGCATCCTCCCTGGGACAAATTCTCTGGGGCAGAAGTAGACACTACCCTCAGTTGAGTGGGCTCACCATTTTCTTCAGCCCCTTCTCAAGCCAGAACCAAGGGAATAGAACCAGCATTCTGTTCACTCCTGAAATCTATGTTAACTCCAGCGCTGGATTATCAATACAAATTAAAGTACAGAATTTGAGGAATTACACATTTTGCTTTAATAAATTGAACTGTGGTGAGATTAGCCCTGCAACATCATTGCATTCACTCATTTTCCTGTCTATATGTCACTGTTTCCCAAGTTTTATTCTACAGAATAGTGCCACGAATTATTAATAGGGAATCCCTGAAAAAAAATAAAAGGTTCCAGGTAAAACAAGTTTGGGAAACATGGTCATATGCTTCCTTGAATGGGAGAGAAAGGAAGAGAATGGCAGCTGCAGTCGAGTCATTGCAGGAGCCCTGGGTTCACCATAGGGTGGGCACCACACACAGGCTAAGACCATCAATGAAATGTGTCGGGAGCCTTGAGGAAGGATGCTTCTTTTTGTGACTTTGGGAGGCCTACAGGAACAACCCCAGCATTCCATATTAAAATGCATGTCCAATGTCATATAAAACCAGTCTAAAAACTCCCACTACATTCTTAAAACTCTTATTTTCTAGAAAATTCCAGAAATATGGATCTCTATTAAAGACAATCTTGAAAGAAGGTTAAAAGTTGCCTGCAAGAGTCCTACAAAGAGCAGGAGCGTACACACTGTGGATGATTCCAGACCACCACCTACCTTCCTGTGGTTCTAACGTATTAGCTCTATAAGCAAGAAGTCAGTCATTAAATCCACAGATTGAGAATGTCCCTTTATTGATTCCAGAAGGGAACCTGAAACACAGGTTAAGTAATAACCTGAAGCATAAAGAATTTATTATCCAGAGCAAGTGCTGACTCTTCTGGATCATATTGGAACGTACTCCCTTCCTGCTCCCTCTTTAATTATCATTTTTAACAAAAATCCAGTAGTTGGCCAAAATTCTCTGCCCAGGCAGGCCCAGAAATGCACTGAGGGGTAGAGGGAGAAGACGACTTTCACCCAAAGGGAACAATGCTCCATCACTCTGCTTCTTCATCACACAGGAATATGATCTAATTTAACATCACAGCTAAAATTCACCTTGATATTTATGTCCCTATCTGGTATCTGTGAGGCTAGGGGAAGGGCAGAGACTTTTAGGCCACAGACAGGAGACTGTTGAGGGGGTTGTAGCCGTAATGTCTGCAGACCTGCATTAATTCACTTTGTTAATTTAACCAGGTAATTGGGCTGTGAGTCCTAAGAGCCAAGTTAGAATTCTGGCTCTGCTACTCATCAGCTGTAACAAAGGGCGATTTCCTTCCCATCTCAGTGCTTCCATTTTCTAATACGTAAAATGAGGTGGTTTGTACTAGATGATCTCGTGGTCTCTTGTGGCTACACTTCTAGCCACTAGACCATGGCTCTATGCAAAGAGGAACCACATCTTTCTTGTTCTGTTGTAAATCTAGCACCAAGTACAATTTCTAGAATATAACAGGCACTGAAATGGGTATTTTTAAGTGTATTAACGCTCAAATAAATAAAATGCTAAGTTCAACCCAAAACATGCAGCTAATTCATATAACGTAAGACAGTGTCCCTCTTTTCCCTCATTTTTGTCTCAGCTTCCTAGATGATACCCCAATTGCCCCCTCACCAGATTTACTTGGCTGGTGCTTTAAGTTCCATTGTCACCTATCAGAGATAATACAAGTCATCTAACTGGACCTTTAGAAAGAACATATGAATAATACAATGTGTCAGATATATTCACTGATGACAACAGAAATCACTGTTGGAAAAGAGCATCATGATAGATGGTGATGACTTGTCATTGGAGGTTCAGAAAGTGAAGAAACATTCTACAAAAAAAACCTGGTTGCTACACAGAGGTTCTCAGCAAGATAAAAATAGGTAGTACTAGCCCAAAGAACATTGCAAAGGTCAGGCATTTGTTTCTATATCTCCAAAGTTCTCTTTCCAGTCTCCTTCCCAAATTCAACAAAAGACTCATCATTTACCATATTTGCATGTTTAAGTCTTTAATCTTGTGCAATTTAAGACATATGTTTAAGGAATTTCAGACAATAGAAAACAGATGGGGAGATTTCTGGCAGGAGAGTTCAGTGAGAGGCAGAGAGGTCTTCATATCCTTAACACCGCACTACGCCTAAAACTGGTTTTAAACCAAAACTACCTATACAAACTTTTCCAGTGCCCTGTGGTCTAGGGGTTGGAGTGCAACAAGAAGTGACAGAATGCTTACGTGAAAGGAACAAGGAGTTGCCTGGCCTGTTTCTATCTTCCTGCTCCTGCATGGCCAGACTCAGGGTGCAGGGCTCCCTCTGACTGAGCCCTTTACCCTTCCTGAGGCCACTATCCCAGTATAGGGCAACCCAATTCCCTCAAAAAGGGTAACGGGCTTTCCTTACAACATTATTCCTTAGGGAAGCTCAGCTTCTAAGGTTCCTGATCATCTAGTTCTCTAGGACTAAACCAATCTGATATGGTGACTCTAGTTTTCTGCACGAGATCCATGGGCTGACCCATAATCTAAAAAAAACCTGAAAGAATATTTGAAATTATGCCTGCATCACAATATTGGGCATGCTCCAACTCAGTAGAAGACCAGGCAGCTTGAAGCATTAGCATGGGGTACAAAAAGCCCCAGGCCTGCTCAAGGAAAAGAAAGCCAAGATCAAGGACAAGAGAACCTTACTGGGAGTAAGATCTAGAATCTGAGTGTGATCATATACATGTTGATGATAACAAAGAAAAAGAACGCAGCATCAGGGAAAATTATTCATGATGAGACAAGTTATTAGTACCAGTGGACTAAACAATGGGGGAAAAAAGTTCTATTTTTTTTCTATAAAAGTAATACTAAATGTAACCATTGCAATACTAAATATAACCATACACCCATCAATGTATGGCCAAATACAACAGAAGTAACGTATATTTTAATGTGACAAAATTGTTAGTTTTATTAAATGACAATGCTAAAATGAACTGCTTATTCTTCTTAGCCTGTAATTTGTGGTTGTCAATTTGTTCCTAAAGTAATAAAAGACAACATTATTGAAAAATCTTGATATTATTTGGTTTGTCTACCTCTATGCAACGCCACATCCTTATCTCCAGGTATTATATGAAATATGTTATGTTATTCTAAATCCCTATCATTTTGTGACTTAAGATTATATTGCTATTTTGAACTGTTTGAGAGTTTTTGAGGGTTTTATAATTTCCACTGGCATGGGCAGTATTGTATTTAAGAAAATGATGTTGTTATCAGGTAAACTTCAGTATGAATATCACTTAAGAAATATTCAAACTTGCACTGTGAGGTATTACTTTACCTCTTTACATCTCAGTGTGCTTTTCTATAAAATGGGTATAATAATTGCTATGATTGAATATACCAACTAATGGTACTACATAAGGGTTGAGACTTATAAAGTCTCATAGTTGGGCAGCCCTTAGATTATCCAAGTGATCATCTAATCATGGTTGTAGAGATCATCTTTTCTTATGTATAGTTTTTAAAAATTAAATACCTTGGATGATAATGCTAAAAAAGGACAAATATGTAACTGGGATATCAGATGTGAGGACTGTTTAGAAGGAAAAAAATGTTTAAATCACTGAATCTACACTGGTCCAAACAAATGGAAATGAGTCCTATTTCTGAAGAACTTAGTCTACCTAGGAGCTCTTTGAATTTATACGAAGTAGTGAGCTTATTAATGTAGTCATGCTGTATCTTAAAGTTACCTTCTATTTTTTCCCAGCTCTGTTTATTATCATAGCTAATGATTCCAGTTCTTTCTTACTGAACCCAACTTCTGCCAGACACAGGGCTTGGTAAGATGGATGGATGGATGGATGGATGGATGGATGGATGGATGGATGGATGGATGGGTAGGTGGATGGGTGGATGGGTAGGTGGGTAGGTGGATGGGTAGGTGGATGGGTGGATGGGTAGGTGGATGGGTGGATGAGTGGGTGGGTGGGTGGATGGGTGGATGGGTGGGTGGGTGGGTGGGTAGCTGGGTGGTTGGATGGATGGGTGGGTGGATGGATGGGTGGGTGGATGGATGGGTGGTTGGATGGATGGGTGGGTGGATGGATGGATGGGTGGGTGGGTGGATGGATGGATAAGTAGATAGACAGATAGATAAAATGATAAATATACATAAAATCTCAGGTAATTTTAAGAACAACCTTTAACATGGTTACTATTAATTTTCCCTCATTTTACATATGATGAAAATGAGGTTTAAAGATGCTAAGAAATATGCCCCAAATCACAAAGCAAGTAAGATATTTCAAACAATAGCAAATAAATGCATCGTTACTTTTGCAAGACAGTGGGATAACAGTATCATCAAGTATCTATGGACTATTATCCCTATAAATAAAACTTGAATCATTAATTCTCCTTCGAAACAAAACTAGAAATCTACTAACCTATCCCATGGCGTAGGATATTCAGTAACATATCTGGAAGGAAAATACAGAAAAGGTCACTACAAGCAATAAAAACTCTAAATAATAGTAGCAGGAATCATAACAACAATGATGATAGCAAGAGGAATTAAGGGAAATAAAGAAGAGCCAGTATTTCCTTAAACATCTGCAAGTGACTTTGTGGAATCTCCTTGAGATTTTTCCAAAAAAGATAGGTAAATGTGAAATAGAGATACTCAACTCCAATGAATGTTATCTAGAATACTTTAGTGAGATCTCACAGCCTACGCAAATGGCACAAGCTATGTTCTCTAATGTGTTTCTCAATTTTGGCAAGTATATGGATGTCTTATGGATATGGTCATCAAAAAGTCATTGTTAATATGACACTAGAATCCTGTGACTACAACAACTCTAGCAACAAATTTTCTTCAGAATAATATCTCTGACTGGTTTATGGCAAGTGATTGGTTTATGACTGCTAAGTCCATCCTGATATGAGCTTAGAAGATGTTTTCCATATTGGTCTTGAAGAAACTTATACTTTCATCAGCAGGGGCCAGGACCTGAAGCTCCTCCAAGATTTTCCCAGTATCACCAGATTCCTAGGTCTATGACTCAGTTACAACATGTTCAATAAATATTGACTACGTGCACATGATTTTCCTATTGCTGTGCTCTCTGCAATGAGGAATGGCAATAAATGAAAACACAGTACCCCATCTGGAAGGAAATGAAATATCATGGATTTGGAGCCATGTGTTAATTATTGCTAACCTTCTCTGGAGTCCCTAGGTTAAGAGGACACTCCAAAGCCTCACAGTGCCCTGGAGCTATCATAGATAGTAACTACGATTCTCAAGTATCTTTTAGGCCCCAGTGCTCCGACCCCAATCGCACAATCCATTTGTATTGGCTCCCATTCCAGTAGGTGCAAAGCTACCTCATTCAAGTTCTTCCCTGCAGATTTCTCCTTTCAAGATGGTTGATTTATCCAGAAGTACAATCTAGCTTTTTCTAGTAAACTATAGGGCAAATAGTATTGTCGCACACTTCTGAGTTGGAAGTGATAAAACCGGAAAGATACAACAGAATAATTGAACGCCTCTTCTTGTATCCCAGCACCACCGGGTCTTCCTCAGCCTATTCCTGGACAGTTTAAACCTCAAGCAAAGGCTTTCTGTGCTCTGACACTCCAGGCTCACTTCTCCTCACGACCTTTAACTTGCTGCTCCCCTGTGCCTGGGGTGCTCCCCCAAAAAACGGCTGTGGCATTCCTTTCCGCACTGCATTCAGATGGCTGCTTAAATACCACCTTTTCAGAAATGCTCCCCTTGGCCACCCTACCTAAAAGATTAAAATCTCACTATCATCCTGACTCCTCTATCTTATTTTTTATCATTTTTAACCCCTTGAAAAAACGTATTTCTCTATTTTCTGTCTCCTCCCAGGTTACACTTGAATGTAACCTCCCTGGCAAGGGGAACTTTGTTTTCTGCAACTGCCCAGTTTCCCAGACCTAGGAAGTACTTCACTGACATATTTCGAGTTAAAACAAAAAAAGAAAACAATGGGTAAGACAGACTTATTTGCTTTTGAGTGCAGAGATCAATTGTCTGAGCAGGGAGGCAAACTTATCTTTAAAAGCTGGCTCTACCTACTAGATTATTCAGGTGGTGTTTTCTTTTTGCCCTGGCATCTTGTACCTTGCTTCTCACTTCCAGGACATATTTAGCCCAGAGCCTCAGGAAGGATTTGGAGAGGGCTTATTACAGGCTAAGATTTAGACCTATGCACATACCCAGACTCAAGATCAGACTTGCGTTAAAACCACAGACACAGAGCAGCCATTGACTCTACCACAATCAAAGTTTGATCATAACATAGAAATGGGAGATTAACTAAGAGGAAGCCAATTAGCCAGGACACTCAACCTCTTGGACCACAGCTGATTTTGAAAGTTAAATGTTTGATGGAATCTTGCTTCCTCATTCTCAATGACCTAAAGCAGAGGCACAGGGAGGTGAAATGGTTTGCCCAACATCCCACAGTGTATCAGCAAAAGCGATGGGCTTGGAAACCACCAGGTTTCCATTTCCTGTCTATGACCACACTAAGAGTGAGAATCCTCAAGAGGCATGCAGAGTAAGCTCAAGCACTGATGGTAAGGTAGGAGGAAGGAATCACACACACAAACTCACACTTTCTCTCATTCTCTCTCTCACACACACACCCCACATACTACTGATAAATGTGGGCTTCATTAAGTTGCCCTTCCCAAGTTGTCTATAAAATTGCATAAATATCAAATCTTTTCCTTGAAAATTTCCTGGATGAATGTGTTCTTTCCTCTATAAACTTGCTGAAGGCTTAGCTATTTCTCTAATCTTTGAGTATATCATTTCAGTTCTTGCCAGCATGAAACTATCTCGAGGGAGCACTGAAAGGAGCTAAGTCTCTTGCATTTCAACTTTCCACAATCCAAAGTCAACCCAGATTATTACAAGTTTTCTCACATCCTTCACTTCCCCCAGAGAGAACTATCTTTTGAGGAACCTATTTCATCTATGACAAATAAATGATCTGAAGTTTTATAACGCCCCTCAAAGAGCAAGTTTAGGCTTTGAGCACTTCAACAATCAGAAGAATAAAACAACCTAACAAGAGATGCAAAAGACCTGGAAACAAGTGGCAAAGGCAGATTAATAATATAATTTCTACCATCTTATTTCTTTTTGTCCTTTCTCTCACTACCTGGTTAATCTCTTATTAATAGTTCTCCATCAAATATCTCCCCTCGCCCTTTCAATATCTTCAAACTCCAATCTGATGCACAAAGCTAACAGTATAATCCTTCAGCTGATATTGGTGGACCCTTTACATCCAGTTATAATCAGTACTCCTCACTGTGATAGTTAAGGATCCTCACAGTCTGGGCCCACTCTATTGTGGTGGTCCCTAAGAGGAAGGGGAGGTGCATTGTGCCTGCATCCAGGGTACATTTTTGTCATGACTCCAGGTATGCTAGTGGTATTGGCAGTATCTAATAAATAAAGAGCAGAGATGCTGCTAAATATCCTACAATGCATGAGACAGCCCCCTGCCACAAAGAATTGACCAGTCTCAGTACTGCTGAGGCTAAGGAATCCTGTTCTGCAGGCTTCGCTCCACTCCTTTGTGGTTGTGTAGTTTTGTTTTGTTTTGTTTTTTCGATTGACTCTTTAATAGATGATTTGCAATCCCCTATACCTAGACATTGTTTATGAGTTCAAACCCTTGGACATCATCCTTGCCCCTCTTCTACCTGGAAGCCTTAGACCCTTTCTTTAGCTGGCAGACCCCTGCCTTTACTTTAAGGCCCATCTTCTCCTTGAAAGCTTCCTGGATGGATGTGCTCCTTGCTTTCTAAATTTACTGAGTGCTTTGCTAGTCCTCTCTTATGACATTTATCACCATTATCTGGAATTACGTACTACAGGCTCTAAGAAAGTAAAACTCTTGTTTGTTCAAGGTTATATGGCCAGTACCTTCGAAGAGTGGAATATAGCAAGTGCTAACGAATACTTGTTGATCAAATGAGGATTTATCTGTGATGTAAACTCACAACTCTCCTATCAAAGTTCCCTGGAACTGGAAACATCTTTAGCTCTTCTCTGAATCATGTATCACTTCTTCCTAGAAGGTGCTTAATGAACAATGCTTATATGTCTAAATATTTAAATGAATACACATAGAGTATAATAGAAATATTAAGTAAATATGTAAATACAAAAATACATATATTACATATTAAGTAAATACACAAATAAGGCTTGGCCTGTAGAAATTCAAGTCCTAGGCAACAGTTCACCCATCTCAATTTTCAATTACTTCTAAGAATCATGTCACAAGTATGTTTCAATGTCTGACAGTTCCTCATTTTTAAAAAGAACACCAAAATGAGCATTTAAATGTTAATTGCTCATCTGGAGAGCACATGAAACAGAAAACACGCAAAGACAGGATGTGTTGCTAGTTGTGCCTGAGTAGAAACTAATATACTGCCCTGAAACACTGACTTCAGCTTCTAGTGACACATCACAAACCTGTTGCAACACAAAGTGCAGGCTAAACATAACCAAATTATAATGACAATATTTAAGAATAGAGAGAATTGACTGGGAGACAACAGTAAACTTGGGGCCCTAGTGGAAATTCAACTTTACAGCTAATTTTTATCTAATGTGCTGCAGTTTGTCAAAATTTTCTTGTAGCCCGTATTCAGTGAAGATGGAGAAGAGCCCCAATTCTGGGGAATAAGTCTATATATTTTTGTATAGCAATTCATACTCCCTCATCTTTTTTGCCAGACACACTGATTCCTTCATTTTTATCTTTTATCATAGGTGTTGTTTTCTGCTTTATAGTCATCCTTCCATATAATTCCTAATATTTTCACAAATTGCATACATAGAGAAACAAACAGCATTTTAATTAGCACTCACCTTGCTAAGCCCGTTACATGCATTATCTCATTTAATTCTTAAGAGAGCCCTAAAACACAGGTATGATTATTATTCCGTGTTCACATTAGGAAATTGAGGCTTGGAAAATTTAAGGAACTTGCCCCATGTCACACAGCTTAAATGACTCAGAGGTTTTGTATGCTGCGAGCGGCTTCTGTGACAGTTTTTAAATGTCTTTGAATTCATCAAGCTTCTAGTAATTATTTATTGGGCACCAGTAAAGACTCAGGCTTTGTGATGGCTTTGGAGAGAAAGTGGAAAGCAATAAGGCATGTGGTCTTTCCTCTCAGGAAGCTGACAGCTACTGGACAAGGTAGATGTTAATCAAATTCTCATAATGACCCTAAATGTACAAACTGTTTCTTGATGCACAAGAAACAGAGGCTCTGAAAATATGTAATCGAAGAACCTAGCTATAACTTTGAAGTTAGGAAAGGCTTGGAGTGGTTAGGAATTAATGATTAATGCAGAATTCAGAGGCACAGAAGATGGGAAACATCTCAGAAAGAATGAGCAGCACCTGCAGAGGCCACGGCAGGCAGGAGTGTGGCACAGTCAACAAACACAGAGGGACCTCGAGAGGGAGTGCAGGATGAGGGCAGGTGGGGCCAGATTGAGTTGGGTTCCCTAGACACAGACTCTGAGACAAGGACTGGGTTCAAGTATAGTTTAATTAGCAGATGATTTCAGAGAGCTCAGTGAGGGAGGAGGAAAGTGAGAAAAGACAGGAGGACAGCAACAGTGGATTTCCACCTGAGCAACTGGGCCTCAGTCCCGCTAGGACTTCTGAGATCCCATGTAAAACATACTTCAGAGTTGTCTCACTGAGGGACAAGAAAGGTGGGCCACTCATCCCCAAGCCCCAGGCTCAGGGGTGCTCCTGGAGACCCCAGTGTGCCTCCTGGGAGAGAGCATGCCAGGGCAGGAGCTCTCTGCATGTGGGGGAACTGCCACACATGTCGTGAGGCTGGAGCATGGTCAGCCTGTGCTACAGGACTTAGGCAACTCCACCCTAAGAGTGATGGGGAGCTATGCAGCAACCTCACCTGGGGCGAGGCTGTATCCTGATCAGATTTAGGTTTGGAACATTGCAATGTGGACAGCAGATTGGAGGGAGGGAAGGGCGGATGTCAAGAGGCAGCTAGAAGTTACCAGAGGCAGGACCAGCTGCATAACATGTAAAGACCAGTGCAAAGCAAAATGAAAGGACCCTTGCTCACAAAGAAGGATAAAAGTGCGTTTAAAGGTAGGAAAACATTAAGTTTATTCCTTTCTCCTGTGCTAATGGGTCCTGTGGTTTTTAAATTGCTACTGAGTATTACGCTCTCTTGGGCACAGGGATACTCCTGGGGTGAGTGCAGATTCTCACTGGCACTCAGGAGGGAGTACCACCCTGTGACAAAGCCCAACTGCTCCAGGGTCAGCCACCAGCTTGAAATTCCCTGCCCCAGCTGGAAGTGGGGAAGTTGAGCCAGGTGTCTGCCCTTCCCATGGGCCTGCCACCCCAACCCACAGGAGAGGGGAACTCACAAAGAATTGTAACCTCCACATTAGGAAGTAAATCTGGGATGTGCAAGAAGCACACCCCTGCTGAGTCATGTGCTAAATGTGCCATGGCATTGCCAGTCCCTGGCAGGGATGGTCATCACCATTTTCAGTCCCAAGAACCCACACCCAACCCCAACCCTCCTCACACCTGTGGCCAGGTACCTGTTAGAGGCAGGAGGCGGCAGCAGCCATCGAGGTGGGCAAGAGGAGACCAGATGTAGCCTGGGGCACCAGGAACCAGGGAGTGGGTAGCCAAGAACCCTCAAGGGAAGCAGAGAGGCAGCAGGAGATGGAACAGTGTATGAGCCAAGGCACATGGTCCCATCACTCTCCTCTTACAAAATGTAAGTTCAGAGATAAAATTGGCATTAAGCAGTGCAAGACAGCTCATGCAGAGCATAAAATCCCAAGTTGAGGGTCCTTTGGAGTAAGGGTCCCTGTATGACTGCACTGGTCACATGCTTATCACGTTGGTCATGGGTCCAGGACAGAAAGGACAGTAACTTGGTCTAGCGTCTAAGATATGAAGAAATAAGCCAACCTGAAAAATGTTTGGGAGCTAAAATGACTTCAAATCATGGATTTCATATGAATGGGTATGATGGAGCAAGATGGGGAAATACAGGAGGATGCCTGTGTGTCCATGGAGGCATGCTACCAGATGTCCCTTCAAGAAAGAGCTTGCTATTTGGCTGCAGGAAGTGCAGTTAGCTGATAAGCTCCAGCCATTAGCACCTTCAGGATTTGCTTCAGCTTTTGTGCTCAAGCTACACTTTCCCCAGGCAGCTGTTAGCCAATGACCGCACACAGCAGGGATATTAGCGCCCATTCCTTTCTACCTAAGGCAGGACTCCTGTAATCGTTTTCTCTGGAGCCCCCTTTTGGGTTTCCCTAGACTTTGTCAGATCTGCATTATAGTTTGAGACTCCCGATTCTTAGTCCTACTTCCTCCCCCTTTTCCTTCCACAGGTATGATATTCGCATGGGTCTCTGAAGACATCCCCTGCTCAATCCTGTGTTCTTCCCCTTTCATAGGCATTATCCCTCCACTCCATAAACCTCTAGCTCCATCTCAGCATTTTCTTCCCAGGGAATCCAGCTGACACAGTGTCAAAGACATGTCCGAGTTATCTGTTTGGTGCATCTGCATGGACTGATCGGGGATACTAAGAAACAGCAGGTTTATTGTGCCTCAGTTATATCACCTAGCACCTTTGCAAAGCACTATGCTTGCTTCATTGGAGAATGTAGACTAAGATCACTGTTCCTCAAGAAGGCTATCATCTAGATGGGAAGACAAGGCTCAAGACAAATGAGCAGATGGCTTTTCCAAAGACCTGAAGAGAATTCTTTGCAAGAGATAAAAACCTCCAGATGTTTAGGCAGACCACACCTCAAAGATGACACAGCAAGTTTTCTCTGCCAACCTAGATATAACTTCTAGATTGTATGTGTGTGTATGTGTGTGTGTGTATCTGATGAATTTGTATAACTTCTCAACTCTGTGAAAGGTTAGTATTTCATAAGCCACCAAGAAACCTACCTTGACTTCCAGAAGAGTCTAAAACAGCCTCCAACACTATGTCCAAGAGGTTGCTAAATCTGTATTTTCAACAGGTCCCCAGAGAGTGGGTATGAACTGGGCTTTGGTGTGGGCCTGCAAAACAGGCCTAGCTATCCTTCCTAAAGGCCCAAATGCCCTGCTCCACCAAGCCTGGCTGGGCTAATTTGGAAAGTTACTCACGAGGACTTGCCTGTTTGATCCAAGGATGACATCAAAGGATTGATGCTCCATCTGTCAGCTCTCACTTTTATCTATTTGCTCTTTATTTAAAGCAACCATTTATAAACAGAGGCTTATGGAATTAATAAACTCCAAAAAAGATGATCATTCACTATATCTCTGCCAGGTGTTACAATAGAACAAAGAGAAGTGTTGAATCAAATGCCAAGCTTTGTAATACTTAATTCGGAAAGCAGAGTTTTCCCGGAATGACCCCCACTTTGGACAGAACCCCTACTGCACACTCATCCTATCTTTGGCAATTCAGCAACAATGTATTTTCCATCTTGTGGAGAGCCAGAATGCTGTTGGAGCAGTGGGATGTGCACTCAGCCTTTCTGCACATGGGGACCTGATCCAACCATCCGCACGTGACCACATGTTCTCTGAGGAGCTATTGTGCATTGGCATTGAAACATTTCAAACATTTCAGATCATGGGCGCTTCTTGGCAATGGTCCTTAGTAGTCTAAATAGGCAGATTAAAGAACTAGATAGCAGCCAATTGCCTTGCAGGTTTTGTATAAACTATTCATAACAAAAGTGTTGGAGGGAAGAAATTTTCTTTACTTCTCTCCCAGGTGAATTGAGGGAGGACCAGGGAGAAGCAAAGCTGCCTGTCCCTGGGTCTTCACTCTCACCTGTGTTTCCATCTGACCGATGAAGGCAAGCAGAGCAGACATGAAGGAGGGGTACATGCGGTGGATGGGTCCGCGCCTAGAGAAATCTCAACCACAGGTGGACTAAAACGGACATATCAGAAGGCTATGAACCATGATCACACACGGAATTCTAGAGAATCTAAGTCTATAGGATTGTATCTTTTATTCTTTCTTTCTTTTTGGCATGGGGTTGGGGTGTGCATTTATTTTATTTTTTATTTTATTTATACTTTTTATTTTTCCATAAGTTATTGGGGTACAGGTGATATTTGGTTACATAAGTTCTTTAGTGGTGATTTGCAATATTTTGGTGGACCCATCACCTGAGCAGTATACACAGCACCCTAGTTGAAGTCTTTTATCCCTTGCCCCCTCCTATCCCTTTCCCCAAATCCCCAAAGTCCATTGTATCATTCCTATGCCCTTGCGTCCTCATAGCTTAGCTCCCATATATCAGTGAGAACATACGATGTTTGGTTTTCCATTCCTGAGTTACTTCACTTAGAATAATAGTCTCCAGTCTCATCCAGGTCACTGCAAATGCTGTTGATTCATTCCTTTTTATGGCTATGTAGTATACCATCATATATATATATATATATACACACCACAGTTTCTTTACTCATTGATTGATGGGTATTTGGATGGTTCCACGATTTTGCAATCGTGAACTGCGCTGCTATAAACATGTGTGTGCAAGTTATCTTTTTTGAATAATGACTTCTTTTCCTCTGGGTAGATACCCAGTAACGGGATTGCTGGATCAAATGGTAGTTCTACTTTTCATTCTTTAAGGAATCTCCACACCATTTTCCACAGTGGCTGTACTAGTTTACATTCCCACCAGCAGTGTAGAAGTGTTCCCTTATCACCACACCCACGCCAACATCTACTGTTTTTCAATTTTTTGATTATGGCCATTCTTGCAGGAGCAAAGTGATATCACATTGTGGTTTTGATTTGCATTTCCCTGATCATTAGTGATGTTGAGCATTTTTTGCATGTTTATTGGACGTTTGTATATCTTCTTTTGAGAATTGTCTATTTATGTCCTTAGCCCACTTTTTGATAGGATTTTTTCACTGATTTGTGTTTGTTGTGGATTCTGAATATTAGTCCTTTGTCAGATGTATAGATTGTGAAGATTTTCTCCCACTCTGTAGGTTGTCTGTTTACTCTGCTGACTGTTCTTTTTGCTGCACAAAAGCTCTTAGTTCAGTTAGGTCCTAGTTATTTATCTTTGTTTTTATTGCATTTGCTTTTGGGTTCTTGGTCATGAAATACTTATCTAAGTCAATGTCTAGAAGGGTTTTTCCAATGTTATCTTCTAGAATTTTTATAGTTTCAAGTCTTAGGTTTAAGTCCTTAATCCATCTTGAGTTGATTTTTCTATAAGGTAAGAAATGGGTTGTGTCATTTTAAATCCCATTAGACTTTTTTCTCCAAGCTTAACAAAAGAAAACAGGCATGTGGATTCAAAGTCTCTGCCTTGCTGTTCCTACCTTGCTGTGGTAGGTTAGTCTGATTCATGCAGGCACGACAGGCCCAATCAGATGCTGCATATACAAATTCTACAGCTGAAAGGGGACAGCCCTGAGAATTCCAAAAATTCTTTTGCTAGGTGACAGCAAGGGCAAATCATGCTGTACAAGTCCCCGTTCCTCCTCCACAGATCCTCTCCCAACACTAGGCCTACATTCATAAACTTAGCCCTTCTCCATGAGATACAAGCAGAAAAGAATAAAGTCATTTGCTAGACGATTCTAAAAGTCACCACAGCTATTCACAGGAAATCATCATGCCAAAAGGTGTAGGGAGACACTCATATGAGGGGAGGTGGAGAATTGAGTGGGGAGATGGCATACTCAATAGCTCAGCTAAAAAACACCATCATGATCATCAACCCCAAGCCTTCCTTTTAGAGATGAATACATTGAACCCCAAAGATATGATGGGACCTGCCCAACATCAGTGGCAGGGCCCCTGCCAGGGCCTGGGTGTCCTAATCCCAGTCCTGCTGTTTCCATTCCTGCCACTGATGGGCCTGCCACAGCTGCTGATGGACCCTGACAGGAGACGTGGTGGGAATGGCTGCTTTAAGGACCACATCACAGAGTCCCTGGGCCCCTCTGTCCTTATTTTCATCTCTCTCCATGACTAGAGTCAAATAATTCTTCTTTGGAAATCACTTTCTAATACCAAACTCAGGGGCTTCCTGGACAAAAAGCCAGCTCAGTGCACTATGGCAACACACAGCAGGAGAAGGGAAGAAAAAATTACCCGTTAAGACATGTAATGCCGAATCCAGACCCAAGATGGCCGAATAGGAACAGCTCCGGTCTACAGCTCCCAGCGTGAGCGACGCAGAAGACGGGTGATTTCTGCATTTCCATCTGAGGTACCGGGTTCATCTCACTAGGGAGTGCCAGACAGTGGATGCAGGCCAGTGGGTGTGTGCACTGTGTGCGAGCCGAAGCAGGGCGAGGCATTGCCTCACCTGGGAAGCGCAAGGGGTCAGGGAGTTCCCTTTCCGAGTCAAAGAAAGGGGTGACGGACGCACCTGGAAAATCGGGTCACTCCCACCCGAATATTGCGCTTTTCAGACCGACTTAAAAAACGGCGCACCACCAGACTATATCCCGCACCTGGCTCGGAGGGTCCTACGCCCACGGAGTCTCGCTGATTGCTAGCACAGCAGTCTGAGATCAAACTGCAAGGCGACAGCGAGGCTGGGGGAGGGGCGCCCGCCATTGCCCAGGCTTGCTTAGGTAAACAAAGCAGCCGGGAAGCTCCAACTGGGTGGAGCCCACCACAGCTCAAGGAGGCCTGCCTGCCTCTGTAGGCTCCACCTCTGGGGGCAGGGCACAGACAAACAAAAAGACAGGAGTAACCTCTGCAGACTTAAATGTCACTGTCTGACAGCTTTGAAGAGAGCAGTGGTTCTCCTAGCACGCAGCTGGAGATGTGAGAACCAGCAGACTGCCTCCTCAAGTGGGTCCCTGACCCCTGACCCCCGAGCAGCCTAACTGGGAGGCACCCCCCAGCAGGGGCACACTGACACCTCACACGGCAGGGTATTCCAACAGACCTGCAGCTGAGGGTCCCGTCTGTTAGAAGGAAAACTAACAAACAGAAAGGACATCCACACCAAAAACCCATCTGTACATCACCATCATCAAAGACCAAAAGTAGATAAAACCACAAAGATGGGGAAAAAACAGAGCAGAAAAACTGGAAACTCTAAAACGCAGAGTGCCTCTCCTCCTCCAAAGGAACGCAGTTCCTCACCAGCAACAGAACAAAGCTGGATGGAGAATGACTTTGATGAGCTGAGAGAAGAAGGCTTCACACAATCAAATTACTCTGAGCTATGGGAGGACATTCAAACCAAAGGCAAAGAAGTTGAAAACTTTGAAAAAAATTTAGAAGAATGTATAACTAGAATAACCAATACAGAGAAGTGCTTAAAGGAGCTGATGGAGCTGAAAACCAAGGCTCGAGAACTACGGGAAGAATGCAGAAGCCTCAGGAGCCAATGCGATCAACTGGAAGAAAGGGTATCAGCAATGGAAGATGAAATGAATGAAATGAAGTGAGAAGGGAAGTTTAGAGAAAAAAGAATAAAAAGAAATGAGCAAAGCCTCCAAGAAATATGGGACTATGTGAAAAGACCAAATCTACGTCTGATTGGTGTACCTGAAAGTGATGCGGAGAATGGAACCAAGTTGGAAAACACTCTGCAGGATATTATCCAGTAGAACTTCCCCAATCTAGCAAGGCAGGCCAACGTTCAGATTCAGGAAATACAGAGAACGCCACAAAGATACTCCTCGAGAAGAGCAACTCCAAGACACATAATTGTCAGATTCACCAAAGTTGAAATGAAGGAAAAAATGTTAAGGGCAGCCAGAGAGAAAGGTCGGGTTACCCTCAAAGGGAAGCCCATCAGACTAACAGCGGATCTCTCGGCAGAAACCCTACAAGCCAGAAGAGAGTGGGGGCCAATATTCAACATTCTTAAAGAAAAGAATTTTCAACCCAGAATTTCATATCCAGCCAAACTAAGCTGCATAAGTGAAGGAGAAATAAAATACTTTACAGACAAGCAAATGCTGAGAGATTTTGTCACCACCAGGCCTGCCCTAAAAGAGCTCCTGAAGGAAGCACTAAACATGGAAAGGAACAACCAGTACCAGCCGCTGCAAAATCATGCCAAAATGTAAAGACCATCGAGACTAGGAAGAAACTGCATCAACTAACGAGCAAAATCACCAGCTAACATCATAATGACAGGATCAAATTCACACATAACAATATTAACTTTAAATGTAAATGGACTAAATGCTCCAATTAAAAGACACAGACTGGCAAATTGGATAAAGAGTCAAGACCCATCAGTGTGCTGTATTCAGGAAACCCATCTCATGTGCAGAGACACACATAGGCTCAAAATAAAAGGATGGAGGAAGATCTACCAAGCAAATGGAAAACAAAAAAGGCAGGGGTTGCAATCCTAGTCTCTGATAAAACAGACTTTAAACCAACAAAGATCAAAAGAGACAAAGAAGGCCATTGCATAATGGTAAAGGGATCAATTCAACAAGAAGAGCTAACTATCCTAAATATATATGCACCCAATACAGGAGCACCAAGATTCATAAAGCAAGTCCTGAGTGACCTACAAAGAGACTTAGACTCCCACACATTAATAATGGGAGACTTTAACACCCCACTGTCAACATTAGACAGATCAACCAGACAGAAAGTCAACAAGGATACCCAGGAATTGAACTCAGCTCTGCACCAAGTGGACCTAATAGACATCTACAGAACTCTCCACCCCAAATCAACAGAATATACATTTTTTTCAGCACCACACCACACCTATTCCAAAATTGACCACATAGTTGGAAGTAAAGCTCTCCTCAGCAAATGTAAAAGAACAGAAATTATAACAAACTATCTCTCAGACCACAGTGCAATCAAACTAGAACTCAGGATTAAGAATCTCACTCAAAGCCGCTCAACTACATGGAAACTGAACAACCTGCTCCTGAATGACTACTGGGTACATAACGAAATGAAGGCAGAAATAAAGATGTTCTTTGAAACCAATGAGAACAAAGACACAACATACCAGAATCTCTGGGATGCATTCAAAGCAGTGTGTAGAGGGAAATTTATAGCACTAAATGCCCACAAGAGAAAGCAGGAAAGATCCAAAATTGACACCCTAACATCACAATTAAAAGAACTAGAAAAGCAAGAGCAAACACATTCAAAAGCTAGCAGAAGGCAAGAAATAACTAAAATCAGAGCAGAACTGAAGGAAATAGAGACACAAAAAACCCTTCAAAAAATCAATGAATCCAGGAGCTGGTTTTTTGAAAGGATCAACACACTTGATAGACTGCTAGCAAGACTAATAAAGAAAAAAAAAGAATCAAATAGACACAATAAAAAATGATAAAGGGGCTATCACCACCGATGCCACAGAAATACAAACTACCATCAGAGAATACTACAAACACCTCTACGCAAATAAACTAGAAAATCTAGAAGAAATGGATACATTCCTAGACACATACACTCTCCCACGACTAAACCAGGAAGAAGTTGAATCTCTGAATAGACCAATAACAGGAGCTGAAATTGTGGCAATAATCAATAGTTTACCAACCAAAAAGAGTCCAGGACCAGATGGATTCACAGCCGAATTCTACCAGAGGTACAAGGAGGAACTGGTACCATTCCTTCTGAAACTATTCCAATCAATAGAAAAAGAGGGAATCCTCCCTAACTCATTTTATGAGGCCAGCATCATTCTGATACCAAAGCTGGGCAGAGACACAACCAAAAAAGAGAATTTTAGACCAGTATCCTTGATGAACATTGATGCAAAAATCCTCAATAAAATACTGGCAAACCGAATCCAGCAGCACATCAAAAAGCTTATCCACCATGATCAAGTGGGCTTCATCCCTGGGATGCAAGGCTGGTTCAATATACGCAAATCAATAAATGTAATCCAGCATATAAACAGAGCCAAAGACAAAAACCACATGATTATCTCAATAGATGCAGAAAAAGCCTCTGACAAAATTCAACAACCCTTCATGCTAAAAACTCTCAATAAATTAGGTATTGATGGGACGTATTTCAAAATAATAAGAGCTATCTATGACAAACCCACAGCCAATATCATACTGAATGGGCAAAAACTGGAAGCATTCCCTTTGAAAACTGGCACAAGACAGGGATGCCCTCTCTCACCACTCCTATTCAACAGAGTGTTGGAAGTTCTGGCCAGGGCAATTAGGCAGGAGAAGGAAATAAAGGGTATTCAATTACGAAAAGAGGAAGTCAAATTGTCCCTGTTTGCAGACGACATGATTGTATATCTAGAAAACCCCATTGTCTCAGCCCAAAATCTCCTTAAGCTGATAAGCAACTTCAGCAAAGTCTCAGGATACAAAATCAATGTATAAAAATCACAAGCATTCTTATACACCAACAACAGACAAACAGAGAGCCAAATCATGAGTGAACTCCCATTCACAATTGCTTCAAAGAGAATAAAATACCTAGGAATCCAACTTACAAGGGATGTGAAGGACCTCTTCAAGGAGAACTACAAACCACTGCTCAAGGAAATAAAAGAGGATACAAACAAATGGAAGAACATTCCATGCTCATGGGTAGGAAGAATCAATATCGTGAAAATGGCCATACTGCCCAAGGTAATTTACAGATTCAATGCCATCCCCATCAAGCTACCAATGACTTTCTTCACAGAATTGGAAAAAACTACTTTAAAGTTCATATGGAACCAAAAAAGAGCCTGCATCGCCAAGTCAATCCTAAGCCAAAAGAACAAAGCTGGAGGCATCACGCTACCTGACTTCAAACTATACTACAAGGCTACAGTAACCAAAACAGCATGGTACTGGTACCAAAACAGAGATATAGATCAATGGAACAGAACAGAGCCCTCAGAAATAACGCCACATACCTACAACTATCTGATCTTTGACAAACCTGAGAAAAACAAGCAATGGGGAAAGGATTCCCTATGTAATAAATGGTGCTGGGAAAACTGGCTAGCCATATGTAGAAAGCTGAAACTGGATCCCTTCCTTACACCTTATACAAAAATCAATTCAAGATGGATTAAAGATTTAAACGTTAGACCTAAAACCATAAAAACCTTAGAAGAAAACCTAGGCATTACCATTCAGGACATAGGCATGGGCAAGGACTTCATGTCCAAAACACCAAAAGCAATGGCAACAAAAGACAAAATTGACAAATGGGATCTAATTAAACTAAAGAGCTTCTGCACAGCAAAAGAAACTACCATCAGAGTGAACAGGCAACCTACAAAATGGGAGAAAATTTTCACAACCTACTCATCTGACAAAGGGCTAATATCCAGAATCGACAATGAACTCAAACAAATTTACAAGAAAAAAACAAACAACCCCATCAAAAAGTGGGCAAAGGACATGAACAGACACTTCTCAAAAGAAGACATTTATGCACCCAAAAAACACATGAAAAAATGCTCATCATCACTAGCCATCAGAGAAACGCAAATCAAAACCACAGTGAGATACCATCTCACACCAGTTAGAATGGCAATCATTAAAAAGTCAGGAAACAACAGGTGCTGGAGAGGATGTGGAGAAATAGGAACACTTTTACACTGTTGGTGGGACTGTAAACTCGTTCAACCATTGTGGAAGTCAGTGTGGTGATTCCTCAGGGATCTTGAACTAGAAATACCATTTGACCCAGCCATCCCATTACTGGGTATATACCCAAATGACTATAAGTCATGCTGCTATAAAGACACATGCACACATATGTTTATTGCGGCATTATTCACAATAGCAAAGACTTGGAACCAACCCAAATGTCCAACAATGATAGACTGGATTAAGAAAATGTGGCACATATACACCATGGAATACTATGCAGCCATAAAAAATGATGAGTTCATGTCCTTTGTAGGGACATGGATGAAATTGGAAATCATCATTCTCAGTAAACTATCGCAAGAACAAAAAACCAAACACCGCATATTCTCACTCATAGGTGGGAATTGAACAATGAGATCACATGGACACAGGAAGGGGAATATCACACTCTGGGGACTGTGGTGGGGTGGTGGGAGGGGGGAGGGATAGCATTGGGAGATATACCTAATGCTAGATGACGAGTTGGTGGGTGCAGCGCACCGGCATGGCACATGTATACATATGTAACTAACCTGCACAATGTGCACATGAACCCTAAAACTTAAATTTAAAAAAAAAAAAAAAAGACATGTAATGCCTAGCAGTGACAGCAGAAGAGAAGTGAAAAAAAGAGTTTCTTTCTTCCGTTCAGCAAATATTTACCAAGTGCCAAAATGCCCAAAGTGGTGCACTAGGCACTGTGTGTGTGGGATGGGATGGACTGGGGAGACATCGCCAATGAATTCATAAGGCTCTTGTCCTCAGGGAACTCACCATCTGATAGAGGGGCACAGACCTTCTCTCCAATGCCTAGGACAATCATGGGGTGGAAGGTGCTCAAATTGAATCAAAAAAGACCAAAGTGACCCAGAGCTCACTTTTATGTCTTACACCAGCCAGCCCACAAGAGGAAGTGAATTTCAGAAGTGAATTCCAAACACAAAGATATGTATAAATGATATGGCATGGGAATTGCTGGTGTTTTAACTTTATTTTCCCTGACTGTTCGACATAGAATTGTGTTTGAGTTTGTTCAGTTCTGGCTGTAAATAGCATCTGTCAACCGCGTAACTTTTAGTATCATCAGTGACAGACCTGTAGCATCAGGCTAGAGTGCGTGCGGCTGTGGCAGCGTCTTCCAGTCCTCTGGGCTCTAAGTCTCTGCTCTGCCCATTCTGGTTGCTCTCTACGGCTGGTGCCAAATGGTTCCCGTCGCTTGGCAACAGACAGCCTGCAGTGATCTGGGTCTCGTGTCTGAGGCTGAACTAGGGACCACCCTGAATCATCTAGGGAGAGAATACAAGAACGGAGGGACTGCCCCTCACCCCAGCTTTCCTGTGGTTAACCAAACCCCTAGCTGTGTTTCCGCAACTAGCAACACCCGCTGCATTTGTCATCACAGCTGCACACGTGCCGCCGCCTTTGACAAAGACATGGTATCTGTAGCATACTTTCTGGGAAATGCTGTCTGAAGGTGCTGCATCACTGACACTTGCCGTCCAACTTGAATTGTGTAAGAAGTATTAGGCATTTTAGAAGCTCATGCAGAGACTCTGGGCTTTCTCATAAGCTAACACAAGCAGAAAAATCTACCTGCTCAGGCTCTTTTCTAAGCCAAGGATGCCAGAATTCCAACCAATTTCTGCTTTGGCCAAAGAGTATCTCAATTGCATGCTGACAAGAGCTTCAGCACAGCTACCCATCTTCATTTTCAAAACGTAGGTGCATCTAGCTCAGAAGGATAGGGTCCTGGAGACCCAGGAGAGAAAAGACAGATCCTCTGAATGTCAGAATAGGACCTTTTTCCCTGTCCTTGTGCTGTCAGCCTGACTCTCTGAGCCACAGCTCCAAGAACAGCCCTGGGGTTATAGAGGTGCAGGGCTTCTAGATAAGAAGCCAGAACAGACAGTCCCCTCTGTGTCATTTGTCGTTACACAATATCCTAACCTCACGCCTCTAGGGGGGCAGCCCAGCAAAGCCAGCAATAGCCAGAGACTGCTGGCTCTTTCTGAGCCACTCATGGTTTCAAGGTGTCCCAGATTTTAAGAGGCTGAATTTTCTTTATGCTTCCTGAGTGCTTCTATCTCTCCACTTTAACATTGACATATGCATGTATTGCAGTAATATTATTTATTCAAATCTACCATGTTCTGGGCACTGGAACAGTGCCTGGAACTGTTGCTGGAACTGTTACAGTGCCTGGAACTTCTTAGAGTATTATGTATTCAAAGTAATATCATTTATTCAACAAACAATATTATATAACTCCTTCTAGGGCTTACATTCTAATGGGGGAGCACACGATAAACAAATAATAAATGACAGTAAAATAAAACAAATAATCACATATGAAGAGGTCCTCTGTGCAGGATGTGAGGACCAACGTTTGAGCACTGGCTCTGACATAGAGTATGTGGAACCCTTATTCGCTCATGCAATCCCCAGGGAAATCCTCTTAGGAGGTACTATTAAGCTTCACTTGACAAATAGGAAAACTGAAGTCCAGACTACACAGCCTAAAAATAGTAGAACACAAATTTGAACCTGGGTCTGATGCCCAAGATCCATTATCATTCCACTTCACCATCTCTCCCCCTGAAGCAAGGTCAAGAGACAAGGAGAAGGAAGGCCAGGACTTTGAGCCTTTCCACCTCATGCAAGAGTGTCCTCTGAGCCTCCACTGCTCAACTCAAGCACGTGTTTTTAAACATTCCAAAGCACTCCCAGTTGCAAAGGAGATGTTGTAGGATGTTAGGTCTCAGCACAAGGAACCCAAACCTTCAGGGGCTCTCCTCTACATTATGCTCCCATTTTTCTCCCAAAATATCGATCTCCACCCACCCTAGACATAGAACTGGAGAATAAGTTCCAGTTTCATCCCTTTGCAGATCTTAGGGGGACCCATCAAATTCCCAGCCACTGGGTGAAAATCAGCAGCTTCTTTATAGGACCTGAGTTGCCTTCCTAGAGGATCCTAGAGGAAAAAAAAAAATCTTATCCTTCAAATACTGCTGTCTTCCAAAATACGTAAGGACGCCACGGTGAATCATAGTGGACACCCTGCATTGGTTGGGTTATTATTTATCCTAGAAGCTTGGGTTCTTGGAGCCCTAGCTTATTTAAGCAACAAAGTCCCTCACAGCCCACAGGTGAGGAAGTGAGTGTAACAAAGAGATCATTGGACCTAAAATCAAAACACCTGTCAAATCCCGGTTCTGCCACTTACTAGTTATGATCTTGAGCCAGAGACTTAATTTCTTTGAGCCTCAGATTCCTTTCTGTAAAATAAACAGTTGTGTGACTTACCTTACAAGGATCATTGTAAAAGGAAAGAAGACCTATGTAAGATTCTGTGTTGAAAGAGCTCAGTACATAATCATGTATTTTAAAAATTAGATGTGGCTTTAATTTTTAAATTTTTCTCATTAAATTTGACAGCAAATTATGTTACTTGGCTATGAATTTAAACCTTGCTTACGTCTCTTATTTCTGGGAAAAAACAAAAAACACCTGCAAGGTTATCCCACTGCTGATTCCTGAGGGGAGGTCCCTCAAGGGCACATAAGGTGACAACTCCTCCAGCATGGACAACAGCCACCCAGAGATGCCAGGGAAGAATAGAGGGAACTCTCTTCTTTTTCCAACTTTCCACGTAATTTGTAATTGTTGTTTAAACTCTCAATCCTCCTGGTGATATGATAGGCTCAACTTTCCAAGATACTGAAGTTGAAAGAGTTTAAAAAAAAAAAAAAAAAAGGTATAACCAGGAAAGTTAGCTTTAATAATCTCCATTCCAGACATTTTAACCCACTTGAAAGGGGTAATACTTACCCCCCAAAACCTAAAGGGTGACTGTTTTGAGCATGAGGTGTGGGGAATAGAGATTAGCGTGAGAGGGAGGAAAGTGTTAAAATAGAAAGAGGCAGAGAGGAAATGAAATAACCTTCCTACCTCTTATCCTTGAGTGCTTTCAAGAGCCTGTCTGGGGCCAGGAGCCCCAGGAAACACCAAGGCTGTTTCTTGCCTTCACCTTTGGGCTGTTTTTTACTGCCATTCATTAAGAAAATCTTTTCCATCAGCCTTATCATCCTTTTCTTGGCTCTTGGTCAGGTTGAGTCAGACGTGGAACATTTACTTTCACAAAGACTAACCAATCTTTTGTCTAGACGCAGATGTCTTCCACCAAAGCTTGTTGATCAGGGTCATGAAAGAGGCTGGTAAACACGTAGGCCCTTTTGTGTAACTGAACACTGTGGGGGGAAGACTGAGGACAGAGGAAATGGAGAAAATGGGGGGAGCTAGGAATTTGTTGATAGCATATAAAAGTGGGCAACTGAAAGCACTGTGAACTCTCTTTGTTTGAAAAGTGTAAGGGGACTAGTTTGTAGTATCCCTAAAAAGGTTTGCAGATCAAGAGTGGAACTGGGTTTCAAAGGCCCCAGGGCCTTTTCTTGTCCTGTTGCCTCTGCCTGGACCATTTTCTGTCCTTCCTCTCTACTTCCTCTTCCCGGGCCAACTTTTATTCCCTCTCCCAGTCTTTTGCTAACAGCCACTTCCTCAGGAAAGCTTTCCCCAGCCCCTGCGGCTAGGGCAGGTTGCCCCATTACCCACTCTCATCACACCCTGCACTTTGCCAGTGCAGCTGTCTTCAGTACTATAATTAAATGATGATGTGTGCACAGCTATTTGGACAATGACTACCCATATTCATTAGTCGTTGGGCATTTTGTAAATTATCTTATAATTGAGCTAATTGTAATCTTTAAGCAGTAATATTACACAACAAAAACGTGTATAATTATTATTAAACTAATAATGTTGTCTCTCTGGCTAGATATTAACCTCCTTGAGGGCAGGGACTGCTTGGACCTGTATGTAATGGGGTGCCCAGTGCCTGATACTGTGCCTAACACATAGGTGGAGGTCAAAATATATGTTGAATAAATCAATGTATGAGTTTGTCCATGAGGGCAATAAAGGGGAAAACGTAAGGGGAAAAGCATCCAGAGAATAGTTCCCACTGGTTTAGGCTAGACAAGCAATGTACCAATGTTTTGGTTGCCCCAGAGTCCCTAGTACGGAGCTATTTCCTACATCATTCACCATCCTGAGCACAGAGACCTTCTGAAGTCTTATTCCATTGTTGCCTTTAACAGCAAAGAAAAAAGAAACTTGGAAGCCAGCTCCCTGGATGTACTGTATATCTTTTGAAAACAAAAAGTGGTCTTTGGTCATTTCAGAGAAATTTTAAATTCATGGTAATATGAAAAAGAACTCATTGTTTAAGAAAAATATTTTGGCCAGGCACAGTGGCTCATGCCTGTAATTCCAGCACTTTGGGAGGCCAAGGCATGAGGAACATTTGAGACCAGGGGTTCAACACTAGCCTGGGCAACATAGTGAGACCCCCACTTCTACAAAAAAGAAAAAGAAAAAGAAAATTATCCAGACATGGTGGTACATGCCTGAGGATAGCTTGAGCCCAGGAGGTTGAGGCTGCAGTGAGTTGAGGAAAATAAACGTCTCATTTCTCATTCCAAAACCACAGGGACACTTTACTACAAAAGTATGATTGCACCACTGCACTCCAGCCTGGGCCACAGGAAAAAAAAAAAAAAAAGAAAGAAAAAGAATATTTTCAAGGAGTGAATTAGACTATAGTTTTGGAAGTCTGATTCATCCTTCATGTAGTGTATGTTATGTTGCATTAGCCATCTTTCCATGAAGTTCCATCACTAGATAAATGAAATTGAGCATGTCTCTGCATAGGTTTGGTCCTTCAGAGGTATTGTTGATTCTACAAAAGCAGAGACAGTCTCATGCCTATCTTTTGTAAATCCAGGACACTATGGTGTCTTGGGCACAGAATAATCACTGATGAGATGAATAGGTGCACCAAGTCAAGAGGTCCTTGAAAGGTCCCCCATTAAACCTATGTTATCCCCCCATTAGTTTACCTCACAAAGCATGATTCCATTCTTAGGGGAAAGTTTCACAAAATGGCTCTCATATCTCCCTCTCTGTAGACTCCTAACTTATTGCAGCCTGGTTTCTCCTGGCCTTCATCCCATGATGTGTACCAGCTCAGTGTGTCTCCTTCCTGCTCTCTCCTGCTCAGCCCTCTCCCAATCCTCCCTCTATCTTTTTGATCTTCAAAGGAGTCAGACAAGGAGCACATCCCCCTCCAGGCAGTATTCTCTGCCAGTCTTTTCAGATGACTGTATTTTCCTGGTCACAAAACGTCCCCAGTGTCCAACATCTTCTTGAGTAAGCATCTACATAAAGGAAGCAAGTCATTTCATGTGTGCACTTCCATTAATAGATTCTCAGGATCAGCACCCCAGGGATCTTTTACAAGCTCAGTGGAAGTATTAATAGCATCCTACATTAAAAGATACTTTTTAAAAAGTCTGTTAATTTAGTCAACATTCTTAGCCTATACATCAATGTCAAAGCAATGGGATAGCCAAGATCCTTGAGCACTGGTGGCCTTAATGTGCTGCTAGTGCGATGGTGATGTTCTTAAATTTGTAATATGTCTTCACTTAATTGTAGCTTGATTTCTTTTGAATGAGCTTATTTATTTTAAGACCTGGGTCTGTGCTTTGTACTGTTCATTTTCATATATAAAAAGAAAGGTGAGACAGCACAGGCCAGTGTCTATAATCATTTGAAGTTATAGTCCAAAGGTCAAGAATTATGGAAGGAATTTTAAAGAAAATCCATAAAATTGGGCAAATAGGGACCAGATACAATGAATAAAGTTCTCTCAGAGTACCATTGCTGCCTTTTTGAGCAAACATAAGTGCACCTACCTCTGAAAACTGGCTTCTTGTGAATTAAGCTAGCAGGTCATCGGCCACTCAACACAGCGGCCAATGACTTGGTAGCTACAACACTGTGCTCTGAAAGACTGAGAATGAAGATGAAAAGAAAGCATGCCACCCTGTTAATAGTCTATGGTAAGAGGAGCTGTCAGCATTGCAGCATTAGGAAGAGGGATTAGTCTTTCCATTATTCAACACAACTCATCTTTTTTGTGCCAACAATGTGTTCAGCACTGTGGAAAACACCCAAAGAGTCTGTCCTCAAGTATGATCACGTTGAATGTACAAAGGGAACTGGCAAAGTTCCTAAAACCTGGCCTCTTGCCTCTGGAGGACGTTGTGTGTAGTATCGTTTCTCACACCCTACAACTAAGTAAGGTCAAAAGAGAACAGGTGGCTCTTACATAGCTGACCTTCAATGTCCATTCTGTAGGCATCACCCCATTATCAGGAGTAGGTACTGTCCTTCACTCTTGTTCTGTGTCTAGCAGCCAGGCACCACCCAGCTAAACCAGACCACATGCTCAGTTTCTCCAACAGCTCAGTCTCCCAACTGATTCCTAGGATGAATGAATGTACAGATGAAAGGCCTAAAGAGCCTGGTGCATAAGAGGTCACAGCAAACGTGAGTGTGCCTTCCCTGCCTTCAGTACATCCAGCAGGCACTCTCTCTGCCCTCCCTCAGTTGGACATGCAGCCTCAGATGCTGAGTCTCAACTTCCCTTCCTCAGGGGAGCTGCTATAGAGCAATAGGCTAGCTTGCCTTTGTTCTGCATCCCACACAAGCAGAGAAGCCAATAGACAGGCATGGAGGAAGTTGGGGAAGAGCAGGAAACATCACTTGTGCACTTTCATCAGACACTGGTGTAGCCGTTTTGTAGATATGAATGCATTTAATCTTCAGAAGGATCAGAAGCAGGGTGTTTTGCACATGAAGAGACTGAGATTTAGAGAAATCAAATAAGGTTTTTAAGTTCACACAGCTAGAATGTAAGGGAAGATTTTAGCCTAAGACTTTCTGATTTCAAGGTCTTTGTTTTCTCCCATGAAATTTCCTGAGAAAATAATACCAGGGCTCAGAAGACTTCTAACCTGGCTTCCAAACTCAAGAGACCTGGAAAAGAACCAAATTGGAAGAGCATGATGGTTGTTGATTCAAAATTTCTCCGAGGCATTCTGACTGGCCACCAACATGTCACCACAAACTTCGAGGCTCCAGAAACTAATTTGAAATTCCAAAAGAAAACATTGCCCTAAAAATATGCTAGTGACACAAAGACAAAATAAAAATAAATCTCTTTTCTGTGCATATTTTAAGTAAAGTCTTTTTTCCTTTAGCATTGAGTGCGTATGCCTGTGCGGGTATGAGAGGGAGAATGAAAGCAAGAGAGAGAGTTGAGAGGGACTTTAAAATGTCAACATTCTTGGTAGTGTTGGGAACCCAAACACAACAGTCTTAGGTCAGTGCCTGAGAACTAGTAAGGCAAACCAACTAGACAATAACCATAAACATGGTCCCTTTTAAAATTGATGTTGCTCGTGTCTCTGGGAGAATAAAAAACAAAGTCAAACAAAAACTATGGCTTGGCAACACTTCCAACTTTTAAGAGGGTTAAACAAACAAGAGTTTGGGTCAGAGAAAGCAGTGGTCATTTTCAGAGATTTGGGATCAGCAAGACACATTTTGAAATATTTTGACAGAGCTCGGGAAGGACTGGAAGCTTCCAAATGAAGTAGTAAAAGATCATTTACCTTGCCCTAGTTAATTCTGTAGGAACAGAAACATTAAAAAAAATTATTCCTCTTTATTGGTTAACAAAAAAGCCAATTATCAGAGGTAGGTAGCTAGAGTTTTGAAGTAAGAGTCTTGTGACTCTGCTGAAAAGATGCCACTGGTTAGCCTCCCGTGTCGATAGGGCGGGTCCCTGCTGAGTGGGCTGACCCCCAAGATCAGATCAGAGAGCATCGTCTTACCAGGGCCTGGGACTCAGAGCCACAGAGGGGCCGTTGAGAAGCTGTCCAAAGGCAACTTATGTTCCCTCATGGACTTGGCAAGCTCCAAAGGTCATATTTCAGCTTGACCTAAGACTACAGCTTCCTCCATGAACTCTAATTCCCCTTTCCTTGACTCCCTCCCACCACGGACTGCAAACAGCCCAGTTCAGTCTCCCACATCAAAGAATTCCTTTTATTAAAGCAGTAAGGCTATTCCTTTGGGTCCCTCTACCATATATGGCTTAAGAGAGGAAAGGCGGGAAGGAAAGCACCTCGAATATTTGCTGTTAACTTTCAAAGGGCACCCTGTTTGCAGAGGGGTTATCTTGTGTCCACACCCTTTGTTTTCCCTGGGCCTGAAACAGGAGTTTGATGAAGTGAGCCTGGATCCCTTTGACTACCACAGAGATGCTTTTCTGAGGGCACCTGTGATAAAATTAATTTTTTAAAAAAAAAATCATGTGCTTCCAGGTCACATCTGAAAGAAAGAGGACACCTGGAAAAGTCTTAACCATTTTGGATGGAATGAGGGACCACAGTTGCGTATGTTCTTTTTAGCTACTGATAAATAACAGCAGAGGAAACCACCAGGGTTGTCCTGCATTGGGATGCTGATCTATGCAAACAAGATTTCAAAACAAAAACGGGAGCCTCCTTTCTCTAAGGAAGCTCCTGGATTTCCCATTCTTTTTCCTCTCCAGCCTATATGGCATGAGCACATAGAGAGTACTCAGTGAAGACTTCTTGAATTTAAAGGAATTAAAATCAAAGCATGGGCACAAGTTGCCAAGAGGAAAACAAACATCTCATTCCTTATTCCAAAACCACAGGGACACTTTACTACAAAAGTACCTTAGAAGCACGTACATAAATCCTCCAGTATATGACATGGTTCTCCGTTTTGCTAAATTCTTCATGGGTGTGCCTCTTTCCTGTCAGGATTTCCTACATATAAAAGAAAGCACAAAAATTCCCAATCATCTCTGGTTCTTCCCTTGTGGGGAAAAGGGCCAAGACATAATCCTTGATTTCCCACTTTGGAAGGCGTATACTAAAATTTTAACTCTGAAAGCAAAGAAGACACACAGAAATCACTGAACCCTTTTCCATCCCCAGTATCTTCTGGTTGACTCTTGGAAGTAATATTAAAGATAAAAGAATCCAGATCTGAAAATTCAGGTTTGTTGTCTTGAGTCAATCTACTTTCCTCCAAAATATTTCCAAAACACCTAGGAGCCTAGACTCCTGACCCAAGTTTCTGCCTTTCCCTTGCTGGTTTATCAACGAGTGTTTATATCATGCAGTCAGTGTGAGGAGATGGGCTGTCAGAGACAGCTCTTCTAATTTGCAAATAGTAAGATAGTTGCTGTCCAAGCAAAGAGCCAAACAAAATGCTCACATATTTTAAATAAGATTATTATTAATGCAATTGTCAAAATATTTCTGACTCAAGACAAGCAGAATTTTTTTTTAAAACCCTTTAAATGACCTTGTATACAACTTCCTTAAAAAGTGAATAATTTAAAAGGGCCCTAAATCAGGGGTCAGCAAACTACAGTCCACAGGCCAAATCCAGTCTGCTACCTGTTTTTGTAAGCAAAGTTTCACTAGAATATAGTCTATGATGGCTTTCACTCTACAATGGCAGAGCTGAGTGTTTGCAACAGAGACTATACTGCCCACACAAGGCCTAACGCATTGACTAGCTGGCTATTTAGTTTCCCAACCCCTGCCCTAAATTATTTCACACGCTTATTTTCAAACAAGTGGTCTCTAACTGTTTATCTCTACCTAATATATCTCATGCCAGGAAAGTATCCAAAATTACAACTTCTCTTTATAGAAACAAGAGAGAACACTTCATCTTCATACTCAAGGAAAAGAGTTTATTGCCAATTCTAAAATCAACACACAGAACACAGTTTTTCTTTAAGTTCGGGATATATGTGCAGAACGTGCAGTTTTGTTACATAGGTATATGTGTGCCATGGTGGTTTGCTGCATCTATCAACCCGTCATCTAGGTTCTAAGCCCCGTATGCTTTAGGTATTTGTCCTAATGCTCACCCTCTCCTTGCCTCCCACCCCCTGACAGGCCCCAATGTGTGATGTTCCCCTCCCTCTGTCCATGTGTTCTCATTGTTCAATTCCCACTTATGAGTGAGAACATGTGGTGTCTGGTTTTCTGTTCCTGTGTTAGTTTGCTGAGAATGATGGTTTCTAGCTTCATCCACGTCGCTGCAAAGGACATGTTCTCATCCTTTTTTATGGCTGCATAGTATTCCATGGTGTATATGTGCCACATTTTCTTTATCCAGTCTATTGTTGAGCATTTGGGTTGGTTCTAAGTATTTGCTATTGTAAATAGTGCTGCAGTAAACATATGTGTGCATGTGTCTTTATAGCAGAATGATTTATAGTCCTTTGGGTATATACCCAGTAATGAAATTGCTGGGTCAAATGGTATTTCTGGTACTGCGAGTCAAATGGTATTTCTGGTTCTAGATCCTTGAGGAATCGCCACACTGTCTTCCACAATGGTTGAACTAATTTACACTCCCACCAACAGTGTAAAAGCATACAGAACACAGTTTTAAAGGACAGCTATATTTCTCAAAATGTTTGCTCAGAAAGGAGAGTGAGCTTTCTCCTGCTAACGTATGCTATGTTAGGTAAGACTTGGAGGGAGCTCAGAAGTAGAAAACTTACATGGAAAGTCTATCAATGTAAACTGTAAAAGGGGTCGCTGGACACAGGTGTGATGAGGTGACAAAGTGTCTGAAGCAGTAGAGTGAAGCTAGACAACTGCCTTCACTGATTCCCTTTGGCAGAACAGGAGCTGCTGCACCACTCATATGTCACATCTCATGGACACTCATCAGGATCAAGATGAACGGCGAGAACAGATCCCAAACCCCAGAGACTAAGCATAAACAGGGCTGATATGGAAGCCTCTCCGTGTCAAGACCCAGGCCCCTTCCATCTTATTGTTCTGGCATCTTCAGTTTGTTGTCCTTTCACATGGCCCAAGAAGGCCCCAGCATGTCTGCACTCAGTTCAGAGGGACAGGAGGGGTGGGGCAGGGAAGAGGCAGCACAGACCAGAACTGAGTCACTTGGGCAATTGGGCATGAGGAGCTGCAGAAGAGGCTGACAAATGTCGTCTTTTATTGTAGGAAGCCGTGGCCCCAGAAAAAATTCAAGCATCCTGGTGCTTGAAGGACTGGTACCAGGAGACGACTAGCATCCTCTACTACAATGGAGAAATATTGCCTCAGGATGAATGAGTCTAACATATCATTTCTTGAGAAAAGACGTGAACTGGGAGAAAAAATAACAAATTCTGTAAAGGGAAAATGAAGGCACCATCATATTTGGAGAAAATATCCAAAAAAGAGGTGGATGAGCCTGGTAATAGACTTCCCCAAACTTCTCCTGGGACCAACATTACCCCATACAGTTTTGAGTTTTTTGTTTGTTCGTTTGTTTGTTTGTTTGTTTCAAGATTCATATAGTCCCTAGTCTGGTTCCAGATCAAAGGGCATGACCTTCCTACTAAAATTCAGACTGTGTCTGGTGTGGGCTGCCAGCCATCATGTGATGTCCTGCTTGGCGTCTGCGACACAGAAGTGCCAGCACAAGGCAGAATAACCAGGAAGCTCACTTCCAAAGCCATTCACATGGGGTGAGAGCACAGTGCTGCCTCAGCCAAAGCTCGGACAGCTCTACCCAATCGGCAAATCAAAAACAACAGGAAAGAGGTGGGCAGACCTGCTCCCCCCACACCCAGGATCCACCAAACCTGTGCCAGATGAAACAAAAAAGAAAGGAAAAATGAATTCAGACACCTGTGGCAAAGAAAAAGGTACAGGCTGACCCCACATTCCATTTATTTCAGGCTTCCTCCAAGCCACTGCTTGTCATTTTGAAGCTTTACTTGTCAAACTGCACATAGTCAATTTTTCAGCCTTACCAAAAAGAGAAAAGAAAAAAAAAGAAAAAACAGGACCCAAAAATGAAATCCATCTTTGCCAAAGGGAGTTGCACCATCCTGTGTAGCAGCAGGCACAGGTGCTGCTGGTACAATCCAAGTACGGGAGAGAAAGAAATTTGTTATCCAGCTTTTCCACATTTTGCCACTGACAGGGAGACCCTTTTCATATTTCCTGTGAGGAGATCCCTCAAGTGGGGAAAGAAGGAAGGTGCAGTTAAGGTCTCCTCTGCCCAGGTGGCAAATGCACCTGGCCCTGTCATGCTGGCTTCCTGAGTGGGTGCTACACATTCTGAGAAGGAGGGATGTGACTGCGTGAATCTCAACACCCCACGCAGCACTCCAAGCTGCTAAGCCCAGAGAGATGGTCCAGGGGGAGAACCGCACCCGTCACCCAGCACCTGTGGAGTAGCCAAAACCAAGGCCAGCCCTTGATGAAATCTTGGAGTTTTAATTGTCTCAAGTTTGCTTTCAGTGTCCTTTGCCCTCTGTTTTGCATCCTTCTCTGAGGAATCCCAGACTGCTTATCCACCACCTCACCCACGCAGCCCATATCAGTACTGTCTGAGTCTAGACTTCCCTCAACATCCCCCGCTATGAAAATGCGCGTGCAGTGCCTTTCATGTTACTGCAGGAAAATGGTCTGTGTTAGAAAGAAGCTGATAAAAACACTTCCCTGAATAACTCTTGAGTCAAAGAGGAAATCAAATTTGCAGTTTAAGAGTTTTTAGAGGGGAAAAAAAGGGACATTTACAAAACTATATATCAAAATGCATAGTCTGCGACCAAAGTTTATTTAGAAAAAAATTGTGGTTTTATACATACCTTAAACATTGAACTAGAAAGAACTGAAAATAATAAGCTGAGCAGAAAATAGAAGAAAAATATTAATAACTTTGAGAAAGAGAAAAGAGATATATAACTATAAAAAAATTACAAGGCAATAATGCATATAATTCTATGCATTTTAAAGTATTAGAAAATTTTCTAGAACATTTAAATGGACAAAATGACTGACTGAGATAGAAACATTAATATGCTAAGTGAAATTGGAGGGAAAAAAGTTTAAAATAATACAATAAATAATTACCAGGCATAGATGCTATGTAATTCCTAAGCTTTTGAGATTATTTCAGAGAATTCAGAAAGATGGCAAGGTTTTCATTAATTTTAAAATGTTAGTACAAGCCTGATATTCAAAACTTGACTAAGTCAACACACATACACATCACACCACAAACATGGACACACAGGGCACATACTATACACACCATTAATATAATGTATAATATGTAAAGATCATAAATATGTCTTTCAATGTGATCAACCTAAATATTAAAAGAATCATTCAAAATGGTTAAGTTTTATTCCAAGGATACACGGTCATTCAGTGTTAGGAATTCTATTTGTATAATTTATTAGTAGGTCAAAGGAAAACAGATGACCAGCTCAAAAAATGCCTAAAGGACATTTGACAAAACATAACGTTCATTTCTCCATTTTAAAAAGTTAACCTGGGCATGGTGGCTCACACCTGTAATCCCAGCACTTTGGGAGGCCAAGGTGGGCAGATCACTTGAGGTCAGGAGTTCGAGACCAGCCTGGCCAACATGAGAAAAACCCTGTCTCTACTAAAAATACAAAAAAAAATTCTGGGTGTGGTGGCATACACCTGTAATCCCAGCTGCCCAGGAGGCTGAGGCAGGAGAACTGCCTGAACCCGGGAGGCGGAGGTTGCAGTGAGCCAAGATCACGCCTCTGCACTCCAGCCTGGGTGATGGAGTGAGACTCTGTCTTTAAAAAAAAAAAAAAAAAAAAAAAAAAAAAATTGTAGTGAAGTTGGAAAAAGACATTCCTTAAAATGATAAAGAGTTTGTCTATTGAAAGCCAACAAGCTAGAATAGTTGAGGCACTCCCATCAAAGTCACATTAAACAACGATGCCTGCTACCACAACTATTACAATACATTGTTACAGAAGCTCTATTACATATTGGTAGACAAGAAAAATTGTCAAGTGAGGTATTACTATTGGAAAGAAGAAGATAAAAGTAACATTCTCAGCAAAACATTGGATTATTCATTTGGAAAATTTATGAGAATCAACTAAAAGACCATTAGAATGAATAAGATTTCCTGACAGAGGCCAGTTAGAAAATAAAAATACCTCCTCAACATACTTGCAATAACAAATTTAAAAATAAAACAGAAAAATCCATTTAAAAAGTAATAAAGAGAAGCTAGCTAAGAATAAACTCAACAAGAAATGTAAGATACCTATTTTTTATTAAAAAAGAAACTGTAAATTACTGAAGGAAATAAAAGGAGAATTGAACCCATGCATAAACACTCAATACTCAAGATGAAAAAACTTAATACCGAAAGCATGCCATTAATAAACTGATCCATAAATTTTACACAAGTCCATCCAAACCCCACCAAGCTGTTGTTTTTGTTGTTATTTTAGTTTTATTTTGGTTTTTTCAGATGGAGTTTTGCTCTTGTCGCCCAGGCTGGAATGCAATGGTGCTATCTCAGCTCACTGCAACCTCCGCCTCCTGGGTTCAAGAGATTCTCCTGCCTCAGCCTCCCTAGTACCTGGGATTACAGGCACCCGCCACCACGCCCGGCTAATTTTTGTATTTTTAGTAGAGACGGGGCTTCACCATGTTGGACAGGCTGGTCTCAAACTTCTGACTTTAGGTGATCTACCCGCCTTGGCCTCCCAAAGTGCTGGGATTACAGGCATGAGCCATCGCGCCCACCTGTTGTTTTTAATTGTTCTTTGCTGCGGCTGTTGCTGAATTTTAAAACATGAATATGATATTCATCTTGAAAAATATATATGAAGTAACCATAAAAATCATGAAAAAGACATGTAATGAGGGAGGACTTACACATGTGATGACCTATAAATGGAATGTTAAAACAATGTGTTGCTGTTGCAGGCTATAAGGCATATAAAACTGTTTATGATGCTATTTTTATTCTCAAGTAAGTCTCATTCTTTTAAGGGAAATAGACATAAAAATGAAAAAGCTTCATAAAGTACAATATTAGTTATAATATTAAATAAAAATATGAATACGAAGTGCTGTAGGGTTGCAGGAAGGGGCTCCCCACTCTGCCTGTGGAACGCGTAAGCTGGCGTATGGAGCCAGAGTGGGGATCCCTGGGGGAGAAGGGTGGCAGGGCTCATCCGAGCTTAGGGAGGGTCTGAGGACGTGTGGCTTTGAAGAGAGAGCTGTGGGACTGTTGAGTTTGGCACCCACTGGGGAACCCTGCAGTCTAGGAAGCTGGCATAGGAATCTGCTGCCAGACTGGGGAGGGATTTGAATGTCTTTGGAATGCAGGCATCCAGGGATCTAAAAGATTTCTTTCTGAGCAAATTTAGGTGCCCAGGAGCCATGTTCAGAAGTTGTGATTTGCTTCACCGTTGGTTTAGGCTCACAGTCAGGGTTGAAAGCCACTGTTTAGGTTATGGGGAGCTTCTGAAGCAAAGAGTTTATGTGATTTAGGCTACTCTGGCAGCTGCATAGAACTATTCTGGGGAAAAGGACTATTGGAACAATGGAGGAAGTTAAGCCCCAGAGAGGAGAACACACCTGCCTAGGTTGGCATCATGACCCACCTGTAGCATGGGTCTCCTAACTCCCAACTCAGTGTCCTTCACTCTGCTAGATGGAATTTCTAAATGCTAGCAGGCTGTGGCTAAGGTATGTCAGACCCAGCCGGCAACAACTACATGCTGACCTGCTAGGACAGTTTCTGACCACCTCTCACTGCAAAATAATCTTCAGGAATTATTAAGGGTGAACCCTGTTTATGAGGACAAATGCTGAAGAACACAGAGAAGGTTAGCATGAGGACACCTGCAGATCCTACTCAGCAGAATTCACATATTTACAAAGCAGCGGGAGGAACAAAACAGGATTCCTCAAAGTGATTGAAGACCATTTTCATAGCATGAATGGGCAAGATGGATATGAATCTCTAAATCTGCTTTTTTCTTCCCTTTCCCAAAAGGCCTGGGTCACTGAAGAGTGTGTGTGTGTGTGTGTGAATGTGAATTCTGTGTACCTTTGAGATTCCTTATGAGATTAGAAAAGAAGTCTTTCAGAAATCCAGAAGCCTCACTTATCCTGCACCTCCAACCTACACCCACAAATGACAAAGGAGTCGTGACCACCAAAATCTATCCTAGTCAGTATTTGATTTCATACTAACTATGCAGGACCTAAGGAAGATTTCACAATATTGAGAAGATGGTATCTTGTCACTTGCTCTTAAATTTCTATCAGATGAGTCAGAAATATTTTCCTAAAAATTATTTCATTGCTGATAAACTTGACATCATTCCCCTCGTCTAAACCACACATTATAGCATTAACTATAGGGAAACCATAACTAATATCATTATTTTGGAAGGGCAGGAAAAAAAGAAAGAAGAAAGACAAGAATGGAGAGAGGAAAGAAGGAAGAATGCAGTAAGCAGGAAGGGGAAAACGGTCTACCTCTTTTGACATTTTCCCCTTAATGTGCAACATTTGAGAACTAAGTATTTTCCAAAAAGATATTGATGACAACAAGTAGACAAGGCCAGAGAAGATAGGAGGACAGTAATCTCAAGGTGATCCTAGATCTAGATGCAAATTCTGTCCTCTAGGATCAGACTCTCATCTGAGAGTGGTAATCAATAATCCCACCATGAGGATACGTGGTTGGTGCTAACCTGGATCTGGAAAAAAATAAAACATCAACTATCCCTTGAATCTTCATAGCTGGGAGTCTAGAACTATACTACCATGACAATAGCATGTCCATAATAACTTTAAAGCTCAAAAGTATAGGGTACAAAAGGTTCCTGGAAGATACGAGAAGAGTCTTGTATCAAATGAATCAGAGGGCTTGAGACCTCGGAATATGTATTTCATCAACATGGGAAGTGTAAGATAAGTCAAACTCAGTGAAGACTCTGTTACCCCAACCTACCCTAGTGAGAGTCTCCAGTTTCCCTCACTCCCTTCCCTGGTGCTCTCCAAGGCCTGAAATTATCTCTTATTCTTCTACACATGGCCAGCCATGGATGGGATGCAACCAAGACAATATTTAGGGCAATTAATACAACTGAAGGAAACTGACTGAGTAATGTCCTCCTGCTTTTTAAAGCCACTTCAAAAGGCAGACACTCATTATGCCTGTGCATTTTTCACACTCCCCCATATTTAGACTCACTCTGACTCTGCCCCACATCGCTGCCTGCTCTTCAATGTGGCTTTTAATGATGCAATATTATGTTCATGAGCATGAAGAAACATCTGGGTGCCAATTCTACCTTCACCACTTGCTAGTGGGCAATCCAGAATAAGTTAAACTTGCCGTACACAGTTTCTCATTTATACAATGAGAATACTTTGCGCATACGATGATTTTCAATGATTAAATAACATCATACACGTGATACATCTTAGCGCCTGGCATCTGGTGTCTGTTATGAATACATGTCAATGGTTTTCAAATTCTAATTGACATAAGAATCACCTAGAGCTTGATGAAATACATATTCCCAGGTCTCAAGCCCTCTGATTCATTTGATACAAGACTCTTCTTCTATCTTCCAGGAATATTCATTTACAGAAACAATGCCATATGTCCAGGTGGTCTGGAGATTACCTTCCGAGAAACTCTCCTACGAGTGCTGCTACCTAAACAAATACTTCTCTGATGGCCTGGAGTGGCAACAGTTGGGCAGGTCAGCCCCCAAAAGCCCTCGGAGACCTCTTGATCCAAAAGTATTCCTATTAAGGAAGTCCAGATTCCAATTTTCAGAAGAGGTGAAGAGGTTAGACCCAGCAACCTTTGAGATCTTTTCCCCAAGGCCGTCAGTGACAGCCAGGGAAAGGGCACCAGTTTCATCCTCTTATCTCCATTTATTTAGTGAAGTTATTTTGCTCCGTTGCTACCAGGAGCCCAGCTTAATCCCAATCTGCCCATTATGTTGACATTTCACATCTCAGTGGAGAGGACGTTTACTGCTTTCCCAGTGGACACTGGGAAACAGGGCACTGTTTCCAGCTCCGGACACGCATTCCAACGGGAGCGTCAGACTCTATTATGACAGAGCCCGCTGCTGGGGGAAATGGCAGAGCACGTGCATTTCATCATTTAGGTTTGGTTTCTCTCACACTCTCTCTCAAGAATTACAGAGCTGTACAGAGTGCTTTCTGCTTGGAATGCTCCCAATTTCAAAGTCCTTACCAAAAGAGAACAAGAAAAAGATCTGGTAAAAAGGATCCAGGAACAAACATTCATATTGGTGATGGAGAAAAGTAGATTCCAACAAGCCAGGACCCAGGGAAAAGTAGCATTACCTGGGATGGGAGAGCCGGTAATCAGCTTCTTCGTGTACTGAAAAGTCCCTAAGCTGCGGTCCCTTAGACTCTTCAGCAGATTGGAAAAATGCTGCCTCCCTGGGGCTCTCTGAGGGATGGGAGTGATTCAAATTCCTGCTGTTTTCTGGTCTTAGCTGTGGTAGAAATGGCCCCAAACTCAGCTTCCTGGCAGAATTTTATTTGTCTTATCTAATTTCCTCAGTAGTTGAACAACCAAGAAATCCTGTCCTGGCATCACCTGCAAGGGTGACTTTAGTGATGTTCCTTCATGTCCTCATTGGGCTTTGGTTAATCCATCTATAAACCAAAGTGAATCATGAACTAGCTCACCAAAGCACATTAGAACACACACACACACTTACGCGGAAGGTAGAACTGAAGATTTTTTTAAATCTTGTTCTTCTTTTGTTAGTCCATATTTTCATATTTATAGACTTGATGTTTTTCTTAATATTTTAAAATTTTAAAAATTACTTTAAATGAGGTAGCATTAAAAATAAAAATTTTAAAAAATTAACTTAAGATTCTGTAATAACAAATTAAAGATTAAATTTTTCTTTTTAAAAAATGAGGTAGCACAGCACAAAGATTAAGAACATAACACACTTTAGAAGTATGGGTTCAATTACACCTGTTTCTGCTACGACTAGCTGAGCATTTTGGAACAAGTTATTTAATCACTTTAAACTACCCTTTCCTCATCTATAAAATGAAGATAATATTAGTACCTATCTAATATGGTTTTTGTGAGCAATAATAGAATCTGTGTGAAGTACTTACACAGGTGCTCAATAAATTGCACACTGGTTTTATTATTGGTAACGTGACCTCTTTATGTATAAAGATACAACACCTGTCAAGTAAACACTTACAAACTTGTAGTCCCAAAAATAGAATGATTCATCTGGCATACCCACATCACAACACACTCACGCATTCTCATTGAGCCCCCTTGCTATGACACCACCCATCTGTAAGAAGGTTAAAGAGGTGGGGCATGAGATCTATGGAGGTAGTTGCATCTCATGAACCTGTACAAGAATTGAACCCATAACCCTGGGCTCATTAGCACCTCATGCCATCTGGCAGGAGTCAAATAGACATTATGAGCACTAGTTATCTGAAATCTGTGACTGTGGAGATGGGTTCTATGACTTTGCCGCCCTGAAAATCCGGATTTAGGAAGGATCCCAGATACTTAAAGCAATTAGCAACTTTATCAATGACAGAGATTACACACACACACACACACACACACACACACACACCAGAAAGTTTAATAGAAGTATCGCAGGGACTCTCCTGACCACATACATCTCACTAGAGAGTTGGCTGCACTCTCACCTAAAGAGGAATTCTCCCATCACTCTTCACTGGGCAACAATTGACAATCACTGTCATGGTGAGCAACTGTGACTGATGACAGTATGTTACAGTAGAAAAATATGATCAATTATCTTGATCTAAATAAAACCAACAAGAAAATCATCTTACTTTTTTCTAGCACACATGCACGTGCACACACACACACACACACACACACACACGCACACACTCAGGGCTCTATGGACCTTTGCATCACACCAGCATCTTTGATGCCCTCTCCCCAAGAATAACAAGGGGTCCCAGGCTCACAAGATGCAACTGTCTCAAAAGATCTCATGCCCAATCTCTGTAACCTTCTTACAGATGGGTGCTGTCATAGCAAGGGGCTCAATGAAAATGTGTGAGTATGTGTGTTGGGGGATGAGTACACCAGATAATTCATTTTACTTTTGGGACTACAAGTTTTTGAATGTTTGCTTGACAGATGTTGTGTCTTTATATATAAAGAGGGCAGATTACCACTTTTTCTGATCACAAACAAGTCAGATCTTCTGCCATGTGCTATCTCCTACTTTTCTTCCACTTCTCTCCTACCCAGCCCCTACCTGCACAGTTCCTGAATATCCACTTTCTCCTCTGTGGTTTCTATTGAACATTGCAGCCACCTGCTTGGAGGACCTCCTATGCGGGGACCAATATATTGAAATTCTCAGGTTTCCAAAGCTGTATCCTCTGGTGTCCTCAGTCCACAAAAGCCACACTGTGTTCCACACAGACGTGAGATCCACATCTCTTTTGTGGACGATCCTTGCCCAGCTGAAGACTAACACAATACTGCTGTGTAAGGATGGCTTACAGAGAGTTGAATGAAAGACTCCATTTTCACCATCTGTCTCATTCTCCTGGGACTAAGGCAGTACTCCATGAAAGGCTGGGCAAGAAAAAAAGCCAAGTACTATACAGTGTAAATTATTCAAAAGCCTTCTCCTCCCCTCCGAAAGCCAAAGATGCATGCTCTTTCACTAGACCAAGCACATCTGATTTCCTCTCCCCTTAGGATGAGTTGTCTCCTAGCAGCCCTCATCAAGCATTCATGCAAATACATTCTTTGCAGGCTCCGTCTCACCAGGAGTCCTGACCTGTCTTCAAGAAATGAACACTGCTTAAGATCAAACTGGGACCTCCCCATGCACAAACATACAAATAAACTTTTCCAGCTCCTTTGCTTCCCATCTGATTTCTAAAACTCTGAATATGCACACCATAAATGAAAAGAACAGATATTCGCTATCCCCAAAGCCCATCATTTTAAAGGTGTAAATTAGTAAATAAAGGGCTGGGGATTTAGGATATGGTTTCTCAAGGGCGAGTTGAATATAAAGCTGCCTTGATACAAAACTGTGCCTTACTACTCACCCTGCCTTTGGCAGGGGCACTGCCCTGACCTCCCTGTCTTAACCCAGCAATGGCCTGGCCCTAAACACCTTTCAAAACGTACCTGTCTTAGATTCAACTCCCACAGGCCCTAAACTCCTAAACTAGCCAGTTCCTCTTTCGCTGTGAGAGTGAACTGATGAAATAATCCTCTCAGCTTCCATCGTTACCTTTAAACAGAGTACTCTAGAGTAACAACTTAACCTAAAGATCCCATGGATGAGTCTCCATGCAGGAGATGGTGCAAGGCTAGACCAGGGAAGGATGGCCTTTCCCAGAGGCCCACCAACCTCCACATTATGACTGCAAAGCCCTGTCCTATTATTTTGATTTCTTCCTTCTTATGCCCAGCAGCCTTTTAAGAGAAAGTGAACGAAATAATCACCAAAGCAAGCATTCGGTTGTTTGATTTTACTTTTGGTGGTTTTAGTTTCAATTGGTACTCTTACGTATCCCATGCTCCTGGCCCTTGTCATTTTTCCTATGCCAGCCACAACTTGAATAATTCTGATATTTGAATGAATTCTCTAGCGAGTCCAGAGCTGTGGAGCTTTGGCCCTTCTTTCTCTCCTGCATCCAGTACTTTCACTCTGATGGTCATTATGTAAATAGGAAAATATTTAGCTCTGGTTTCCTGGAATCTTCTGCGTAACCAGATCTGCAGGTGTGTGGGAGATCAAGGCCTTTGTGTGAGTCCACATAAACATATGCTCCAAAGAAAGGAACTAAACCTCCCTCTCCTTGACCCTAGAGCCAGGACTCTTTTCCCTTCGCTAGGCAAAACCCCTCACACTTGTCTTAAAAGGTTTCCTGAACCTTGCAGAGGGAGGCTTACACCAGCATGTGCTGACCCACTACCGAGCCAAGCATCATGGCTGAAGAGAATGCTCATCTTTGAGATGATAACTTACAAAGATGAAAAAAGTACTGATTTTATAAGATAATCCTCATTAATGTATCTTCTTTTTATTTTTCAACAGCCAAGTGTGCATGTATAGTAACTTCAACAACAGAAGTATCTAATAGCAATTCTCAGCCAGTCTCCCAACACACAGAGCTCTCTAGAATATTTTAATCATATAACCAGAAAATATGTACTTTTGTTTCACTTACCTTTGTCGAGAATCCATGTAAAAATGGTGTTTAACTTCTGTGAAACAATAACTCGATTCAGTGTGGGGGTTAGAGGTGTAGATTTCTAAGCTTCTGGGCTATTGTGAGGTTTGGATGACTCTCTAAGCCTTCTAATCATTTGTTTCATCAAATTATTTTCTCAAAGTCTACAAGGGGTCATACTAGACCAAACCTAAAAGTTTCTTCAGTGTGCCTACATTTCTAAACAAGACTAGGAGAGGAAATTTGAACTCACAGCTCCAGCCAATACCCTCCTTCTGCCCTTCAGTCTTCATTGCTTTCCTCCAACATAGTAGCTCAGATTTCATTTGTCTGTGAATGGTAGAAAACCAAAAATAGCAGTGTCTAAAATAATACAAAAGTTGACTTATGTCTCAGTGTAAGAGGTTCAAGACTGTCCTGGTTTCTTCACAAACCTAGAGCTCTAGGTCCCTTTAAGCTAATTGCCCCCACGGCCTTGGCTTCATGATCCAAGATGGCGGCTGTTACACTTCTGGCAACAGGTTAGAGACAAAGGGCATCTCATGCTGTCTCTTAAGAATTTCACCAGGACCTTTCATGTGACATTTCTGCTTAAAGTCCCAGTAAACAAAACTTTGTTCCCTGGCCAGACCTAGATATGAGAGAGTCTAGGAAATGGTATCACCATTCTGGAGATTACAGGTCCAGTCAAAAGTCAGAGGCTCTCTCACCATGGAAAAAGGAGAGAATAGATATTAGGGGATTTCCAGCAATCTCTTTCACATGACCAGCTATTCTCATAAATTTTCAAATCACAGCGAATTTTGAATTAAGAGATGAGGCTGGCTGAAAGGCCAGCAGTAGATCAGAGGAGCAGGTGGCAGACTGTGTGCTGAGAAAGAGAACAAGCTGAAACAGAAAAACAAACAGAGCTGAATGCAAGGGCATGAGTGAAAGAAAGAAGCTGATAGTGAATTTAAGAATTATTGAGAACCTACCAGACATCAAACACTAAATCCATAAGAATTAAAAAGTTGATAACAATTCAGAAAATGCCAAATAAATCAATGGAAGAGAATAGAACCCAGAAACAGTACCAGGTCTATGTATGAGGAAGGACGGGTTATCCAATAAATAGTTTGATGACAAATGGCTATCCATGTGGAAAGAAATAGATTTGGATCACTTTCTCTCTTAGCTTGGGTATTTTACAAACAGTACCTGAAGCAAGGCTTAGGTGCTAGTATTTGTTACAAGATGCAACTCCAGGAGAGTAAGGGTAAGGGAAGAGAGGTGAGATAAGGAAGCTTGGAAGGCCAACATGAGGCAATGGATACTGAGAAGGCCACTGCTTTATGAAGAGACACAGCTGGTCACACAGCTAGGCAGGACATCCACAAACCCACTACATAAAAAACAGTGCTTCTGATCAGCCCATCGGAAGAACACAAGGAGGGAGAGTTTGTCCTCTGACTTCTTCCTCTCTGCTCTTACCCATGGGGGTTAACTCTCCATGCTTCTGGGTTCTGTCCCCGGGCCAAGGCTACAACTTCTGGGGACACCAGTTGTACTCCTTTCCTAGTCTTGGGGTGAATGAGAAGCCAGAGATGCAGGCTCCAAATGCGAGCCTCGAAGACGGCATGAACACGGCCATGACAGCTGAGGTGGGGGAGTGGCTGGGGTCCCAGAGACTGGTGAGGCTGAGAGAATGCACGAGGCGCAGGAGCTACATTCAGTACACTGCCTCACATTCTACACAGAAACAAACGTCAGGTGAATCCAACATACAAACATAAAAACAGTAACAGCCACGTAAAAGTAGGAAAAAAAAATGTTCATAGATAATCTTGTGAAGAATAGGCTTTCCTAAGTATAACTAAAATCTGAAATCATTTGGGGGAATAAAGAAGGCAAGCTTGGCAGATTTGACTGAAACTTCTTCCTGGAAAAAGAGACATACATACACACAAAAGTAAAATATCAAGTGGATAACATAGGTATTTGCAGCACAGAGAAACAGATAAAATATAAATATCAGTAGGCACTAAAGAACTTCTACAAATCAATAAGAAAAACTAAGTGGAAAAGTAATGTGCCTAGAAAGCAGACAGTTAGCCCAAGATGACAACAGTCTAACCATCTAGTTTAAATAGATCCACAAGATAATCCTTTTCACAGTGGCCAAACTCCTAAAGGAACCTCAGATGGAAGAATTGCAAAGCAAGCAAAGAGAAATAGTGTAAATACTCCACTGGATTTGATTACTTTATAGCGTGAGAACCAGATTTCCAAAGTTCCACTGAATGAACTGAAAAATTGCCCCTCAATGGTTTCATTTCTGCAGCCTTCACATGAGCTAAAATCCCAGAAGGTTCCATCTATTCCAAGATAACTAGGCTTCATTGAATGTGTCTGTCTATAGCAAACTCCACCCAGATTGAATTCTGACACATTTATAGCAAAGGCCATTTTGCCTGGGCACCCTGCCCTCACATAATTCTGTACTGTTGATTTATATTGCTTCCCATAAAAAAGTTCTTTTTATCATAATAGGACAACATTAAGCTACAGCAAAATAATGCCTTACATTTATTGGCACTTTCTCAAAGCATTATCTATTACTTAATGGGATCATCACAAGAACATTGATAGGAGAGTAAGATTTTTTTAAATATTCATTTGGCAGAGGAGGTTTTTAAAACACAGATTATATAAAGGACACACCCCACGTCAAAGAGCCAATTACTGGCAAATCCAGAACTAAATTTTAGGTGCCCACTAGCTTCCAATCTTCAGTGTTTTCCATCAGATTTCACAGTTTCTACTGAACAACGTGTAAGTAACACGATTCTACAAGCAGGGCAATGGGTTGTTTTCAAGATATATACCTTTAGGTATTCGTAATGGAGTTTGGCAGCTTCAGAAAAACTAAGTTGTTTACATTCAACTGTCTCTTAACAGCACGAGCTAACTGTCCAAATGCAGTCAGAGATGTTAGAATTAATACTGAACGCCAAAGAACCCATCCCTTTTTTAATATCTTGAAACTGAGCCAGTAAAATGTCTTCCGGTTATTAATTTCCATAGTCATTTTCCTTTTATTCCATAAACGGGGGAAGGAAGAGCAGGAAAAATCCCTTTTCTCCTCCCAGGGCAGGATTACTAGTATCTACTATTGAGAAATCCATCTTCAGGTCAGAAATGTCCATCATCCAATGTTGATTGAGCAACAAAGTGTGAAGGGTCTTTTGCCAAGCCCTAGGCACCAGACACTGTAGAATCTCTTAGTGAGATTCTAAATTCACCCAGGCTAGACATGATTGTCTTCCAATTTTGGCCATGATTGATAAAAGAGAAAAATCAGTGGAAAAGCCAGAAATGTGAAAAGAATTTGACACTTCTGAAAGCTATTTGTTTGGGTTTGGTTTCTATTGGATGTAGAAATCAAAATCTCAAATAAAATTTTACTTGACCTGTATCTTATCTATATTTTACTTGGTCTATACCCAATAGTTTCTAGATCAAATTAATTAATGATGACCAAGAAAATTTCCATTTAGGTTTTCACTCACTATAATGGGAGCTAACACAGAGCAGGGATTTTTGCCTGGTTTCTTGACTGAATTTTCCCAAGTGCTTTGAACAGTGCCTGCCATACAAGTGTTTAACAAATAATTTAATAAGTAAGTAAAATCTGTGGCAAGATATTTCTTTCTAATGTCACTTGGACCTTGAGTGAACAAAAGACCGAATCTCCAGTATGCTCACATTTTTTAGATATAGTTACATTTTTGCGAGTTTGGGGTTATTGCCCCAGCAAAACTCTCCATTTGGAGAAAGAGGAGAGGATGAAATCTCTTGAACTGAGCCAGATGTCTCAGATATTTTCTTAACCTTTGAGTTGTTAAGATTTTGAAACATATCTCATGCTTATTATTTTACATAAAAGTTTTAAGGTTTGCCTTTACTTTTTAACTAGGCCCAGTTTAAGAACAAAACACAGTTTACTTTTTTTGTTTGTTTGTTTTTGAGATGGAGTCTCGCTGTTGTCGCCCGGGCTGGAGTGCAATGGCACAATATCGGCTCACTGCAATCTCCACCTCCTGGGTTCCAGCAATTCTCCTGCCTCAGCCTCCCAAGTCGGGGAAAAAAAAATAGAAATCTATTGGAAGAACACAAGATAGACTAGAAAATTTAGGGGAAAATTGAAGAATGGACTCCGAAGGAAAGGAAATTAAGGTATTTCTGGGGATCTAGGGAACAAAAGCCATGGATAGCACTGCAGGGTACACCTGCTTGGGAAACAGCCACAGTGGTCACTCTATTCAGTATTTGAATTCCAGACAGAAAGGCTAAGGAAGCGTGAGGCACTTGGACAGAATCCCACCAATACTGTAAACCATGGAGAAATGCATATCCCAAAGTGGGTGACTATTACCAGCATATCGGGAAATGGACCCTGAACAGGCAAGAACAGGTGTCCCTTACAACAGTGACTCCACAAGTACATGACCTACAACTGGAAAAGCATATCCCATCCTGGACAGAACATACGGCTGCCCTTCATGAAGGTGAACACTGGTAACAGATCCAAACAGCAACTGGGAAAGTCTTTAGGGGGCCAAATAAAAACAGTCTATTCAGCAAAATTTATACACAATTTGTTAAAATTGGTGTTGCATCAGGGACATGTCTCCTGCCCTGTGAAATGCAAGAGCTCTGAAATGTAAAAAAGGCAAGGCACCCTATGTAAACAGACTTCATTTTACGAATGAAATTGTCAACAGAAGCAGATTCGTGTATTTCCCCATTATGGGCTTTTACTGGTACTTCGTGTCTTTGGTCTTAATCAAAATACAGGAAGTCCCTGCTTTGCACGACAGCACAGACCATAGAAATGACTGTGCAAGATGAAACCATGTAAAGTGATCTGAATAATCAATGAGGAAAATTATAATTATTCCACAGCCTTTAAAAAATGTTGTCAAAGCATTAAAAACACCTCCTGTTTGTTATATATATGTAAATGAAAAGATAAAATTATATTTATTTAGTACACTATTATTTAAGTATTAGAAATAATTAGAATTAAAATATTTTATTTCTTTGCAAAAAAAAAAAATGTTACCCACAGTAGTTTGAACAGGGCTTGCCTTCTTTTTCTCATGGTACAATTATGGAATGAGCATCTTTTCTATGCCTTGGCAAAGTGTAATGCTTCTTTCTAAATTTGGGTTAGTTTCCAACATTTTATCCTTTGTGCTTTCAATGTTGTGAAATATCTCCAAGAGTTCCTTTAACATGAAGTGATTTCTTTTGAGCGTCACTTCCTCTGGGACATTTTCATCTTTTTCGTCACAGCCACTCTCCTCCTTTACGTGCATAAGTCCATCTTTACTAAGTTTCCCTGGCTGCATATCTAGAGTGTCAGCAGCAAGGTCACCAATTCCACAGTCAGCTATTTCTTCTAATTCCATTGACATTTGATTCAAATTTTACATTCATCATTATCAAATTTTGTTCTTTGCTTTATTTTTATCTTTAGTGGTCAATTCCCATTTTCTAACATTCATTTTTATAAAATGTCACATGAATTTATTACTAGTGACAAGGAGACACAGATTGGTGACAGATTATGAAGGGCATCTGTCACTGATGTAGCAATTTTTCTTCTGCAGAGGCAGCAGCATAGTCTGTGCTTCATGCAATCACTCACGGTTAATATACCAGGGTAACTGAAATTTGAACCATGCTGTTAGGGACTGGTGTTATTGAAGCAAACCGTGGTAACTGAAATCCACACATATCAGAACTCTGCAAAGTGAGAGCTGCCTGTATTGTGAAATATTCTGCTGGAAGCCTTTTAATGGGCCCTGAGACCTCTTATGACTTCTTTATTGCCCTATTTTTGGGAAATTCTTAGATAGGAAAACATCGTGTCTTATCAATATTTGCTTATAACTGTAACACAGAGTAGATTATATTTGATCACTGACTGCCTTGGAACTATCCAATAAATCTTATGTTTTACCCTCTGCCAAACAAGTTAGATTTTGGAACATCAATTTATTCTATCTGCAATGAAGCAAGATCATCTTTAGCTTCTACCTGTAAGGTTGAAACTAGTGAAACACTCCTCGCCCTTCAAGACCCAACTCAAATGTCACCTTCTCAATGAGCCTTTCCTGCACCCATCAGTTAGTCACACATCTTGAAGAACAAAGATTCTTCTTGTTCACCTTTATGTCCTTTGTACCCTGCACAGTGCCTAGCCCATATGAGATGCACAAATATTTCTTGAGTAATGATAATTTATCTCAAACTTTTTTAAAAAGTGTATTTTTCTAGTCAATAATTGGATGCTTCCCAGCATGACATTGTAAGTAAAAGGCCCAAAAGGAATAGTAGCCAAGAGACACAGTTTGATGGCCTAGCATTTACATCCAAGAGTACCAGAATCTAGTTCCAAATACTGGAGGGCCATCTTGGGTGTGATGGTCAGGACAGACTGGGGAAAGCCCCACTGAGTGGGCGTATGATCTGCATATAAATTTTGCTGACTCACGCTGGCTTCGGTGTTTGCAGTCCTCTCAATCCATAATGGATAACACATGGGGGAAGAGAGTTATGAAAAAAACATAGTCATATGGTTCAGTGTATAGATCTGAGGAAAATACCTTTTAAATGAAATTGAGCCAAACGTCTGTCTCACTCTGTTTGCAAAGTACACAGTACTGTATGGACTAATCAAACTTTATAGCTCTCCTGTGCAATCTTGTACATTCCTAAAAACATGTTTCTCCCAGAGCTGTCACTTGTTGGAAATGTGTCACTGACCAAACAGTGTTTTCTATACTACACAGAATGAAATGTAAATATCATACAAAGTCCATTTGACCGAGCTCATGGGAAAGCATGAAACAATATACATTCCACATTATGTCTTTCTCTCACAAACTACACACATGCACCACACAAAAATCAGAAACAAAAGCAAGAAAGTATTTGGCTCATTGGGCAAGTTACACAACACTCATTTCATTAAATTAATTCTTTTATCTGCAAATCCCTACAAATACTTAGTAAACTTCACCTGATGAAAGGGATTATTGTCATTTTACAGAAAACAAAGCAGTAAGCGTTTGTCCAATTGCACAATGGAACTCAGAAAAACCCAGCTTTCCTGAACCCAAAAGTTCACACAGATGTAAAAGCTATACAAGAGAACCATAAGAGGCTGCAATACATCTTTATACATGTTGTCACCACACAGTCAAGCTCCACAGAGTCAGGAGGCATGTGGATGTGTGTCTACACATTCAAGCACATGCATGAAGATGTAAGAGCAGGTAGACACTCCCACATGGAGATTATGGCTTCAGCAAAGCATGAAGAAGGTAGTGTGTGCATGATGAGTGTGAGAGGCGGATATAGTCAGCAAGCCAAAGAGTGACATGATGGGAGAGTGGCAGAATTTAAATCTGGGCAAAGTCAACTAGTATTGTGAAGAGTTTCAAATGTTTCATCTCAAGAATACAGTCTATAGACAATCGGACCTACATCTCCAGATTTTGAAAGTGAAGTTATATGAAGGCGTTTCTTCTTATTTGAAGAAGCACTGTTCTGCAGCAATAGAGCAAGCATGCACTTTCGAGTTTTGTTGTTGGCAGTGGCGGTGGCCATGGTGGGAGTGGTTTTTTTTTTTGTTTTTTTCTGGCAGAGACTATAGTTCTGATCTGGCAGGCCCAGTGAGAACTTTGCAATATGTCAAATGTATGACAACAAGAATTCTTACCTAATCATGTTTTGAATATTAGAAATCAGTAGTCCTTAATGGCTTAATATATTCTTAGTAAAGCAGCCCTAAGACAGAGTTCTTGGTGGATAATACTTGTCCGTAAGTTCAGAAAAAAGGATTTGCATCTATGTATTAACCCATCAGGAAGATTGGCTCACACTCGGACTCTACTTTAAGCTACAGAGGCAAGGGCTGCATCAACAGACTCCCAGAAACCACAAGGACTTCCATCCTCACAGCTCTGAAGATATGAGAGTGGCGGTGACCAGCTGTCCACGCAGGGACTTGAGGCTCAGCTGGGAAGAGGAGGCCTTGGTTTGGCCACCGGACACTCAGTTTACATTTCATCCTGTTTGCCCAGAGCCTGATCACATTCTGCCTCATATCCATGCTGCACTCTTCACAGTTTGCCTCTAGCATCTTCCCGAAGGGATAGACTGTGCCCCACAAGCTCACTGCTCTGCACACACCAGGCACAAAGCGGGTGTGTGAGTAGAAGGAAAGTCACCAAGAATCTTTTCTTTATAAGATATAAGAAATGTAATGTTCAGTGTGCCTTAGGAAACAAACTGATGTCTTTCTATGAATGGGGGGTCCCCAAGGCACCTCAGAATTTTTTTTTACAACATGTTTTGATATACAACTACATGGTGAAATCATTACTATTGTGAAATGAATTAACATGTCTATTGTCTCACATAGTTATTTTTGTGATAAGATACCTAAAATCTATTCTCTTAGCAAATTTTTAGTGCACAACACAACACTAACTATAGCCCTCGTGCTGTACTTTAGCTCTCTAGACTTCTTTATCCTACATAACTGCAGCTTCATACGCTTTAACCTACATCTCCCTCCATCCGCTCCTCCCTGCTGCCCATGGTAACCACTATTCTACTCTATTTCTACACATTCAGCTTTTTTTGGATCTCTGCACTTGTAAGTGCAGTCACACAGTATTTTTATATCTGTTTCGGGCCGATTTCACTTGGCATAATGTCCTCCAGGTTCACCCATGTTGTTCCAAATGACAGAATCTCCTTATTTTTTTAAGGCTGAATAATATTTCATTGTATGTATTGTGTGTATGTATATATACACCACAATTTCTTTTTTTTAACTTTTAGGTTCAGGGGTACGTGTTCAGGTCTGTTATACAGGTAAATTGTAAGTCACAGGGGTTTGGTGTACAGATTATTTTGCCACCCAGGTAATCAGCATAGCACATGACAAGTAGTTTATTCATTCTTCCTGCACCCTTAAGTATGACCTGGTGTCTGCTGTTCCCTTCTTTGTGTCCTTGTGTACTCAATGTTTAGGTCTCACTTATAAGTGAAAACACGTGATATTTGGTTTTCTGTTCCAGTGTCAGTTTGCTTAGGATTAAGGCCTCTAGCTCCATCCACATTTGTTCAAAGGACATGTTCTCATTCCTTTTTATGGCTGCATAGTGTTCCACAGTATGTATGCGCCACATTTTCTTTATTCAGTCTACTGTTGACGGGCAGCAAGATTGATTCCACATTTTTGCTGTTGTGAATAGTGCTGTGATGAACATACACATGTATGTGGCTTTATGGTAGAATGATTTCTATTCCTTTGGGTATATACCCAATAATGGAATTGCTGGGCCCAGTGGTAGTTCTGCTTTGAGTTCTTTGAGAAATTACCAAACTGCTTTCCACAGTGGCTGAACTAGTTTACATTTCCACCAGCAGTGTATAAGTGTTTTTTTTTCCCCACAACCTCACCAGCATCTTTTATTTTTTGACTTTTTAATAATAGGGAACCTAACTAGTGTGAGATGGTACCTGTTTGTGGTTTTGCTTTGAATTTCTCTAATGATTAGTGATATTGAGCATTTTATCATGTGCTTGTTGTCCATGTGTATGTCTTCTTTTGAAAAGCATCTGTTCATGTCCTTTGCCCACTTTTTAATGGGGTTGTTTTTGGCTTAAGTTCCTTATATACTTCTGGATATTACACCTCCCATTCTGTAGGTTGTCTGTTTACTCTATTGATAGTTCTTTCACTCTGCAGAAACTCTTTCGTTTAATTAGGTCGCATCTAACCATTTTTGTTTTTACTGCAATTGTTTTTGGCTTGTTATGAAATTTTTGCCAGGTCCTATATCCAGAATGGTATTTCCTAGGTTATCTTCCAGGATTTTTATACTTTTACGTTTAACATCTAAACCTTTAATCCATATTCAGTTGATTTTTGTATATGGTCCAGTTTCAATCTTCTGCACATGGCTAGCCAGTTATCCCAGCACCATTTATTGAATAGGGTGTTATTTCCCTGTTGCTTGTTTTTGTCAACTTTGTAGAAGATCAAATAGTTGCAGGTGTGCAGCATTATTTCTGGGATCTCAATCCTGTTCCATTGATCCATGTGTCTGTTTTTGTACAAGTACCATGCTGTTTTGGTTACTATAGTCTTTTATTATAGTATAAACTTCCTTAACATGATGCTTCCAGTATTGTTCTTTTTGCTTAGGACTGCGTTGCCTATTCAAGGTCCCTTTGGTTCCATACAAATTTTAAAATAGTTTTTTGTAATTCTGTAAAGAATGTCACTGGTAGTTTGATATAGGAAGAGTATTGAATCTATAAACTGCTTAGAGCCGTATGGCCATTTTAACAATATTGATTCTTCCTATCCATGAGCATGGAACGTTTTTCCATTTGTTTTTGTCATCTGATTTCTTTGAGCAGTGTTTTATAATTCTTGTTGTAGAGATCTTTCACCTCCCCGGTTAGCTGTATTCCTAGATATTTTATTCTATTACTAATTATTACAGTTGAGTGTGGAATTATTACATCATCTGTTTTAGTCTGTTCAGGTTGTCATAACAGAATAACACAGACAGGATGGCTTATAAACAACAGAAATTTATTTCTTACAGTCTGAAAGCTGGGAGGTCCAAGGTCAAGACACTGGCAGATTAGGTGTCTAGTAAGGACTCACTTTCTGATTCATATAGGGACATCTGCTCACTGTGTCCTCACATGACCAAAGGACTGAGGGATCTAAGATCTCTTTTATAAGATTACTAATCCCATTCATGAGGGCTCTGCTGTCACAACCTAATCATCTCCTAAAGGCCCCATCTCCAAATACCATCACACTGGGGATTAGGGCTTCAACATATGAATTTGTGTGGGGAGGGACGTAAACCTTCAGTCCGTAGCACTAATTGCCAATATCAAACAAGATCTCATTTTGTTCAATTCATTTTAATGAAAAGTTCATCTTTATTGTCATAAACTAACCAAAATGCAATTTGTTCTGCTGTAGCCATGGAGAGAACCCAAAAATAATACAGGGAGTAAAGGCCACATCATTGCCCCTCTGAAGCACACAGCTAATGATGACTACAATGGCCATACTGATCCTAACAGCACTGACGATGTGTGGGGCACGCTTCTAAGCCATAAGTTATTGCTACATCCATCTCATTGGCCTCAAAGCCAAAGGAGGTCCCTTGATAACCTATGAACACCTGTCTGAGAATTTTGTGGCTTCTCATGTGGGGGAAGGGATGGCTGAGGGTGCACTGTGTATAGGATGGTGATCCAAGCATGGGCTGTAGGTCCAAATGGCCTAGGTTTCACCATGTGACAAAAGCCAAGTCACTTAGCCCCTTTGTCCATCTCTAAAAAGCACCAACCTGGGGTTCATGTGAGGATTAAATACAAATTTAAATGATTAAAGAGCTTAAAACAGGCCCTGGCACGTAGTAAGTGTTCAGTAAACCTTTACTAGGATGATCATGATGAGCACATAAATGTTCGGGTCACTGTCATTAGATACTTCCGCCTAATTAATCTTCCTCAGACCCAGCACACCATGGAACTGCGATGGAAGCGTGCAAATGGAGATGAAGGATCACTCATACCACTATGCTGAGCAAGTCATTGTAAAAGGAACAGAAGGTGTCCTTTTTCCTAGCTTGTTAGTTCCCTTATACCACACAAAGGAAAGAGCTTGAAGACAGATGCGGAGGTTAAAAACACTCTGCCCCACAAAGGCTCTCTCTCTCTCACACACACACACACACGCACGCACGCGCGCACACACACACACACCCTGTCTCTTCCTCTCATAAATCACCACTAGTTCACTCCCTCATTCCTACATCTGTACCCAGAGAGCCTCCAGCCCTCCATACAAGACAGGGATTTCCAGACTCTAGTCCTTAAGCTTGGTCAAATGAGCAGACCCAGCTCCAAGAATAAAGGGATAACAGGGGATCTCTTTCCCGTCCAACACTCCATTGGAAAGAGCTACAGTGATCTCACACTAGTTACCTTAAGAAGCATGCCACTGCGCTATGGTGGGCATTGTATTTTCTGGAGACACCACTCACCCCTGTGTTGGCTCTATATAAGGAAAGGCTATTCCTCTTCTGAGTGTGGCTTTGCTCTCAATGTGTTCCCGATGCACCCTGGCTGAGGATGACTCCCCTGCCATCTCAGATGTTTGCATGGTGTCGGGGAGAGGAATGCGTTCATTCTCAGTTCATTCTACCTCATCTCTGATTCTCACAAAAACTATGTCCCTGAGGAGGAAATGAAGGCATAGAGAAGGTAAGTGACTCCATTAAGGTTACACAGCCTATCGTAATCCAGATAAGCTAAATCTTTTGTTCTCTCCACCATGTTTCCTGCCTGCCTGATGTTTAGGATAAAAGCAGAATTCATCAACTCTTACATAAACACATAAAGACTGATGCTATAAAGCCTGGTTGCTCCAAAGAGTTGGCTTCCCTTGACGGATACAGCCTTTACTTACTGAATTGCTAGCAGAGAAGAAAGACATGAAGAGTCCAAGCTTCAGAAGTCATCCAGCAGCTGTTCAGATCTCTTGGCAAAATACCAAGAAGCCTGGTCTGCATAATTCTCTCTCAAAGAGGCAACACCAAAATGCTTGTCCCCAACTTCATTCTGAAGACTAATTTGTCAACTTCAACACAACAGCTCTTTCCCAAGACTTATCCCTATTCCTAGTTTCATGAGTCAAAACTTTGGGCTCCTTAACCCTGAAGAGAACCTTGTTCTTCTCACTGCCTTCCCACGGGTTGGGCTGAGGCCAGTGGAAAATGCAGTAGCCAGTGGAACATCCCTAGTGACCTTGAGCTCCTTGTCTTGGCTCTGAAATAAACTCTGCTCCACTTTTTTCTTTCCTGTTTGATTTCCTTAGAATTTATTTTTAAAATATACACACAGTAAAATTAGCTCTTTTTACTGTACAGCTGTGTGTTTTGGCAAATGCCTAGAGACAGGTAGCCACCACCACCACCAGGATACAGAACATTTCCTTCACCCCTAGAAAGCTCCCTCATGATTCCCTCTTGTAGTCAAACCCTCCCCTCACTCTCAAGCCCTGCCAACCACCAGTTCGCTGTTTCTACAATTTTGCCTGCTCTAGAATGTCATGTACATGGAATTATACAGTATGAAGTTTGAGTCTGGCTGCTTTCATGTGACACAAAGCAGTAGAGATTCATCCAAGCTGTTTTGCATATGACTAGTTCATCTTTTTTATTGCAGAGTAGTATGCTACTGTATGAACGTACCACAGTTTCTTTATCCATTCTCAAGTTATAGAACATTTGGGTGGTTTTGCATCTGGGGGTGATTATAAAAAAAGCTTCTGTAGACATTTGCATACAAGTTTAATGTAAATCCATTTTTATTTCTTTTGGACAAGCACTTAAGAGTGAGATTGATGGGTCATATAGTTGGTGTATATTTAATTTTATAAGAAACCACCAAACTGTTTTTTCACAGTGGCTGCATAATTTTGCATTTCTACCAGCAATACGTGAGAGTTCCGGATGCTCCACATCCTCACCACTTTTTGGTATTGTCAGAAATTTTTTTCTCTTTTGTCTTCTAGCCTTTCCCTGAGAAGAGGCACAGTCATGAAGCTGCTTATCCAAAGATACTCCTGTGGAAGGGGTGGGGCTCCACAGACCCACAGGAAGGCTGTAGGCTTGGCAAGCTCATAGCAGATCAGAGGGTCAGGAATATGAGTGCTGTCTGTCTAGCCTCAGCCAAAAAGAGCCATGACCCACCATGAGTCATGAAAGAAAATGTCTAGGTTTGAAACTTTCTAAAAATATGAAGTTAGGAATATTACCTTATATATCCTTATATTTCCCTATACCTAATGCCATGTCTAAACTTACAGCTGAGTGAATGCCTTCACTTGGTTCTCCTGGATTTCATATATTTTCCAGATCATGAGGAAAGCCCCACATACAGGAAATGCACAAACTGACTATTTCAGCTGCAGGGATGGTCCCTAGTGCCAAGGTATATTCTATGTGCAGCTGGAGCCAAGGTTGAAAGGCCTAGAATGATAAGACACAGTCTAAAACAGCAGCTCCAAACTTTTGGAAAAGTCATTAACCCCTCTGAGAATCCTGAAGAAACTCTGGACTCTCTCATCAGAAAAAAAATGAAGAAATAATATACCAAAGAAAAAGTTACATTCATCCACAGACCACTACTACTACCCAGAAGGAGCCCTGGCTCTAATAAGCAGGCAGTCATTTCTGTGAATATTTTGCTCTTTCATGGGGAGGAAAGGGACCTGAGGACTGCTTACTAGTGAGGCCAGGGAGATACTTGTACCAGTATGCTAAGACTGTCCTAACAAATTACCACAGCCTAGGTGGCTTAAACAATAGAAATTCATTTTCTCACAATTCCGGAGGCTAGAAGTCCGAGAGGAAGGTATTATAGTTTGTTTTGTCTGAGGCCTCTCTCCTTGGCTTGTAGATGCCATCTTCCTCCAGTATCTACACACTGTCTCCCTTCTGTGTGTCTCTGTGTCCTAATTTCCTCTTCCTACAAGAACATCAGTCATGTTGAATAAGGGCCTACTCATATGACCCCATTTTACTCCAATTACCTCTCCCAGCCCTCATCTCCAAATAGAGTGACATTCTGAGGTACTGGAGATTAAGACTTTTTGGACTTCAACAAGTGAATGTGATGCAGGCACAAGTCAGCACATAATATCGATTCTTGCAGTTTCTTAGAAGACTAAAGCTGTAGAACTTAAGACTTCAGAAATTCTAACAGTCCCACCACTGAATGTATTTCTAAAGGAAATGAAATTAGTATGTCAGAGGTATCTATACTTCCATGTTCACTGCAGCACTATTCACAATAGCCAAGACATGGAATCAACCCAAGTGCCCATCAGCAGATGAACGGATAAAGAAAATGTGCAATAGATACACACTGGAATACTATTCAGCCTTAAAAAGGAAGGAAATCCTGTCGTATCATAGATTCACCTGCAGAACATTAAGTGAAATAAGTCAAGCACAGAAAGACAAATATCACATGATCTCACCTAAATGCGGAATCTTAAAAAAAAAAAAAAAAGAAAAGTCAAACTCACAGAAAAGGAGAGAAAAGTTGTGGTTACCACAGGCTGGGTTTTGAGGAATTAAGAAGATGCTGGCCAACAGATACCAAATTTTTGTTAGACAGTAGAAAGTTCAAGAGATCTGTTGTACATCAACGTTGACAACAGTAAACAACTTCATGTATACTTGAAAATTGCTTAGATTTTCAGTACTCTCACCACGAAAAAGGGTAAGTATGTAAGGTGAGGCATATGTAAAATAGCTTGATTTAGCCATTCTACCATGTGTACATAGATCAAAACATGTTGTACACCATAAACACACAACTTTTACTTGTCAATTTGAAAAGTTAAACTAGAAGTTGTGTAAAGTCTGTCTAATAAACACAGACAGTGCTTATAATGTATAGGCACTCTGCTTAGGTGCTTTATAATAATCAAACCTTTAATTTTCATTTTTTAAAAACTATGAATTAGGCACTATTTCTTATTTTCCCCCTTTTAAAGATGACAAAACAGAGTAAGGGGGCCAGGATTAGGACCCAAGCTCCCTGCCCGCAAGAGCTCATCTTCATATCCAGTACTCTAAACTGCCTCTCCCTAAGCAATAGGCTCTTCTTTGCTGCCTTTCTTGACAAGGAAAAGTGAAGAACTAAACAACCATCCAAGCTATCTATTCAATGCAGATTCAAAAAACATCGCTAGGAGATTCAAACACAGTTCTTCAGTGCAATTTTTTTCCTTTCCAACTACTTGTAACCTTGCTAATTGCTTAACCTTCCTCAAATGTCTTACTCAAAACCAGTGTCTCCCTATAGATCAAATCTAAACCGGGCAGGCTGGCTTTTAGGCTTCTACCTTACCTTCCTTCCCTTTCACCATCTGTACCAGACATCTATTGCTGTATAACAAATTATCCCCAAAACCTGGCAGCATAAAAAATAAACGTTTATTTTCTCCCACAGTTTTTCTGAGATTCAGGAATCTGGGAGCAGCTTAGCTGGATGGTTCTGGTTCTCTGTCAAGAGGTTGCAATCAAGAGGTCAGCCAGGGCTGCAGTCATCTGAAAGCTTGACTGAGGCTGGAGGATCTGCTTCCAAAATGACTCATTCAAACAGCTATTGGCAAGGGGTCTCTATCCCTTCCCTCATGGCCCCCTTTATATGCTGTTTGAGTATCCTCACAACATGATAGCTGGAGCTCACCTCTCTAGAGCAAGTGATGAGACAGAGAGAGAGACAGGCGGAGACAGACAGGCAGAGAGAGACAGGCGGAGAGAGAACAAGAGAGAGACAGAAAGCAAATGGGACCAAAGACACAATGCCTTTTTACGACCTAGTGTCTGAATCATATCTTCACTTCCATCTTATTCACTGGAAGCAAGTCATTATGTCAGCCCTGATTTAAAGGGAGAGGAACTAAGCTCCACCTGTTGAAAGGAGCAGTATTGAAGAATTTGTGGACATGATTTTTTAAAAAATCACCACACCATCTAACCTTATTTCCCACAATTACCCCAATATACACAGCAGCAAAACCATGTTGCCATAGAAATTAGCACTGGTTCAGGAGACCCAATTCTATGCCTGTGACCTTGGGGACTGCACTGCACCTATCTGATCTTCGGTTTTCTCCTGGAGGGTGAAGGGTTGGATTTGGAGGGTCTAGAAGCTTTTCCCTCTGACTCCTGTGGTCTGTAGCTCTAAGAGGGCAGTGAACTAGTTTGTTTGGGCCTCCTCTCATTGGCTACACCCACGCTTCCTTTCTAGCTGTGGCTTGGAGGGCCTACTCCAACTCTTTCTCCTCCCACTCATCTCTTTCTCTTCAAAATCCCAATCAACTCAGGTCATGTGAGCCTCAAGTAAAAACAAAAAAAAAAATCCTTGTTTGTAAATGTTAAACAGCCTCGCCTTGCTCTTTCCTGTGGCTGACATGTGCAAATTTTGTCTCCCCATGGGCCAAAGATGCTGCAGGCTGGAGCTATTTTTCCCACCTCTTTGATGCCTGCCCGTGTTTTCAGTGAACAGAGTTTAGAGAAATTATTTGCCAAATAATATCAGGCTCAACTACTCTGTCCCTCAGGGTTCCTTCAAACAGAGGAGCTCAAACCCTCAGCATTGTGTCCCTGCAGCCAGCATTCTCAAGGGAAGAGATCATCTTCACTTAACTGCCAATGACAAGGGGCTTAGTTTCTAATTTTTAATCTTTTCCAAATGTCTTGTTAAAATTAAACCATAAACTAAAGAAATCCCTCCCCAGATTAGGAAACCAAATGGGAAATGTGGCCATTTGGCATGAAACTGTCAAACATTTTCAGCACACATACATCCCAACCCATTGGATGAGACAGCCTGCGTCACAGGCCAAGAGGCCGTGGCCCCACACATATCTCTGCAACTGCATTCAGAAGCCCTGACCTTGGGCCACTGCTCAGGCCTCCATCCTCACAGACGCTCTGAGGCGGCAGCTGGAAGGGTCAGGCCCAGTCATGCTCTGGATGGGCCATGTCTCTGCGACTGCAGCTTTCAGAGCCACCTCTAGGCCTGGCTCAATTTTAGGGCCACAGGAGACTCGCTCTCTCTGCTCCAGAATCTGTCTTCAGAGTAAAGCCCGAATTTTAAATTGGGCTTTGTTAGGGAAGCAGCAGAAATAAGTCTCGAATGAAAGAAGAAACAGGTCCTCTGAGGAGAATCTCAAATCATTAATCCTGGGGAAATGAAGCTAGAAAATGATTCCAGAAATATTACGAATCCTAGGCTTATTCAAGTTGTTTATTTCATAGCAGAAAAAGATGCTGCTCAGGCAAAATTCTAAATTCAGCTGCTTTTCCTCCCTCATCTGATTCTCTTGCCTCCTTCCCTGGGCCTGGGCCTGGGCCTCTGTGTGTCCTGGTCCCAGGTCCTCGCTTCCCATCTGCTCTTTCCTACCTTCTTTGGAAAGACTAAAGTGCCTGGCCTACACAGAAGCGCTGAGTTCAAATGGTGACTCTAAAGCTAAGATCCTCATAACCCGAAGGATTGAATGACAAACAATGGCATTTCCAGCACCAAAACAGGGGTCAGGACAGACATTTGGTTTAGAAAGCCACCTTTACTCCTAACTCTACCCTCCTGTTCCTGCTCCCAGAGCCCCCCTGCTGGGGGATGTGACCCACAACAGCCCCCTCCCCAGCCTGGTCCCTAAGAAATGCACATGGCACAAGTCAGCAGGCCAGCTGGCCATCCCAATCAGGGAGCAAACCAGAGGCCTAAACTAGAGCAGGGATTTCTAACATAGAGTGCCAGACCTCATGGGATCCATGGATGGAACTGAGGAGGGCTACAAACCCGGATGAAAAAAAATATCTAGGCCAGGTGCGATGGCTCACGCCTGTAATCCCAGCACTTTGGGAGGCCGAGGTGCGCAGATCACCTGAGGTCAGGAATTTGACACCAGCTTGGCCTACATGGTGAAACCCCATCTCTACTAAAAATACAAAAATTAGCCAGGGGTGGTGGTGTGTACCTGTAGTCCCAGCTACTTGGGAGACAGAGGCAGGAAAATCACTTGAACCTAGGAGGCTGAGGCAGGAGAATCGCTTGAAGCTAGAAGGCGGAGGTTGCAGTTAGCCAAGATCACACCACTGCACTCCAGCCTAGGCAACAAAGTGAGACTCTGTCTCAAAATAATAATATCTATTACACTTTTTTCCCCACTAATGTCTACCTGAAATTTAGCATTTCTCTTTCCATGATGAGCGTAGGCGTGCACCTTAGTAGTATTAGTAGTCCTTGTGACTTTATCACCAATAAAAATTATAGGTATTTTCACATTACATTACAGTTGCCACAGAAATTTCCAGATATCATGTTTCTGTATCATTATTTTGAAATTAGAATAGTTACAAGATCCACTGAAAGATCTTGCTATTTCATGCATTAATGAAGAGGTACTTATATTACATATTACATTTTTTAATTTCAACAACTATATTTCAATAAAATTATTATTTGTAATGCTATGTACATTATTTTAATGTTTTTAAAAATCTTTCTAAGTAGGCCACTATAGACCTCTCCAACATCAGAGAGTCCACAGCACAAAGAAGATTAAGAACCTTTCAATTACAGGTATATATGGATTTACTTATCTCCCGACCTTCACCATTGGGCCGCATAATCCCCACTGGTAGAGTCAAACCTGCCTTAAACATGTTCCAAAGGAAAGAAGAGAAGTTCAAGAGTTCATCAGTGCAGCACAAGTTGATCTTGTTGCAAGTTCCGTTTTTGCCTTGAATTATGGATTTCCTGTAACTGGATTGCTGCCTGGTCCCACAGTTCCTCTGTGACTCAGACCTTGCCTTGTACCCCAGCCTCTGGGCCCCTTCTCTGAGAAACCTAAAAGACGTCCCATAAGTTCATATTTCCAAGGTTTCTAGCTCAATGAATTGGGAGATGTTTGTGCTGACCCTGTTTTCTTCTACAGAAAGCCCTAATGCTGAATGGCCGCCAGGAGACAGTTCATGAGATATTGCAGGTTGAATTATACATAAAATGAGAGCAGTCCCTTCCTGTGCAAAACCCCAATCTCCATTCCATCAGGAAGAATTTTTTAGTTGATCACGTTCACAGGAGCACTGGTCTTCACCACATTTAGTCCAAGGCTCCCAAAGGCACTGGAGTTGTGTGCAGTAGAGGAGCTAATGAGACGCCATGTCTTCTTTCTCAACGTATGCTTGAGAAATGGATTAATGTAATTCCTAGAGGGCAAGACTAGAAGAGCTGTAAAATGACCTCATTTCTTTTTTAAATGTGAATGTGGCCCTCAATGATCAAGACTGAGAATATTACAAAATCAACCATAAGCATACCACAGAAGAAAAGGAAACTAAATAACTCTGTGACCAGATAAACAATCTGGAACTTAAAACAACAAAAAGAGTTGTCCACCAAGGAAAAGTTCTTGCTTTCCAAATATGAAGATTTTCTTCTGAGGAACCACCAGTTTGGAAGGGCTTACCTATAAAAAAACTAAGGCTTCTTCTCACCACCATTTTATTAAAGCTGTGAAGAGCCTTGAGGAAATATGGGGCCTGGATGAAGACAAAGGGAGAATATTCAAGTATAATGCTCAACACAAGACCTGTTCAAGTCACAAAGAAGACTTCTCAGACCTTCAGTCCTCCCTGATACCTTCTCCAGATGTCACACTGTCGCCAGGTTAATGTACTTGAGTATTGAGAAATAAGAAAACGTGCATTGCTTTTATTTACTTCACTGTAAAAAAATTAGCTCACATTGTAATAGAAATGGCTCTAAGTTCTTTCCTATAGAGCCCATACAGATATTAAGACTTCAAGCCATGCTAACACTTAAAACCTGGGGGTTACTACAGAGTTACTTGATTTATTTCCATGGGCATACTAAAATTAGTCAATATAGAATTAGAACACACCATGCTAGACATTTTGGACTTACATGAGGTCCCTCCTTAGCTCCCACTTCCTCAGTAATGTTGATCCTACAAAGAAACCATTTCTAAATTCATCTTTAAACAACATGCTATCAAATACTACTGAAATGAGGTTTGGGCTCCTCGGAGTAGTACATTTCCTTGGTTTTCATCTTCTCCACAGGGGCTACTTACATGGAAACCAAATTGTTTCCCCAGAGATAGCCCCTTTTCTTTTCTCCAAGTACCACACTGTTGAATATGGCTGGGGTAGGGAACATTAAATGTAGCGAAACATGGTAATGAATTAACCCTTCATCCTGAAGGGTTTCCAGGAAATAAACATGAATTCAGCCATGAAAAAAAAGAGTATAAAAGTCAATTATATTTCAATGGCTTCCAAATAATAAAATATATTTTTAAGAACAAGTCAAACCTAACATGATGGCTCACACCTGCAATCCTAGTGACCCAAGAGGTTGAGGTAAGAGGATACCTCTGGCTTCTCCTAAACTTAGAAAATAAGTAGATTAAGGAAAAGAAGGAAATAACTAAATCTGCTCTCCCATGTGGCCTTCTAGCTCCTGCCCTATCTTTTTACCCTCACATGCTCATCTACTGGTCCACCTCCCACTCACTCATCAGCCCACTGGCATCTGACCTCTATCACTACTACTTCACCTAAAGCACCATTGCCAGGATGCACATGGTCCCTTTATGTAGAGTCCACAGGAGACTTCAGTCAGTATCTTACTGGATCTCTATCCTGCATTACACACATCCTTGAAACCCTGTCTTCTCCGTTATCCAGCACTCCACATCTCCCCATTCTTCCCCTCCTTCTCTGGTTGCTCCTTCTGTCTCCTCCAGCTGTTTCTCTCCCCTTGCCCAGCTTTGAGGTGCTGCATTCCTCAGAGATCTTGTTCCACTTCTTATTCACCTCTTGGTGGGTGAATCACATCACGTAAATTACCAACTCTATGTTGACAACTTCCAAATCTCTATTTACAGGCGGTATTTCTGCAGTTTCAAATCTGAATATCCAACCATGTAGTCAACATCTCCACTTGGTTTCACAGACATCTCAGGCTCAGCATGTCCAGAGTGAATTTACTCTTTCCCCTAAGCCTGCTCCTCTCCTTGTACCCCCTGTCCTTCTATGCTCCTCAGTAAATGGCACCACCATATAACTGGTTGCTCAAATTAGAAAAATTGACGCCATCCATGTCTTCTTTCTGTTCTTCAGTCTATCTAGCCAATAAATTACCAGGTCCTACTGATTCTATCTGCTAAATAATATTTTTGATCCATCACTTCTTTCTATTCGCCTTGCAAAGTGAGACCACCATCATCTCCACTGATTTATGGCAATGAACTCCAAATCTCTTCCCAGTGTCCAGACTTAAGGCCCTCCAACCGTTCTCTACATTGCCACCAGATTAATCTTTCAGAAATGAAGTGCTGACCTTCCCCTAAATAAACACATTCTAAACCCTTCATATATAGCCAAGGACAATGGCTCAAAACTGTAACCCCAGCACTTCGAGAGGCTGAGATAGAATGATTGCTTGAGGCCAGGAGTGCAAGACAAGCCTAGGCAACATAGCAAGACCCCATCTTGACCAGAAAAAAAATTAATTAGGCAGGCATGGCAGTGCACACCTATAGTCTTAGCTTTGAGAGGCCAAGACAGGAGGACCCCTTGAATCCAGGAGGTTGAGGCTTCAGTAAGCTATGATCATGACACTGCCTTCCAGCCTGAGTGGCAGAGCAAGATCCTGTCTTAAAAAAAAAGAATCTTTCATATCTTCCCCAGTGCTAGAAGCTCAACACATCAATAGCTAAAAGAAGTTACAAGGCAAATTTACAAAGTTTCTGCCAGGTGGGATTTGTTTTTGTTTTCAATATATTGCTTGGGTTCCGTTTTATGATTATCAGACATCAAGCCTTTTACTACTAAAAAGCTGATGACCAATATTTTGTCATAGATCTTTTTAAGGAAAACAACAACATATTTTCTCACTATACCAAAGAAGGTCTGTCATAAACTCTATTCAGAAACAACATGAATACTATAGTAATAGGGAAATATTCCAAGAGTTGGAGAAAAAGTATTTCTCTCCCAGACCTCTAAAACTAAGATTCAGAATTATTTCTGTCTTCAGATCTTAGACATTAGTGAGAACAAGAAGCAATGTCTCTTAACTGTGCATGCTGCCAGCTGATGGCTGAAAAGGAAAAGATTTAGGCCTGTCCCTATGGATATCATCAGAGAATCCAGTTCAGACATTCCCAGGCAGCGTGCAAGCATGGAGGTTTGAGGACTAGCTTACAGGCATGTGGTCTTGGACCAACCTCAGAAGCAAATTATTTATCAAAGTAAAGCACATTAGGATGACCATAGTTAACAATAATTTACTGTGTATTTCAAAATAACTGAAAGAATTAGAATGTTTCCAACACAAAGGAATGATAAATGTTTGATGTGAGAGATATCCCAATTACCTTGATTTGATCATTACATGTTGTATGCTTATATCAAAATATCACATGTACCCCATAAATATGTACAACAATTATGTATCCATGACTACAAATAAAAAAAAATCTAAAGAAAGGAATCTTTAGCTATCTCAACATCAAAAAGAAAAAAGCTGAGGTTTTCAAGAATGTGTGCACACGTGCAGTGTGTATGTGCATGTTTGTGATTTATTGAGGGCTAAAAAGAGAGCTGATATTCCCTCTATATACACTAAACTTATAACCACTCTCACCTCTAACCTAGGACCAACACTACACAACACACACACATCCCACTCATATATTCATACAAAGTGTACTGAGTCCATCTGATGAACTAATCTAATGATAGATTTGATATCTAATCCTCACAACTACATTGCAAGGTATATACTATTTTCTCTACTTTATAGAAGATGAAACTGAGCCCCTGAAGGCCTAAGGTCCGGCAACATGTAATAAAAGGAAGCTAGAATTGGAACCCTGGTGTGTTCAATTCCGAAACCAGCCCTTCTTCCACTACTCCTTCCTCAAAAGGCCTTCTAAGTCGTCACTCTCCTAGCACTGGTTACAAGAAATGTCGGTGGGAGTGGTTGTTTTACGATAAACCACTCTGATAAAAAAAATGCTCCAATGATTATTTTTGAGATGTCAGAGCTGAAAATGTACAGATTTCACTGGACGAAGAACCTGCCAAGTGGTGATTGCACAACCAAAGCACTGCAAGGAACCAAGGAGGCCAAATGTGTGTTGGAAAAATCACAGATGTCATCTGGGAATGCTCAGAGCCTTGGGCTTTCACGCTGAGACAGACTCGCTTCCACCGGAACCTCAGCCTTTTAAGGCTAAATCAAGGCCGTGACTTCCTCAGCTGAATCAACCTGACACTGTTCCCTGAGCTCACTGGGATCCTATTGGCAGAGCGTCAGCCCCGTCATGGAAAGAATGCCTCCACCAGGGAGGACTGGGTTAGTCCCCATCCTGAACTGGATCATAAACACCCACCTTGTCATAAAGCTGCTGTGAGTCTTACAATGGGAAGATGGGGGAGGCAGCACACTGGGGTCAGGAGTGGAGATACTTAGGCTCCCCAGAGAAATTAGTCACAAGTCTTATCCCTTCATCTCCATTTACAGCCATTTATTTGGGAGCAACATACTTTAAATGAGTGATAAACAAAATGTCTCCCCACAGCCCCCACCCCAGCATGTGTTCTGAAGTTCACAGGAAGGCTTCTCCTCATTTGCTTTGGGGCCCGCAGGCTGCCTGCTAACAGCTGGGTCTTCCCATGAACAAATTAGACAGTTAATGTTCCAGGATGAAGAGGGCTTCGGGGAACAGAATCTGCCGTTTATTTGACTTGCTTCATTAGACACAGTGCCATCATACCAAAATTAGAAAAAAGAAGGAACTCAGCGGAAATCAGCTACACAAGAAGAACCTCTCAGTTCTGAGAATTCACATTAACCAGTGATTAAGAAATATTAAAAAGGTATGAGCCTGTGAAGTTGAACATACAAGAATGCTTTAGAAAATGGAATGTTCACACTGTTGCCAAGTGACGTTCCTTCTAAGTATTGATTACTCTCTACAGATTATGGAAAATATTTGTCTGAGCTCTTATTTCAACTGCTCCATTCTCAGCTAGTGAGGAGAGTAAGATGTAGTGAGGCATGTGTTCAGAACTTTCTCCCAGAGGTAAATTACTGATGCATGACTTTTAAGGTGCTAGGAGAGGTAAGGAAACTTTTATAAAGGTCCCAGTGGCCTTCTAAGAGGAAAGGGACGGCAAGTGTTTAATGGAAAGTCATCAGGGTAGATTTAGGTGACCCCAGTCAAGGCCCAAGAAGGAACTACTGGCTTCTTTAAAAACAACAACAATAACAACCATAATATCATAGGTAGAAAGAGATTGGACTAGAGGGCAGGCCTGTACACCAAGACGGACCTCTGAGAATGAGTAGTAAGTGGTTCTGATTCTCTGAGGCCAAAACTGTCAGGACTGGTACTGACCCAGCCCTACTGGACACAAGTTTGCTCCCTAGAGAAGGGAGATATAGGGGAACCAAATGCAACACAGGCCAACTTTTGAAAGCTGCATTCTTGGGTCAGGAAATAGGGAAGAACTACTGTGGCTAGGGGGCTGCTGAGAAAAGGTGCTCTGCTACCCCTCCCTCCATTGCCATGAAGGGTTAACCCATTTAATTTGCATTTTCCTGAGTAAGAGGCTTGACACCAGCTCTCCCACTTGGCAGCCTGGTATTGCATTGTAAAGCAACCAGCTTCAGGGATGTTTATGGCATCTTCTAGCTTCATGGAGTGTGGTAGCCATGAAAATAAGCCACATAGACTTCCTCCTATAGAAGGTAGAATTAATCCAGGGTCCCAACTGCTGTATTTTAAGTCTGTTGCTGTGTTTGTACCTTGACCTCACTTTCCAAGGCTGCTGCTGGCCAATGATGTGGTATTGTGAGGGGACCCCCTCCTCTGAGAAGCTGGGCTCCTTCTTTAGCTGACTCTGGCACACGGACTCCCCAGTGGCTTTGCTGGAGCTTCCTTCCACTGAGCGGCAGTCTAGCATTCTAAGTTTCCACCCAGTCTTCTCTCAGTCTCCCCTTCACTCAGGGTCAGGCTAACACTGTGATCTGACTGCTAGCCCGGCCTTCTCCACCTCCCTTGCTGTGTCATTTCACATAGGCATTTCCCCTAATAAATTCCTGGAATACTTACTAGTATCTTGATATCTGCTTTGGAGGACCCTAACAAGGCAGAATGGTTGAACTGTGTCTGCTGGGGCAAAGAGGAAGAGGCTCAGATTATTCCCTAGATATAAATTAGTACTCCTGAAGGTTTCTTAAGATTATCATAAGTATGGAAGCCAGAGAGCACTGTAGAGGAGTTCAAGTTGATTAATTGCATCTGTGATATACATATATATGTGTGTGTGTGTGTATATAGTATATATATGTGTGTGTTTATGTATTTTTATATGTATGTTTATATGTGTGTGTTTGTGTATATGTGTGTTTGTGTATATGTGTGTGTGTATATATATATTTTATATATATGTATATATAAATAGAGAGAGTGTCCACTATACAAGTCTAGACCAGAAAGGAAACATCAAGTGAAAGGCCTACTCCCATAGCAGGAGGAAAAATGGGAGCAGATAACACATACCTGGAAGCAGGCTAATGTCTTAGCCATGGTGATCTCCTAAATGCAATGGGCATCCATTCATAGTATCCCCCTGTGACCTACAAGCACTGCTTGATTTCTATATGTGGTGAGAGTTGAGGAATTTCCTCCAGATCCCGTTGGCTGGATCCTACACTTCCAGTGGCCTGAAAAAGTTCTCCAGATGCTGCTGCATTGACCACTAGTCCTTGAGCCTTGCACATTCTGCCTGGCTCAACTAGGAGTAGAATGAGATAGTTCTTCTAGAGAGAAAGACAATCTCAGAGATACTCACTTTCCACTAAGTGCCCCATTTACATATAACTGATAACATAAATTTTAATCCATCAGGTATTCATCATGGGCAAAGCATTTTACGTTCATTCATTTCATTCATCCATTTACTCATTCAACTCATTTATTGAGCTTCTACTACATGCCAGCAGTCCCCAAGGAGCTATACATAGAGCAGCAAACAAGGCTGAAACAACCTAGTTCTTATGAAAGTTTATATTCTACTGGGGAAGAAAACAGAAAGAAAAAAAAAGCACACAGAGATATATGTTTTGGGTAATGATATATACTGTAAAGAAAACTAAAACAGCAGAGTAAGGTGCTAGGAAGTTATGGGCAGACAGGGAGAGTCTATTTTATGAAGAATAGGCAGGGAAAGCCCTTCTGAGGAAGAAATACTAGCAGAGATCTAAAGGAATTGAGGAGTTCGCTGTGTAATAGTCAAAGCTGTGAACAGTGCATTTAATCTCCTTTAATCGACACAACAAATCCATGAAGCAGAAGGCATCTTCCTCCTATTATGAAGAACTTGAAAATCAGAAAGTTTAGACATTCAACTGGATCTCAAGCAGAAGCTCATGTTGTTAACCATTATGCCTTGCCATCACGGTGGATTCCAGAATTTTCCCACTTTCTAAAATCAAAGAGAAAACCTGGCTTCTGTTTTTGCTGGCACCCTTTGTGGCCTTTCCGATTTACTCGTTGGGGTGCAGAGGAGCCACTTAACAGGCGACAAAGAGCTAGCTGTGCTAGAAAAGCTCTATCCCCCCTTTCCCACCCACAACACACACCTACATCTAAGACAGCCTGGTCTCCAGCAATGTCTACGGGCTTCCTTTGAAGCAATGCAAAGACCCTCTGCCTCTCCTCTTTAGGAGGCTGGCATTGCCTGGGGGCCTTAATTCCTGAGCAGTGTACGCTGGGACCAAGACCTTGAAGAAACTGGCCAGGTCTTGTTTCTTGAAAGGGTATTCGCTGCATAAACGGGCAAGGAAATGTTCAGGTAGAACAAATAGTGGAGTCTTGCTTGGGCTTATACATGGAAACTTATGAAGCTGTCAGCAACATGTGTGAAAATAACAAACTGATTAAAGCTTGTAATGGAAAGATGAGCCACCAGTAGCTTCCACGATCATAAAATATGAACTCAAAAATAACTGCTGAGTGCTCTTAATTTTACAAATTTTTTAAACAGTCCTTGACACATAGTAAGCCCTCAAAATGAAAGCTATTCTTATTATTGCAATCATCAATAATTATCATTATCATCATAACTCCCTTTCCTATCCCAAAATACTGGTGGTTAGGGTAAGAGAGTGACAAAAGGGACCTTTAGGGACCTCAGGAAGTTGTATATTTCCCTGTAATGGTTAACTAGCCTGGACAGAGGTCCCAGCGGGGAAGCTCTAAAACCAGCCTTCAGCAAGAAAATTTGTGACTTACTAAACCCATAGATATTTATGTTGTTCCTGCTGCAAAAATGTCCATTTCTCCTGGGTAATAACTAAGTCCCATAAATAGATTCTAAACTTCTACCAGTTCACCAAAAATAAACTAGTAGGACTTGTAGACATGCCACTAGCTCTATTGCATCATATGATTTTTGTCTTCTTCCCATTACATGCTTTATTTAAACCCCAGTCAAATCCAGAGGCCCAGGCAATATTAAAAGATCCAAAGCCTCTGTACCCATGGTTTCCTGAGCCCTGAGTCCTCTTATTCTGTTACCGATAACTTTGGGGGTTGATTTTTTTTTTTTCCTGAGCAGACATTTTTGTTTCACTAGCACCATTTCTGCCATGTGATTTAAATATCTGTTTCACTGAGTTTTGTGATAACTGTATGGTTGTCTTCAGGATGGTAAACATGTTTGCATAACAGTCATCTAAACTGAGAACTGACATAGCTCCCTGAGGACAGAGATATTCCTGATTAAATCAACCCTAGAGAATTCCAACAGCAATAGGGTTTGGAAATCATATTTCTACTCACTTTTCCACTCAACCAATGGGGCAATTTTTTATATACAAGTTGGAATTTACATCTGATAAGGATTTGATACACCTTCCTTTTCTTCCCTATTCTCTAGGGCTGATAGTCCACTACGTTATCAAGTTCAAAGCCTAAGAAATATTGAACATTTCCACACATGAATGTGGGTACTATGTTTAATTTGAGAATGGCCAACTGTCCTCGAAGTCTCAATCTCTTTGGAGCCTACCAGCTCCGAGAGAAGTTTGAGGATGCTGCAAAACCCTCCCCTGCAAATCCATCTACTCCTCCCACTTCTATCCTAATGGGTTTGTATTGACCAAGTCTTCTCAGTTATGTATTACGTACTTGATAACGGATTACAGAATAGCCAGGCACTGATCAAAAATCCTCCTAGAGTTTAAAAGGTGGAATATATATATATAGCAGGCAAAATAGTGGTTTATCAGGCAGCTACAATAAGCTGTTATATTTTCAGATTGTGCTTCGTTTGTTGGACTGCATTGTATTTTCCCTCTTTTGTGAAAAGGTAAATAACCTAGGCATGCAGGAATTAACTTGTTAACAAGGAACAAGAGAAGAAATCCACACAAAGCAACCAGGTCACTGAGAAGTCGAGACCCTTTCCTCTTGGTGTTCTCCCACCATTCTCATTAACCCAAACTGCAGTGTTTTCCTTTCTCCTGGCCCTAAGGTCCAGTGTTTCTGACCTTGTCTTAGAAATCCCTTCTCAGCCCACAACCTCAGTTAAGAGTTATAATCTCTCATGGTTGGCAGGGAGAGTAAAGGTGATGTAGTTCAAGTCCTCACCTCCCAGTACCAGAAGTCGCTCTTCAGTATCTTTGACCAAAGTCATCTAAGTCTTTCCAAGTCCTTCTATGATAGATGGCTGAGCACCACCAGTTAACAGGAACGCCCTCCTTAGGTTGAGTCAAATCTCCCTCTCTGAAAGTTTCATCCATTTGCCATCATCCTGCCTTCTCTTTTCCTTTCTACTCTTCTTGCTTCCACTACCTGAACTCACGCACTGCATTCCCACCAAACTCCCACTGTTCAGTGTAGAGACTACAGATATGTGATGCATTAGCCTCTTGGTTTGCACCCTCTGGAGGCTAAGTTCTCAGTATCTGTCTTATGTGATGCCTATGGCTGGGGACATGATTCTGGATATGGTCTTACAGTGCAGAGTACAATGGGGCCATTTTCTCTCATGATCAGGACAATACCACTTGGTCTATATCTATAGCCCAGGAAAACATTAATGTTTACTAGCTTATTTGCAAGGCTAACAGATGTTGGGATAATGGCCATTTTTCACAAGAATTCTTATCAAGCAAACTCTCCCCGTGTGTTGATGGCTGTTTACTCACGATGGTCTATGTAAGGGAACCATTAAGAGTTTAAAAAAAAAAAAAACTTATAATAAGACTCTATAATGAGAAAGTTCACTGTGTATTTTTTATCATTTCTGCTACTATACATAGTCATATAAATATTTGTTCTTAGGAGCTTTCTAAAACACAGCCTTAACTTTCAGTTTTGGTTTCCACTCCCAGGTATAGTTCTTGGCTGTGCTGAGGATCTGTAAGGCACCAGATGTGAAAGTAAGGAAGAAAGATGGATGTGGAAGAAAGTCACTGCCCAGAGAATAAGGAGACCTGGATTCTAATCTCAGCTCTGCCATTAACTAGCTGTGAGACTCAAGAATAACTAATCATTTTGATAACTCGTTTTTTTACTTTTTAAAATGAGGAGCCAAGTTTAGACAATGAGCTCGGCTCTTCACCAGTGATAAAGTGTCTGGGACATGCTTCCATTCAAGCAATGCTCTTCCTTCTTGGTAAGACAGTGAGATCCCCATGATGGAGCCAGTGTAGTATTGCCCAGTAGGCAGGGAGATGAAGAGCCCTGGAATCCCCTTTAATCAATGGCCCTTAGCTCAGAGACCATTTCTGCACCAGGCTGGAGGGAAGAAGCCCTTCTCTCAGGTTCTTGCCGAGGCCTGCTATTTAAAACAGATGGCACACACGGGCAGTCCATTCCCACACCCCTTCCACTCTCTAAGCACTTTGAATATATTAAAACCTTTTCTTACCTCTCAGTTCCAATTTGGTACTCAAGCCCATGTGAACACTAAAGCCATTAACCCAAAACTTTTCCTTGCTGCTTCTTCTCGTATTAAAAAATAATCTTTATTTTTCTTATCACTTAAGATATGCACATTTAATGTTAATATATATATACATAAAAAATGAAGATATGCTGCTAACACCCCATTTGGACATCATGAGATTTTGGTGTCTATTATTTCAGAATTGTGTGTGTGTGCATGCATGTGTGCATGTAACACATGCATGTACATTGTTAAAATTAGGCCACACTGTGATGTTTTGTGGTCTGCTTTTTCAGTTAGCAATGTGTCATGACCACTTTGCCATCCTATTACGTAGTCAATTGCATGAATCACCCATGATGGTTTCAACTGGGTCTGTGTTGTTGGACATTGCAGCTGCTTTTCTAGAGGCTGCTCTTGGATTGGTCACTGCACCTCTTTGTTCGCCTTGCAGATTCTGGCAGGTTTGCACATTATGATCATAAAAGCCAAATGTTAGAACTGAAAGAGGGTCTACCTTACACATCACCTTGTTCAAATCCTCTCTTTTCTTTTTCAGTCTATACTTTATCCAAGAAAGAATAAATCATTTCCAAATATTTTCAAAGGTAATAGAAATCCAAAAGCCATTGTTTGCTTGATAGAAATGAAAAATATTTGTTGAAGTGTTTGTTCAAAGAGAGACCATGTATAAGATATTTGATGAAAATGCTACTGAACAACAGAACCTGAATCAGTATGTAATTTGAGAGCAATGTATGCTTCCAAACTATTGGCGTAACATATATACTATTGATTAATGCACAGTTATTTGGCCAATTCTAACTACTGTCATCCTCAAAACCTAAGCCAATATGCCCCTCAAGACATCCTTGCTTTTCTTCTCATTTTTTTCCTTTGGTTTGCTTTGCTTTGTTTTCTTAGTTCATCTGAATTACCCTATTCCCTTATTTCTAGAGGTAGAGATTTGGGCAAGTTAATTATTTAAGTTGTTTGAATACAGTATTTTACTTCCATTAACATAATAACTCTAAAAAATAAGAAAAATAGAGGAAGTACTTACAAAATTTTAAATAGACCTTATACTTATTAAACAATTCTATGTTTCTGTTAATAAAAATTGCATAGTGGTTACAAGGTGGATATAGGAATTGCAAAATGTACAAAATCCTGCAACCCTTCTCTTTTTGCACAGATGAAACTATGGCTCAAAAGGGAATAAGAGATCAAGGCAAGCATGGACATCTTGTACGTGGAAGTGCAGACCAGAACTTGTATCACAGCCAGTCATATCTGGTGCTTTCCATGCTACTTTTACATACATGTATCCTTAAATTTGATCCTCTTCTAGTTTAGTCTAAACTCTTTACTTTGTAACTTCCAAACCTAAAAGGTGCAGCAGACATTGACAATCTTAATTCATTTGTCAGGTCATTTGGTTTCTTGGTTTCCTAAGGGACTGTATCCTTCCTGCCCTGCTAATGGGGAGACTTTTTGTTTTTTGTTTTCTGTTTTCCTTAATAAGTGAGGCCAAGTGCTGTGTGTAACTGTGGGGTGGGCAAAATTAGGATTCCTGAATCACTTCACTTTTTGTTGCCTTTCTCTTGGGAGAATGGTTACCATTGCAGAGAAGCATAGTTAAAATTGCTTTTGTGTTTCATAAACGAATTCATACTTAGATGTCATTGACCAACAACTAAATAGTATATCAGAGATGAAAGGCATCCTAGAGATGACCAAATCAAGCTCTTCATTACTCAAAGGAGAAAAAAATCCAGAAAGTGGATGACATATGTTGAACTAGTGATGGAAGTAGAACAGGGTAGTGTATTTTCTGCCTCTTAATTCTTCATTTTTTACACTAAACCAGATATTAGGTATATGACTAGGAAGATACGTGAGGTAAGGAGCAGAGGGTTTGGCTCCAAACTCATCATGTAGTCATCCTCCTCCAAGCTCTGAGAGCTTCTCTCACATGTTAATTCAGAGGCAGTAACAAAAGAATTAATGCTCCTGAAGGTTTCTCAATTTTATCATCTGGAAAGTGGAGTGAACCTTTGCAGAGTCCTTCTGAAGAGGGCTGACCTTGGACTGCACTAGGTTATATTCATTTGCTATTACTCAGCAATAAAAAGTAAATGCAACAATATAAATGAATCTTAAAAACATAATATGGAAAGAAAGCAGCCAGACACAAAAGAATACCTCCTGTTTGGTTTCATTACCATAAAACCTAGAACAGACAAATGAATATACTATGATTTTAAAAAGATCATTATGATCAGAAAGCACTTGCCTGTTACAGGAAGGAGATGGGGATTGACTGGAAAGGGGCATGAGAAAACTGTATGAAATATTATATATGGTTTATATCTTGTTTGGGGGTGGATACATAGCTGTGTATAATTGTCAACAGTCATTGAACTGAGCACTTAAAATCTCTGCATTTTAGTGTATGTAAATTAATTTTTAAAATTATTTTAAAAGAAAAGTAAAAGGATAGAAAAAGATATACCATGAAAACAGCAATCATACAGAGTTGGGGCAGCTATACTAATACTAGATAAAATAGTCTGTAAGACAAAAACTTATTAGAGATGAAGAGGGACATTTTAAGTGATGACAATTTATTCAATAAGGAAGATGTAACAAGAATAACAAGTATGTATGTACCTAATAACAAAATCCCAAAATACGTAAAGCAACAACTGACAAAATTGAAGGGAAAGATAGACAATTCAACAATAATAGTTGAGGACTGGAATACCTCACTTCCAACAATAAAGAGAAAAACTGGGCAGAAAACCAACTGGGATACAGAGACTTGAAAAACATTGTAAACCAAGTAGAATCAACACACATCTATAGAAAACTCCACCCAACAACAGCAGAAAATACATTCTTCTGAAGTGCATACGGAACATTCCACAGAAATATATGATGTGCTAGGCCATAAAATAAGCCACAATAGATAATAAAAGACTGAAATCATGTAAATTAGGCTCTATGCCCACAGATTTAGAAATCAATAACTAAAAGAAATGTGGGGAATACACAAATATGTGGAAATTAAGCAACACGTTCATAAATAACCAATAGGTCAAGGGAAAAAAATATCACAAGGAAAATTAGAAGATACTTGAGATGAATGAAAATAAAAATACAGCATACAAAAAAAACCATGGGAGGAAGTTAAAGCAGCATTAGAGCTAAATTTATAGCAATAAATGCTTATTTCTTTAAAAAATATCTCTAATAATCTAACCTTTCAATTTATGAAACTATAAAAGAACAAATGAAACTGAAAGCAAGCAAAAAGGAGAAAATAATAAAATTTCAGTAGAAATAAATGAAATAAAAAATAAAATACATAAAGCAACAGTTGGTTCTTGAACAAAATTGACAAATCTTTAGCGAAACTTTAGCAAAAAAGAAGGAGGACTCAAATTACTCACATCAGGCAAGAAAGAAGAAACTTGACTACTAACTTTACAGATAAAAAGAATTCAAGGGGGATAAAACGTAAAAAAAAAAAACCTCTATTGCTAACAAATTAAATAAACTATATGATATGGACAAATCCCTAGAAAGACACAAATTATTGAAACTAACTCAAGAAATAGAAAATCTAAATAGACCTATAACAGGTAAAAAGATTGAATTAGTAAATAAAAACTTCCCACAAAGAAAGATTCAGGCCTAGATGGCTTCCACTGGTAAATTCTCCCAAATATTTAAAGAAGAATTAATACCAATTGTTTATAAACTCTTTTAGAAAATAGAAGAAAGGGGAACTCATTCTATGAGTTCACTATTACCCTGATACCAATGCCAGACAAAGGCATGAGAAAAAGAGAACTGCACACCTTTATGCATCCCTATCCTTTATGAATATAGATGCAAAACTCCAAGATGAATCCTGAAACAAATAAAAAATTGTACCACAACTAAGAAAGATTTCTTCCAAGAATTCAAGATTGGTTTAACATCTGAAAATCAATTTATATAATATGCCACAACAATAAAGAAAAAAATCACAATTACTTCAATAGATGCATAAAATAATGGATAAACTCCAACACTCATGATTAAACAAAAAAAGAAGAAAACGCTTAAACCAGGAACAAAAATTAACTTCCTCAAACTACCAGAAACTTACAGCTAACATCATACTAAATTGTAAAGAATCAAATGGTCTTCTTTCACTCTCAGATGTGAAAATCTCCTATGTAGAAAATCCCAAGGTATCGACAAAAAACAAAAAAAAAAGCTATTAGAACTAATAAATGGGTTCAGCAAGTTTGCTGGATACAAGATCAGTATAGAAAAATCGATTGCATTTCTATATATTAACAATGAAAAACCAAAATAAAATTAAGAAAATTCTATTTATAAATAACATCAAAAGGAATAAAATTTTTAGGAATAGATTTAACAATTTAAGTATAAAATGTATATGCTAAAAACTACAAAACACTGTTGAGTGATACTGAAGATTAAAATAAATGGAAAGATACACCATGCTTATGAATTGGAGGATTTAATATCGTTAAGATGGCAATACTTCCCATATTAATGTACAAACTTAATGCAATTCTTAACAAAACTCTTCTGGTGTTTTTACAGAAATTCACAAGGTGACCCTAACATGTATATAAAAATGCAAGGGATCCAGAATCACTATAACAATCTTGAAAAAGAATAACAAAGTTGATGGATTCACACTTCCCAATTCCAGAACATACTACAAAGCGACAGTAATCATAATGGTGTGGTACTGGTATAGGGATAAACATATTAATCAACAGAATAGAATTAAGAGTCCAGTAAATCCTCACATTTATGTTCAATCGATTTTCAGTAAATAGGCAAGACAATTCAGTGGGCAAAGAATAATCTTTAACAAATAGTGCTGGACAACTGAATATCACATGCAAAAGAATGAATTTGCACCCTGACTTCACAATAGACACAAATTAACTCAAAGTGTATTATAGATCTAAATGTAAGAGCTAAATTACAAAACTCTTTTCAAAACAACTACAAAATTCAATCTTCATGATCTCGGATTAGGGAATGACTCTTCAAATTAGACACCTAAAGCACAGGTGATAAAAGATGGCTAGGTTGGACTTCATCAAAATCAAAAACTTTTCTGCTTCAAGGGATATTTTTAAGAAAGTAAAAAGATAACCCTACAGACTGAGAGAAAAATTTTGAAAATTGCATATTTAGTAAGATACTTACACCCAAAATATATACAGAACTCTTACAACTCAATAAAGACAAACAGCCCATTTTTTTCCATGAGCAAATGATTTAAATAGAAATTTCTCCAAAGAAGACATATGAATGGCCAACCAATAAGCACGTGAAAAATGTCAATATCAATAGCTATCAGGGAAATGCAAATCAAAATCACAAAGAAACCAGGGCAGAGTGCCAGATGCTCCGTACCTTGAAAAGGTTCAAGGAAACTTGAAAGATCAGATGACATTTTTAGTGTAATCTACAAGTCACTCTTCAAATGACTTGAAGATGACTACCTGAATATATACAATAAAAGTTGGAAATATTCATAGATAATATAAAATTGAGACAAAAAAGGTCTAGAAAGACTGCAATGTCAAGATATGTATCATCAATTCCTGTACGCTACAGTTAAATTTTGTTCTGAGTTTTCTGGTGCCAAGAAAATAGGAAAGGGGTGGGCAATACAGTAAGATACAAAGAAAGCTTTTATTTCATGACACTTAATTCTAAAAGAATAATCAGGTGATATGAAGCCAATTTCTACAGATATGGTCTCTGTCCTCCAAGAGCTCATAACTCAGAGAAAAATAAATATGCAAATGATTAAAATCAGTGAGGTAACTGCTATGAAGGACGTATGTACAAGCTATACTGGAGGCATAAGAGAGAGAGTTACCATTCAGATGAGGTGGACTCATGCTCTGATGTGGTAACATATGAGGTAGATTGGGTAGGAAGGTAAGGCCAGTAGAGGGTGGGAGAACATTCCAAGCATCTGCAGAGATTAAAATTACCTAAGACGTTTGAGAAATTGTAAGTGGTCTGATATGGCTGCAGTACTGGATGTGAAGATAAAATTAATGATAGCTGAGGGTGGCAGGAAAGCTGGGATCTTGCCATGTATAGCCTTATATGTCATGCCAAGGACTTTGGACTTTAACCTGTAGGCAAGGGGAACCATTGACTGGCAAGCCCTGAGTAGAGAGTCTAGGCCTTATAATGGGAAGTTAGTTTCCAGAGATAACCTAAAGAATTCCTGCCTTTAGGTTTAATTCCAAAAGGGTAGTAATCCACAACCTAGCACTCCATAACAGTGATTTATATTGGAATTACTCTCCAAATTGGAAGATATGGTTAATCTGGGATTATAGGACGTGTAAGCTCAAAGTAATTTCCATTGTAACTCGTATAGCTTTCTACTCAGCCCATGACATTCCTACCTGGTTCCAGTTCTTGCAATTCAAAGAGAACAGGTCAATGTCAGTGTTAACATGTGGGTATGAAAACAGCAAGTACCCGCATATGAATTGGAACTGGGCTCACTGAAGAAAGCATGTAATTGGAGTGGGAATAAAAGCATCCAACTATTATACTTGTGTGTGTACACACACACATTAGATATACTGCTACAGATATAGATAGATGCCAGGTGTGCTGGTCACTTTGCGAATCTCATCACACTTTACCTTCATGACAATCCAGAAAGGTAAGTACTAATCCCACTTCACAGATCAAGACTATTCTTACTTACAGAAGTTAACAGTGCTCTCTCACTGGCTGGATTGGCATGGATGCCTATTTTTGATAGTATTTCTAATCCTTACCACTGAAAGCATTGGAATGACACTTCATGTATTTTTTTCAGTAGAGAAGTAATAGAAACTATTCCCCTTAAATGGCAGATGTGATATCTCAAGCACAAAAGCTTGGGTGACTCACTCAAGTCAATAACAACTGTAGGACAGGAGCATTTCCAGTTGGCCCCGTATTCCTTCTACTTAGTCTTTTTTGTTCTCATGTAAATACAAAGTCATAAATTTGTGGGGGTTCATATTGGCTTTGTTCCTTTTCCCATCTAGTTACCACAAGAGACCTTTCACTCTCCCTAGTGACACCATTCAACCTCTACATAACCCTACAACAAATACCCACTTCACTACCATATCACATGGCCAGACCAGTGGTCTTTTCCTTTAATGTTACATAGAATAATATTATTTCTCCATCAATTAACTCTGATTGGAATCATGATTATCACTAGTTTTATTCTTCAGGCTTGATAGAGTACCAGCTGTGTCCAACAAATGTAACAACAGTGGCTTCCAGCCAAGTGCAACTGAGGTTTTTACAAGAATAGATACTTCGTGTATTCTAATGACAAAAGCACATAAATGAGGACTAATATTCTGTCTGTGGCAGAGAGAAAATCCTCTTGACTTTGAAGAGGTTCAAAGGCCCACACACACAGAAAACTGAGTGCTCTGTCATGCTATCTGGATCAAGGGACTCCCCCAAGGGGCCGGCATCCCGGCCTTAGAAAGATGTCTGGGCCCTCATCACTGAGGCCTTTGAAACCTTGTACCAGAAACCCCCAGGGGTGCCTCTCCAGCCTGCTCCCCTGGAACTTCTCAGGTACCCATGACACAGCCAGATAACCAGCCAGTTGTCACCTACCATCTAGGACAGTCTCTTACTCCTACCTGTCCATGCATGCTCACTAAACTTGCCCTGCAGCAGAAGTATGAATGACTCTTTATTAAAATAGACAGGAAAAACAATAGTGTCTCATCTCACACCTGCACTAGGAAAAAATCCTCTGTCTTCCTCTCTCCCTTCTGGGCCCACTCCCTCCAAGTCATCTCAGAGCTGCTGCCAGCAGCATGTAAAATATGAATCTGACTTTTTGACCCATCTGATTAAAAACTGAAGTTGGAGCACCTCTGGCAGCAGATTGAAGTCCAAACCCCTTCAAAAAGTATTCAAGGGCCTTCACAACCTGATTTCAACAATATCCTGAACAGTTTTCCCATACACTGGAGCTCTGGCCTTCCCAGGTAACTCACTACCCCCTGAAGATGTTGTACATTTTCATTATATATGATTTTTGTTACTATTCAATTTATCTAGAATACATCACATCCCCTATCTCACCTCACTCACCTGACAAACTCCCAATCATTCTTTGAGAACTAGCTAAAATGTTCTCACCCCTCTAATGCTTTCCCTGACCATCCCAGGCCAAATTAACCAGTCCTTCCTCTGTGACTCTGCCTATTGCACTTATTCTGATTTTCCCAGCTCAACAGATGACAGAGCCAAGACTCAAACCCTGGCCTTCTGACTCCAAGTTCTAAGGTCTTTACTTAACCCCTTGCCTACTGTGCAATATTACAAATGGAATCATGCGTCAATTCTGAATCCCGACTGGCAGGCCAATTGTGGGTAGTCAGTAAACTTACAGTGGATGAATGAATGAACAACAACCTGAAGGAAGCTTCTACTATCCCCACCCACCCCCCACCACACACACACACACACACACACACACACACACACAGAGTTTATTCTTCGAACTGGAATTTGTAAAGACAGCTTGGTTTCCCAGATGCATCCAACTCATCAGGTACTACAAATTCTGTAACCAGGCCCCAATTTAGGGATACTACAACTATGCATCATGTAATCATGTAGGTCCTCCAGTGATACTCATCTTGCTCATTTGGCCATGGATAAAGGAGAAAAGAGAGAGAAGTTCCCTTTCAGCACCCTAACACATCTCTTAATACAGCCTCTAAGTCTTTGAGTCCTCCAGGAGCCAGCAGCCAAGTCCAAACTAAAAGCATCACATGTTGTTTTGGAGAAAGAAGCCAGGGTGTCCACAGTAATATAAATACAGAGACAGATAGGACGAGCAGGCCCTATGGAGAGAGGCCAAGCCTGAGAAAGTCAAAGGGCTTTGAGCTCTGAATTATGCTCTGTCAAAGAAAAAAAAAAGTAGAAGATAAAAGAGAAAGAATAAACAAACTTCTTCATTTTTACTTTTCACAAAAAAGTCTCTTCTGGAAGCAGCAAATAAAATCTTCCCAACTCACTGGGTGCTGAGTAGAGTGTTAAGACACTAGCCCTTGAAGGAAGAATGAATAAGCAATTCAAAGTGGGCTTTTCTGCCCTAGGCTAAATCTGAAATCATCCATTTTGCCAGCAGTATTCTGTCTGCCAACCTACCTGCAAAGAAAGGGGCCATTTAAAACTTCACATCCACCCGAGATGGCTGTTGTACAAAACACACACTCACAGGCTCCCCTCAAAGCCTAGTAAGGAAGAAGGAAGAAGGAAAAAGCAAAGGAAATATCTGGCAGCTCCTAGACTTTAGGAATTCCACAAACAAAGCCATTGCCAACATCTATTTGACAGGATGTATAGAGAGTTCATAAAGTAAGTGTTTATAGAAATTCCAAAATGTTTAAAACTATCTCTTGATTTTTGAAGGTCACTGTAATCTAGTCTATTGGAGAATGCTATTGTAGAGTCTTTGGCTATTGTTACTTATACCTGCATATATGAAATCACCACTCCTAAAAACCACGAATTAGAAGGCTGATTTGTTTAAAGAAATACTGTTGTCCATGATGGAAGAAGGATGCTAACTCACAGAGAGAATGATGCTGCCTGTGGAACAGAGTCGGAGCTGGCTTTTATGGAACCTATTGTCACTTTGATTATACACTGTCTAGGACAGGACTGAGGCCCACATAATACCAAGCATACCACAAATACGTAAGTTCGCTGTTGAGTTTGTTTCTTTTTATTGTTTAAGAAAAAAGAATGCTGGGGTTTGAGTTGTTCTTTTACACCCAGAACACACTACACATCAGAGATGTGCTGACACCGTGCTTTTTCTTTTTTATATAACAAGAAAAAGTGGCATAGAGGGAAAAAGAGGTCAAATTAAACATCAAGGTAGCTAAAAGGAAAATTGTGTCCGCTGCTCTAATATCACAATCCCAAGGAGAACTGCAGACATTTGTCCTCGAGTTCCTCAGGTTGGTAGGCAGAAATTACATTATTTTCCTGAATATTCCTACTGTAAAATAGTCATGGTACTTCCTGCTGGGAGTGCAAAGATGAATAAGAAATGCCTTCTAATCTTAGGGGATTCATTAGGTAAAGTTCATCCAGGTGACCAACTACTGCCCTCATTTTGGCCCCAAGGATTCCTGCCTTCTGTGCATCTTTCTCCACCCTTACATGACTTGATCTGGCATCACCTTGTTAATGCTTCCTTGGATCTATAAACCTGACAATGACCTCTCACCTCTCCCAAGAGGATTTGCATAAATCCAAACACCTATAGGTGGATGTCTTCCCATTGCTTCAAGCATGAACTAAGCCAGGTACCTTCCTTTGTCAGACTTCCACCCATCCAAATGGGCTTCCTTCCAAGTGGCTCCCTTCCCTGCCATACCAGCTCCACTCTTTTAGTCTCCTACTTTTTACTCCTACTTCTCCTTCAGCCTTTTATTTCTATCCTGTCACCAAGTCTTAGCATCTGTCCCATCAGCGATTTTTAGGTCTATTTCAACTTAGATCTATGCCTCACTAACTCACAAAAGAAGAAACTGGCATCTTTGTCCCTTCCAACTAATTTTGCAAGATATGTTTTCCTAACTTTGCAAGATATGTTTTTCTAAAAGCATTCATCATTATTTTCCTGTTTATGAAACTTGATCGATCTCCCTTTTCTCTGTCTTGTCAAACATACACCCTTTCAAAACCCTCTATGGCCTAACCTTTCTCTGGCTATACAATGGTATTTCAACCAATCCCTATCATCCTAGTCTATTCCAATCAGGCTGTTACCATCTCAATGCCTTTGTTCAAACTGTCCTCCACCTCACCAAATCATTGTCCAGGAACATGATTCATTCAGTCAAGTATTCAGCAAGCATCCAATGGACAAGATACACTATGCTGGACACCAGGACACAACAGAGAGCACGACAGGCCCATTTCTTGCCCTCAAGAGTCTTATATCTAGTGCTGCAACAATTAGCCCATCTCCCAAGAAAAACTTTGATCCTTTCCTCATGCTTTATATTTTGAAAACCTTGGTAGAGAAAAAGTTTCTTTTAAAAAAAGAAAAACATTTCTTAACAAGCAAAAGCAATTAAAGTAATGTATTTAAATTTAATGTAAAGTATGTAAATTGAATGAATATTTATGTAAATATGCATGTAAATTTAAAACATTTTCTAATCTGGTTGGAAATGGATTTCCAAAAATAAGTAATAGAAAAGAAACAATAGAATGTTAAACTCCTTTATAGCGTCATCACCCGCCTCCCCCAGGAAGCTTTATAAAACAAAATTATTTTTAAAATTCACCCATTACGGAATTTTCCTTCTTTAAATATCCATGGTCCTTAGTCCAGTGCTTAGTTATACTCTTTTGTTTTGTGTATGATCGCTTTTGCCCTGTGGACACATACGCTCTAAATAGAGACACACAGCTTGGCTCTGTGCTTGTTGTGTAGCCCTGACAATAATAAAGCAACGAGCGAGCTTCACAAATATGCCACAGTGGATATTACGCTCACACATAAAAACAGACCTGTATAATTTAAAACTCAACCTCAGTAATCCAAAAACCCAGTATAGCAGGCTTGAACTTCAACATCCATCAACATTTTCAACTAGAAGAAAATCAGACTCTGTTGAGCCTTCTCGTCAGCCTTTCCTGCCTACAGCCAAGAGGATGACAGGCAAAAAGAACGGGGTGGAAAAGCAAAGGGCAATTCACATGTGAACTAGATTATAGAGCCATTTGTTTCTACCTCTAAATTTTTATCATGCGGGCCTCAAATAAACTTGTCACCAGACATCATGTGGGCTTTTGGACCTAAAACCTCTAGAAGTTTTTGATATGACTCTTAGTTTCTGACACAACTATTTTTAGTGAAATAACATTGCCTCTGCTTCTGTGACATTTCCCAGAACAACAGTTAATCTGAAATCAGACAGAGGGAATTTTATTTTGATCTAAACTTTCGCTCAATGAGAGAGTCAGGGAAAGCCATATCCTGTGTGTTCAAGTCCCATAATAAAAGCTGCGTAATTTAAATGGAGTCAGGTCACACTCTGTTCTTCCTTGAGTCAGCTGCTCACCTAGATTCAAAAATAGGGACCAAAAAAGATAAACTGGCTTGGTTCCTAACTGCTAATGTGGTCTCTAGGAACTGAAAAACCACATGATCCACCCTAACTGAAGCAGAAGATTACAAAAAGCAGGTCCCGCCTTGACCATCGCCTCTGTTTCTAATCCTTTCCCAAAGCTGCCAAGTGCATCCTGGAAGGGCCACTTAAACTCTCTAAGCGAAAGTCAAAATAGAATGGAAAATTCTGGGAACTCTGACTATGCAACACCTTGTTGTCATTCAAAGTTTTCTCTTTAAAAAAAAATTTTATTGCTGCTGTTTAGTCATTTGTATACCTCTACTGTTACAACTAACATGTTTGTCCACTGTTGAGTAAGCCATAGTGCAAACACAGTTTCAAACACCTCACCAACAGTCCAAAATGTTAATCTTGGGGCTTAACAAATGTTAACTACAACCTGGAGATATAGTTCCAATATCCTTATAATTAAATAGTAAAATTATTATGCTCTTTCCCCAGTCATGTCTGCACTATTGTTTCTAAATGTATCCACAGGTTGCCAGTAATGATGTTTCTGGTGATCTGGCTCAGAAGGCTGAGCTGATGAGTGATCACTCAGAAATACTGAATCAGGCAATGGAAATTCTGAATCGGTGGGCTCTGGAGAAGGAACTGAGGGCGAGGTGACTCGGGGCCGGAGGGCTATTATGGACTATGGACAAGCTGAAGGCATGGGAAGCCTGACCAGTAGATAGAGGAATATGAACTTGGTGGACAGGGAAAAGCAGGGACGTCATGAACGAAAGACCACAGACCCTCTGTTCTAGTCCATGGGGCCAGGCTGTGCTCCACTGCCTACTCTTGGATTCCCCAAAGAATGCTTTATGTCCTTATAATAAATCCACCTTTCCATGGACAAAAATGAGTGTGTCTCTGTGTCTTCAAACCTGAGAGCTAAAACCAAAAAACATAACTTATGATGCTGTAGAAGAAACTTCTACCCCTTTGTACGCATGGAGATGTTTCCCAAATCTACACAATGATAGAAATAACTTGCTGCGTTAAAAAGTATAGATTGTCAAGCTCCTCCTCTGTAGATTGAGTCCAAAGTTCTGACTTGGGCCCTGAGAAGATGTTTGTATTCTTATATTCAGGCAAGTTTGGGCCAAATTCATTGAAGTGAATTCTGAGATCCTTTCAATTGCAAAGTCAACAAATACAAACTAATCATTCCTCTATACATAGGAGTAGTTTAAGTGCACAGACGTAGAATCAAAGACCTATTTCTTGTCCTCAAAAAATAAAAAAAACTTTTTTCTGGAATATACTAGACTAGGCCAATCAATAAAGTCTTTAGAAATTGAGGAACAAAGCTGAAATATGTGTGTGTGCATCTGTGTGCGTGTGTGTTGATCTAATTTTAGAGATTAGCACTCAAAAAACATTTGAACTATGTCTACATTATACATCACTGAATCCATATAACCTGTAAACATGTGGGCTCTACCTCCCCAATACACAGAGCTGAACATTACATAGTTTATTTTATAGGGAGGTGTGTAGTCTATTTGAAAAAGACCAAGAAAAAAAACACTGCAAATACGGCCAGAAAAAGGATTTGAAAGTGAAGATTTCGTGACAGTAGTGCAGAGCTTAATTAGCTAATTAATGTGAACTTTGCAAAGTTGCTATGAAAATACTAAATTTGAATTTCAGAGACAGTGTGACCCAAATTCACAAGAAATGCCTTATGGGATTTTGGAGGAATAGACATAAGTTTCAGCTTGATTGCTTTGCCTCAGCTTCTAGTTCTCATAAAAGCTATAAATAATTCCATGATTTCTACTTAGAGAGCTCTCTCTCTTCTGACACTAACTTAACCTCCTACTTAGAAGATAAACCTTCAACTCCCAGAAACTCAGAGATAGGCAATGTTCCAACACAGTAAGAGCTTACTACTTGAGCCAGATACGGGCTTAAATCCATCAGTTCTTTAGTCCTATTAATTGTGTGACTGACCTTGGTGGGCAAGGTCCATTTCCTCTGAGTGTCACTTTTTTAATCTATAAAATGAGGTTAAAACCAGCTACCTCTTAGAAGCACTGTGAGAATTAAATCAGATAATATACGGACAGCACTTAACAAAGCATCTGGCACATAATCAAACCTTAATAAATGGTGGCTATATGCATATTTAGAAGATTGTTCTGGAAGGGCCCGTGGTGATCAATCAACCCAACCTTCACATTGTGCAGATGAAGAAGCTGAGGCACTAGGACAATCAATTGCCAACGACACCGATGGGCAAAATCTGGGAAAGAGCCCAGTCTTGGGCTGTCCAGTTAGTGTTCTAAAAAAACCATTCAATTATATTTGTTTGACGCCACCTTAACTCCAACAGAAAGTGAATTATAACTACATTCTTTTAAGGTATTCCCTGGAAATTGATTGGAGCTTGTCACATTTTTGCAGAAACCTTTTTTCAGAATATTCTCAGCTTTACATGTTGGGAACAGGACTGCAGATAAATTCTGTGAAAATCTTTGCTTTTTGTAAATTAAATCTGCTTTTAAAAAACCAGGCTAAAAATAACATTTAAATGCAGGGTGACAGGAAAGAGAATTGACTTGGTGGTGGGGTTGGTAGTTACTTGAGTCGATGTGGTCAGAGGAGAGCTTACTAGAAAAGTGACGCTTGGGCTGAGGTCTTCATGGTGTGAAGGAAGCAGCCAAGCAAACACATGGGTAGATGGAAGTGCAAGTGCAAAGTCTCTGAGGTTAGAAGAGCATGGTGCACTCCAAGCATTGGAAAGTCTTTCAGTGTGACCAGATGATACTGGAAAACAGAGGAAAGTGCTTGGTGGGTGTGGTCCAATGCCACTATAATGTATGAAAACAGTTTGACATAGTGGCCACACATATCTATGTTGAATAAACAGCTACCATTAAGTATACCTTTGGAGGTCTAAACCAGTATTTGTAAATCAGACACTACTCCCAGAAGACTATAGGCCCTCAATAAAGGGTAGTTATTGTTATTAGACAATAAAAGTAATTAGGGTAAAATTTTAACACAGTGCTTGGCATATAGTAAGGATTCAAAGGCACTTTTTTTAAAAAAGGCAAAGTATCATTATTAAAATAATTATGTAAGACATTAATGTAGCGAAGGTTTAACAGATATTTATGCATTTGTTAAATGAACAAGCACTCAACATAGTACCCAGTAGACGGAGCAGCGGAAAATCTAAGTATTATCTGGCCTATCTCTTACAATTAGTGTTTCTATAGTGGTAAAAAGTTTTGTTTTGTTTTGTTTTGGAGAAATAGTAGCTACTATCTAATAAGGAATTATGAGCGGTAGGGCCAGAATATGAACTGAATGTGATATGAATAAAGTTTGTGCTTTTCATTTCATGCTGATGGCTAAATCTAACATTTCATGTCTTTTTTTAATTTTTAGAATTTTTATTCTTTGAGAGTTTTTTGATACAAATGTATGGGATACATGTGAAATTTTGTTACATGTTTATAATGTGCAGTGATCAAGTCAGGGTATTTAGGGTGTCCATCTCCCAAGTACAACACATTTTTGTTTAACTATAGTAGTCACCCTACTCTGTTATTAAACATCTAATTTGTTCCTTCTATCTAGCTGTATGTTTGCACCCTTTAACTCACTTTTCTTCATCCTCCCCCAACCCTCACACCCACCCTTCCTAGTATCTGTTCTCTATCTTTCCACTCTCAACCTCCATGTGACCAGATTTTTTAGTGAGAATATGTGATGTTGGTCTTTTTGCACCTGGCTTATTCCACTTAATGACCTCCAGTTCCATCCAAGTTGATGAAAATAACATGGTTTCATTAGTCATCCACCCTTCATTCTTTATTAATTGGGAAACATTGCTGGCAAATCACTACACTGGACCCCATTCTTCAAGACACACCTCAGCTAAGCTATTTACTCTTTGCTATTGCTGGTGGAATAGCCACGAAGTGCCACCCCACGAGCTGTCACCTCTCTTAATGTTCACAACTTTTGAAGGCAGGTATTATTGCCACGTGTTATACATGAGGAAGCCAGCACCCAAAGACATGAAATAACTTGCCTGGAATCACACAATTAGTATGTGACAGGGCAAGAATTTGAGGCTGAGCCTCTTGTCTGCTCCAGGTCAACACCCTGAAAGCCTCTGTGTGGCACACAGAGGCTCCTAAGGCACCAGCCTCCTATTTCTCACCCAGGAGCCCAGCTGCCAGAGACCACACAGCAAGAGAGAAAGCCTGCTCCTTCCGGTGCAATCAGAAGACAAACCCGGCACATTTTCAAATTCCACACTGCATGGTGAAAATATTTTCATGACTTTAGCCCTACAGTATTTCAAGGACTTCCCTTCCTCTGCAGAAAACATAGATGCTGAAATTCCAAATGCCTCCCTCAAGAGAAAATAAACCTCTTGTTCTTGTTTCTTCCAAAAGAAGCTCCATTTCTTTTGGGAGAAAAGAATCAATCTCTTATCATCAAAAGAATGGATTTAACCAATATTCTTTGCCTTTTTCAGGTTTTCTTTTGCTTGGGCTCTCTCCCAACCAAAAGCCATGGAACATACTCGCCCCAAGGCACCATCAATGTGTCCTAAACACTACTACTCCCCCAGCTGGGCTGGAGATAGCTCCATCCAGCAGACCCTGCCCTGGCAGAGGTGCAGCCAGGGAACTCTCACCTAATTAAAGGACAATCCGGCAGCTCCTACAACGTCACTTGAGTCTGGATGGAGAGAAGACAGGAAACACAGGATTCCAAAATTACAGCCTGAGGCTTTTATTCCAGAGTCCCTTTCAAAGGCATGGATGTCTATTTGGGTACATGTGGTGGTCATCAGAGAAGAGTCAGAAGGCTCAGACCCCTCGGGAATGGGCAAAGCAAAGAAAGACACAATAAGCCTGGCAAGACCTCGTATCTCAGCTTAGAATGTTTTTTTTCACTCAGTCTCATGAACAGATTTAGAAATACCATCTGCAGCTCTCCTCCAAGGTTTCTCAAAGGTCCTTGGAGTTATCTGGGGACAAAAATGCCAATTTTGTAAATAAAGAAACTGAAGCCAATAAGAAGGTGACTAGCTTAGGGATTTTTGGAAATTTCTTTGGGAAACTGGGAAAGAACCTATATTGGTCTCCACATCATTTTCTCTGAAGTCAGGAACTTGGATGGGCAGCTCAGGACTGCCACCTAAGCTTCAGTTTACTCACCTGTAAAATAAAGCTACTGATAATACCTACCTCATAAGGATATTGTTAGGATTAAATGAGACGACCTTGGTAAAAGGGTGTAGCAGTCAGGGGCCCATGTGGAGACAGAAAGCACACAGCAATGTGAACTGAAAAGGTTGATTACAAAGAACTATTAATGGGAAATTAGCTAAGAAAAGGGAATTTAAAAAGAGCTCTAAAGAATACCCCAGATCTGAGAGAAAGAACCTAAGAAACAAACTTGGAAGGGGAGACCCTGCCCCCTAGGCTGGGATTCAGACCTCCTTGGAGAGGGCATGACTGCAGCACATGGATGGCAGGGAAGCTGTTGGCCAGAACGGGGCAGCAGGCAGCAGAGCAGCAAAGCACAAGAGGGAAACCTCCCCTCCTGCTGAGATGCTACCGATCAGAGAACCACACACCTGCACTGGCAAGCTGGGATAAGCACCAGTGGGTGTCCATGCACTGCTGGCCACTACACGCCTCGGGAGCAGGCCGAAAGCAGAACATCAGAACCAGGGAGAAGGTCCCCCAGGGTCCCTCCAATGCTCTGCCAGCTGGCAGTGGAGAAATGTTCCAATATGACAAGCAAGGCCACGAGCAGTGGATTTGGAGCTGAGCAGTAATAAGCTGGTAACTGGCAAAGAGGCCTCATTATCATACATCTCCTATAGAGTCATATTGCCAGAGGATGTGGGCAGTAGGGGTGCAGCGTGAGTGCAACTGCTATCTACCTCAACTCTGAATTGGGCTTATCTTCCAAATTTGCAGATGGGCACACGTGGTTTGGGAAACAGCATTGAGTGCTACTAGAAAGCTGTGACCTCCTGCTCTACACACCAGGATCTGTGAAGCTCTCTCTCTCTCTCTGCTAAGCTGTACACTCAGGGAAAGCCTCCACAACCATTTGAGTCACCAGTTGTTCTTTCAAAGGACCCACCCAAATCCAGAGCTGTGTAAGTAACATTGATCATAGACATGGGACAGCACTGGCAAAAATAAACATAAAAAAAATAAAATCAGCTAGAATGAAATCTACTTCTGACCCCCATCTTCCTACCCAAGAGTCTCTTGTAGCCACTGTAGATAACACAGGAAGAGGAGGAGAGGCAACTTTGCACCATCATTCCTGAACATGAGGCAATAGACACTGACTTACCTTGCAACTAGGTGGATTTGAATCAGACCTAAAGAAAAATGTCCATAATTGCATGAGAATCATACTGGGTTTGGTAACACCCGCAAAAAGCTGCAAAGCCTTCTTTTTAAAAGAAGATGCTTTCTGATGGCTCCAGCCTCACCCAGCTTGTGAGTAGGGGTTTGGCTGGGATAATTGCTTGAGGTACTTTCCTGCTGCCAGCTCCTATGCAGAGGTAACAATGTGTGCCATAACTCGGGATAAAACAGAAAGAGGGGCTGTGGAGGGAAGACCTTTGAGGGCCTCATTTCCCTTCCCAGCATGTGCCAAGGACAGTCCCTCGCAACAGCCCCAGGGGTCCTTAGCGGGAAGCTGTTTCAGGCCCCACGGGAGACAGCAATAACCCACCATTACTGGATAAACAGTCCAGGACAAAACAACTGAGAAATGATGACATTCTGAAATAACGCAGCAGTTCTTGTGTCCAGGAATTTCTCTTTGAGGAAGAAAACAAGGGGCCTCCTACTTGGCTGTGTGATTGGCAGGGGAGAAAGAGCATATTTCAGCTCAGTATGTATAGATGTGCTCCAGGCTGGGCTGGGCTGGGCTGCAGTTTTTCCATCTACATTTTTGAGGAGCTTCCAATTTCTTCTGAATAAACATTTTCCAAATAATCCTGCCTGAAAACTGTCCCTCATCAACTTAGAACATGCTTTCCTTTCTCAAGGTGATGCCACAAGGGAGTTGTCAAGACCCATAGTACCCCACTAGCCTGGAAGAACTTGTCTGAAAACTTTGGTGGAGCTTTTCAGAATCACAAGGCTCTAGAACAAGGTGGGGTAGATCTCCCAGAGCTTGTACCTTGTACTTTAAAATGAACTTGAAAATGAACACTCCAACTGGCTTATTTTCCAAATGAGGCATCCAGGGCTCAATGTGGTAATGAACTTGTCTGAGAACACACAGTCAGCTAACAGTAAGTAGTGAATCTGACATTTCTCTCTCCCTTACCTCACCCTGGGCCTTCCTCCAACCCCATATTCCAGATACCCTAAAGCATCCAGAGATGAGCGTCCAGATAATCTTGTTTGGTTTTTTTTGCCTGTCTGTCCTGAGTTCAACCAGTCATGAAAAATGACTTTGGTTGGATAGGACACAGCAGGAGTAGTGGTCAGGGCTATGGCTAGATTTAGGGCAAGGGCTAGGGTTTGGGCTAGGATGGAGTTAAGAGAATAATCCAAAAATAAAGTAGCATCCTCCCTAAATGTATCTCAGTTTCCATTTTCATCTGGTCTGTCCTAGGTCCTTGGATATTAATAATATGAACAAAATTAGCAAACAGAGACATAAACTGACCAGTTTTAGAAGGAAGAGTATATAGCTTGGTTACTCTACAGTATCATGGTACTAAAACCAGTGTGTATCTGTTATCAATTACTGTGTAACAAACTACCCCCAACGTGCTTAAAATGCAACCATTTTATTGCATAAACGTCTTGAAGGTTAGGAATTTGGGCAATGCTCAACAGGAACAGCTCATCTGTGTTGCACATGGTGTTGGCCAAGGCAGCTAAGCTGGGGCTGGAGAATCTAAGAAGGTCTCACTCGCACGCCTGGGCCATGGTGCTGGCTGTTAGCTGGAGAGCCTCTCTCTCCATGTGGCCTCCCCCTCCAGCAGAATTGCCTGGACTTCTGTACATGATGGTTGGGATCCAAGAGGGAAAGTGGAAGATGCAAGGCCTCTTTAAGGTCTGAGCACGGAAGCCCCAGAACCTCACTTCCAACACATTCTATCGGACAAAGCAAGTCCCAAGGCCAGCTGGAATCAATGTGGGGAGAGAGGCTCTACCACTTAACAGGAGAGCAGCAAAGTTATGTTGCAAGGGTTGTGGACATAGGGAGGGAAGACTTTGGAGCAGACCAATTTTTGTCATTGTCTCCATAATGCTTGTCACGGGGAAGGATAGTCTGATATAACAGAGAGAGAAGAGGGACCCAGTGTGGTGTGAGATCTGAGTCTACTCTCTGCCCTTTGCTGTCAGTGTGGCCTCAGGCAAGTCACCTCCAGAGCTCCCTATAAGATAGGAACTTTCTTCTAAAATAGGGATATAGTGGCTTAGCGGGGAAGAACAAATAAGATACATGAAATAAAAACACGTTGAAAACTGTGGGCTATAGTGCAATTCTAAAAATGTTTAATCTATATATTAACACTGTATTACCTTATTCATACCTTTCCTCTAACAAGCATTCAAGGCAAATGGTGGCTGGCTGGCAGAGGGGCATTAGACAGTCTTGAAAAGAGCTGTCCTGTCCCCCAATCTGAGGCTGCAAACCCAGTTTCGCACTTTCTAACATGGTGAATCCCTCCCCTTCCCTGACTTCCAGTGTCTTCATTGGTAAAATTACATTTCGGTGAGGATTAGGGTTTTTGTAACTTTGATTTTTATAAAGATTATCCCAAAATTCCCCAATCAATACTAAAATTATTTTAATCACCATTATTGTTCAAACGTTTAGATTGTGACCAAATCTGAAACTCACAACTTGAACAGTCAAAATTCCTAGAAAAGTACCAGTTTAACCTCTGCCAGAATGGCTTTTTAGACTTAGATTTTATTTTTGAAACAAAACCAAAACTAGAACCTTTAAGTTAAGATCCTCTAAAAAAAAAAAAGAAAGGAAAAAGAAAAAAAGAAAAAGCCCTGTTACTGAAGTTGGGTTTTGTGATTGGGAGTGTGAGAAGTTCCATCTCAAGCAGCAGCCACCTCCTTTTGGCCTCGGGCTGCTGGGCCACCACTGTGGCCAGGGAGTGTCTTCTTTGGGCCCATGGTTTGGGCAGAGACACAGACACCATGCTTTATATAACTTATCCCACCCCAGGAGCTAGTCTTCCTGCCAGTCACAGGGGCCACAGAATCATATCTAGGTATTTAAGCCCAGGTCTGGCAACTCAGGAAAGATGAAATGGAGAGTTCTGCTCCCACCCACCACTCTGCAAATGCTTGACCTGGGTGTAGCTGCTCTGCTGTGCTTTGGTGGTATTCAGTCAGGCTGAAGAAGTCTTCCCCATTCACACTGTGCTCAAATCCCACCCGTCCTCCAGCCCCATTCTCTCTTGCTGCTGCTTGGACCTGGCCTCAGGCCTCATGATCAGCACTGGACTTGGCTGCTCACACAAATTGGTGTGGACAGCCCTGAGGACCGGGGTCCTGGGAAAGGGAAAGAGGGCGAGGAGATGACTAATGAAAAAGGAGGGCTCCTGACATGCTTGGCTTCCTCCAGCCAAGCAGAGCCTAATCCTGAACAGAACTGAGGGGATGGGCTCTTGAGACAAAGCAGTCCCCAGATGTAGTCAGGTTTTCTCCTGATCTATATTTGAGGATTCTTTAGAAAGCTCACTTTGAACTTGAGCAGTAGAAAGCCAGAAACCATCATGGTTTCTGAAAAGAGCAACAGGAGTGTGTAATTGATACTTTCATTTAAGCTATGATGATCAGTTAATGTTAGTTATCCACCCTGGCTGTAGAATCACCTGGGGAGTTTTTAATTTCCTGCCTAGACTTAATCAGTTTAATTGGTCTGGTGTGTTAAGTACTGCAGGTGACTCTAATAGGCATCAGGATTGCGAGTTCTAAGTTAGAGGGAGTGAGCCTAGAGCCATGATTCTCAAATCTCAGCATGCCTTAGAATCACGTGCAGGGGCTGGTTGGAGCACAGATCGCTGAGCCCTACCCTCCGAATTTCTGATTCATTAGATTTGTGGTAGGGCCGAGAATCTGTGTTTCTGACAAGTTCCCAGGTGATGCTGATTGATGCTGATCAGAAACCACACCACAGCCAGAAAACAACCTGATGCTACCAGGTGGAGGCTTTGAGCTCTGGCCTGGGGTTACAGCAGTGCTAATGAGGGCAGCAGATACATCTGAGGCATTTGAGAGGCAGGACACGTGGCTCTCCAGGTATTGGTTTGCACGATTAGTCAGCAATGGCAGGTGGTGTGAGAATAGGCTTGGTGATGTGGCTTTGAGCCTCATCTGCACAGAGACAGAACACCTTGGAGATGGTGTATGTCTCTTTTGATTTCATACAGCTAGAGGTCAGATTTCTTTGCCTTGCATTCCAAACTACTATTGAGTAGAATTCTTAATATAAATCAATGCCATCCAAATGGTGAACTCGATTTATAATGCTTTGGAAACATTTGCCACTCTTTTCTAAAAACACATTGAGTTTTTCCAGATCTGGGTGAAACTTTCCTCCCACTTACAAACTTTCATCCTGTGTTGTTCAGCCAGCTTAAGTTTCTCTTGCCAGTGTCCAAACTCAAAAGGAGACTATACAGTATCATTGCTGAAAGAAACTTAAGGTCAGCATCAAGTTACTACAGAATTGTGGGGAATTCCAGTAAAATCACACAGTAGGAGAATCTGGCTCATGTCGTCGCAAGTATATGGTTCTTGCTGAGATAAGCTATGACCAGGGAATTCCTATTTGGGAAAAAGAATGTTCCTTTGAAGCAATTTAGCTATTCCTTCCTCGGAGAAAGTCTAAGCTAAATAACCACCCTTGAGAAGGCAATATAAATAAGATAGTAACAGCATTAGCTTTATCTAGTACAGGGCCCTTGCAAGTCCAATCCAGTTAGCACATGTTTAAGGCAAGCAAAATTTTTCAAGAAAAAAAATGAGTCAAGATGATTTAACAAGATAGACTGTCATTCAGCCAGCCATTTGGGTCACGCAGTGACACCAGATAGGTGACAGAGGGGTGGGGAAAGACAGCTCTGGAGCCTACCTGGCAAAAAAAAATCCACACAGATAAGAGGGTGTATTAGTCCATTCTCACACTGCTATAAAGAACTGCCCGAGACCAGGCAATGTATAAGGCAAAAAGGTTTAACTGACTCACAGTTCCACATGGCTGGGGAGTCCTCAGGATACTTACAATCATGGTAGAAGGCGAAGGGGAAGCAAGACACTTTCTTCACAAGGCAGCAGGAGCGAGTAATACAAGCAGGTGAAATGCCGGACACTTATAAAACCATGAGATCTCGTGAGAGCTCCTTCATTATCACGAGAACAGCACAGGGGAAACCGCCCCCATGATCCAGTCACTTCCCTCCCTCAACAGGTGGGAATTATAATTCGAGATGAGATTTGAGTGGGGACACAGAGCCAAACCATATTAGAGAGAAATGCGGCATATTCCCCAGGCTGGCCTACTCGACTTCTTTCAAACATACTGGCAATGAGCTGAGAAAGCCCTGAGCATAGGGGCTTATGGATTTGTCTCTCATTGTTAATATTCTTGCTTTGGGGAGGAACCCAAATGGCAAGCAAGTGTGGCTTCCCAAAACAGCCAGGTTTGGGACGCTCTGATTGTGGGCCCATTCATTCATTCATTCATTAGTTCATTCTACAGACGTCACTTGACTGCCCATTACATGCCAGGCCCTGTCTAGGCAGGGGTGTGACAGAGACAAGTTAAATGTCAGTGGTTCTTGTCCTCAGGGAAGTCAGAGTCCAGAAACCAGAAGAGATGACTGACCATTTGGTGGGCCTGCAATAAAGGCAGATCATCTGCATTAACAGCTGAAAAAGTGCCACTAGGTTTGTCAAAATGGAAGTTTAAAAATAAATACATAAAAGGTTGGCCCCTCGGTCTGGCTGGCAGACATCAACCTATTGACAGCAGGCAAGAATGAAGAAAAATCAGCTAATTTTGCTTTTTTATTGCCAAAATTAAATGTAAGTGGGAAAGAAAACTTGCCACAAAAGCATTATAAAAATCTGGCCTTCAAAAAATAGTCTGTAATTAATTAGGCCACGGTCCTCCCAGAGGTTGATTGTACTAAATAACAAAACATGTCTCTCATGCTCTCAATTCAAAAAAGTAGGCCTGGTGCAATAGAAGACTGCGAGCTCAGGGAAGTGGGCAGAGAACTTCAAGTAATCAATAATTGCTAATATTTCCTGGGGGTTTACCATGTGCCTGGTACTATTCTAAGCAGTATTCTACATAGTAACTCATTAATCTTCACAGCTGCCGTATAAAATGGTACTGCTACCAGCCTCATTTTACAGAGGAAGAAACAGGCACACAAAGGCTAGGTAACATGCTGATGGTCACACAGCTAGTTCATGGCAGAGCTATGGATTGAGCTGAGTCTGTGCAAAGGGCCCTGATAGCCTGGCTTTCCCTGTAGCTCCAAAGGGGGATGTCTGTGATTTTGGCAGCATAAACTAGTGATGTAGCAGGAATTTTAGACCAGAAAGCTTGAGCTTGGATCCTGATTCTACCACTCAGTGGTGTATGATTTTTGGTAAGTTATTTCACTTCTTGAGTCACTGTGTCCTCATTTGTCAAAAAGTACTAGCAATCACTTTTAAGATTGTCATGAGGATTAAATGAGATAAAAATGAAATCTACACGGAATTCCTTGCCTAGGAGGGAGCAGTTTTGCCTGACCATGATGTTTGTTCCATACCTGTGAGTTTCAATTATAGTTCATCCAAGAAGTCACATGTTATCCAGAGATGCTTCAAAGCTGTGACGATTCACACATTAGCAGGTCTGATTCATCTGCATCCCATGGTAAAAGCCAGTTTCCTAATTTTCCAGACCTTCTGTTCAACTCAGAATTATTTACTTTAAAATACCAGAAAGTACAGTCATTAATTTAACCAAGGAGATTAGCAGCTTGTATCACTACAATTGTAGAGAAATTTGAAGAGTTCTGGATTGTATAAGATGACTGAGCCCTCTTATTAGCAACAGAAGTCTCATCCTAATCCAAACAATGACCAAATACCATGGAGGTGAAAAAGGGTTCACAAGGAACTGATATTGTATGCATACGTGCATTCACAGTAGAAAAAGGTATTCGCATTTTCACAGAGCTTTAGGACTGGGAACAGCTACATAGAAGTCCTAAAGATCCCCTAATGCAAATATCTCCCTAATGTTTGCAGTGGTTAGATGAAATGTGAGCTGAGGATCCTTCACCTTAATATTCTATGATTCTTTAATAAAGCATATTGATTTCTTATAAACATCTTCAGTGCTCATTTCTACACCCTGCTCTATGCTTGGTGCTCAGTCAGTATCAAACTGATGAATTCTGAGACTTTCCAAACAGACTACAGGTAATTAAGTTGGGTTCTATACAGTTCAAAGTATTAAAACTCTAAAATAATACTCAAAATCAATGTGTGCCTTTTACTGGAGAGAAGGTATACAATTTTCACTATCTCCCCATGGGGTTTGTAAACAGACCCCAAAAAATACATGTATTAAAAACTGGGTTTCTATAGATAGACTGGCCAAATTGTGCTAGTGCAGGCCACCTTTTTAGAATCAGCATATAATGCTTATGTGGAAAATAAAATAAACTCTGATATATTTGCAAATAACAAACTTCAGCTGCCTAGAGCAGAAAAATTTGGAGTTTGCTACTGAGTTGGGAACACAAATGAGCAGCATGCACACACCAACATGAAATACAAGGTTCTGCTATATATCTCTTGGCTTTTGTATTTCTAACATGAATATTCATAGCTCATTCTTTGATTGCTCTTCCATTTATTCAGAGCCACACTATTTTATACCTAACTATAGGGATATTAAATATCAGAAAAACAATATAATAAAGAGACAACAGATTTTGTGTCAGACACACCTGGGTTCGAATTTGAATTCACATGTTATTACCTAGATGCCTTGGACAAGTCATTCAGCATCCCTGAGCTTCAGCATCCTCACCTAGAAAGTACAGGTATTAATGCAAACCACATAGAGTTTCTCTGAGGACAAATGAAATAATGTACAGAACATACCTAAAACATTGCCAAGGATGTAGTAGATACTCCATAAATACTTGTTGAAATGAAGCTAGGAAAGAATGTTCTTATCTTATTGAAAACCACTGAAAGCAGATTAAGACCTACAAGGATTATTCAGCAACAACTACAATGATATTTTTGTCTTGAAGTCTGGAGGGAAGGATTTCAACAGATACCACAGTCTAGTGGGTGATACAAACATCCATTCATTCATTCAAAAGTATTCACTGAGTGTCACTATATGCCAGGGATACGATGAGGAATAGACAAACATTAATGAATATATAAATAAATGTAAGAATGAAACTGACAAGGGCTCAAAAGAAAGATTCTTGACACAAGAGTCTGTAATATGGAGGAGTCACAGGGGCATGGAGATAGGGACACTTGGCCTGAGATCTGAATGACAAGTGAGTGGATTCCAGTAAGAAAAGTGGGGAGCAAGAGAATTCCAGGCTGGTGATTTCAGTCATGATGGAGAGGAGATAGGGCAATGGCTAGAGATGAGCAGTCAAGTTAGAGTATTAGCATTATTGTTACTGGAAGTTTTGAATGAAATACCAAAGCAACAGATAGAACATGCCAAACATAAGGCAAGTGATCAAAGGAGGTATTCTTAAACCAGTTGCATAACCTTTTTATAATTCTTCACCCGTCGTGAGACACTAAACAGGTCAGGGGTTATTGGAGATGAGGTGTTTTGGAGACAGCTGTTGGTATGCTATGCACCCTACCCCACTCCAAGAGACAAAGCATGGGAGGTTTCCTTTCTGTAGGTTTGTTCATCACCTCAAACCTACAGAAAGGAGTTTCCCAAAGCAACTTGGAAAGCTTCATCTGAGACCCCCTAATGTTCAGGGAATAGTGAGGACTGGTGTTTAACCCAGCTGGGTGGCTGACCAGATGCTCTGATGGGACAGCAAATGTATTGTTGCTGCTGCAGTGAGATCAGCCTCTGCTCAAGAGAAGATCCAGAGAGGCAGAGTCCAGACCAGTCTAAGGCTCCAATATTGAGCCACCTCCCACAGAAGGAAGCTGAAGACACCAACTGAGCCCCCTCTGATTACAAAAGCCTTACTAGCCACTCTAGCCTCTAGTGACCATCCATTCTGCACTTCCCTCCAGGACCAGAAAAGAACAAAAAATGATAGCATTTCATCAATACCATCTAAAGCCACTTTGAACATTTGTGAGGTTAAAATCACGGCAAAACAGTTACCCATGAGCAAAAAGATAGGACTATGATGGTATGGACAGAGACATTAGAGATATTTAAAGTTCTAGTTTTTCTGGGTTTTTTTTTCCTCTTTGGTAATGTTGTGGTGGCTGTTTTTGTTTGTTTGTTTGTTTGTTTTGAACGGCTACCAGGAAAAGGAGTTTTATTAACACAGTTTATTTGTACATAGGATAAAGTCAAAGGGAATTATAATGGTAGGAGACAGAGAATACTCCACAGCAGGGAAAACTCAAAAATTACCCTTGCTTTTGTGACTTGAAGTTGCTTACCACCTGTGTCATTGGGAAAGTATGTCTGCATCTCAAGAATAGCTCATATGTGATCTCCTCACCATTATTATGATAATGTAGCATTAATTCAGCATTTACCATGTGCCAGTCATTGTATGAGGCCTTGGTATATGGTTTCTTAAAAATTGTTGTTAAGGCAAAGACAACTCTTCTCCCTCCTGCCTTTCTTCTCAGCACCATTTTTGTTTGATGCCACACTTGTGACATTTGGAACTCGCAGAGGTCCTGCCTTCAAAGAAAAAGCTCTCCTGGCTCCTCTTCAGAGAAGGCCATTCTCACACAGGGCTCACCTGTGAGGCTGTGGGACCAAGAGCTCCCTGAGTCCACAAACCAGACCTGCCTTTGCGGCCACTCCTGTTGGGGTTGTGGGTTAATTGCTGCACTGTGTTTTGGTGCCGATTTTAAGGCATATTTTTATATACACATTTTCTCAAAAGTGCAAATTTGGTGTCAGGTTTTATATATAGGTCACCATAATTTGTATTATGTCCCCTCATTCAAGGAAGGTGTCTGTTAAACTTGTTAATAAAAACAGAAAGAAATGGTTTTTTTTAAAGTTTTGTGGTTGTTGTCATCGTGAAGCAGTACCAGTATTCAAAGGCCAGATTTGTCTGGTTTTACAGTTCATGCTCTTAAACACAAGACCATTCAAGTTCCAGAGTCATATTCGTGAACAGTTTACACATTGGTTAAAATTTATGAGCAAGTTTCTCCCCAATTGCCCTTCATTCTCTCTCACACACACACACACACACACACACACACACACCACTACACACCACTGACCCTCACTCTTTCTCCCTGCCCAGGGAGACAATTAATGCCATCATCACATTGCTCAGGGAGCCCAGGCTGAATCTAACGGTGGGAAGCTTCCTACTGCCCTCTGACGTCTCCTGTCTCTTTCACAGACTCTTCTCCCTTTGTCCAGCCCATGAGTGTGTTTGGTTCTTGGAATTCCATCTCTGGCCCAGTCTTCTTCCTACCCTACATGCTTTCCTCCCCACCCTTAGCTTCCACCCACACGCAACCCTTTGCTCACACCACCCCCATCCGTGACTCCAGGCAAGATCTTGCTCCTGACCTCAGGCTGTGTAACTACAGCTGCTTCCTTCCCTGTGGCCACCTCGGCCTAGCCACTGGATTGTGAGGTCCTCAAAGATGAGAACCACGCCTCACTCAGCTTCACGCATCCTGCATTTCATATATTTTTAAATATAATATATAAACATGTAAGTGAATGAATAAGTGGGTTCAATTACTGTCTGTTTCATGAATAACAAGTTAAGGTAAAAAGAGAAAGAAAAACTTTAAAAGGAGAAGCCATACGTAGCTTTGTCTTCTCACCTAAGATAGAATGTGCTAGAGTGGATTCCACGAGATAGAACAGGTGTGCTAGACAGTGGCATGGGCAAGTATGCTTGCCAAATACTAGATTTTAAAAATAATTAAGCGGGACATTTTGATCCTCTAATATACATTACTACAGTTCAAATATTCAAAATATATACATAAAATCAGGTATCACTTAATAACAGGGATACCTTCTGAGAAATGTGTCATTAGGTGATTTTGTCCTATGTGAACATCAGAGTGCACTTACACAAACCTAGATGATAGAGCCTACTACACAACTAGGCTAGATGGTGTAGCCTATCGCTCCTAGATTACAAACCTGCTCTGCATGTTACTGTACTGAATACTGTAGGCAACTGTAGCACAATGGTAAGCACTTGTGTATCTAAACATATTTAAAAGTAGAGAAAGTACAGTAAAAATAAGATATCATAATCTTATGGGACCACTGTTGCATATACAGCCCATCATTGATGAAAATGTAGTTATGTGCCACGTGACTATATTTTACATTTTTCAGCACTTGTTAAATGTATTTGATTACATTTCTGTTTGGGTTTGTTTGTTTATTTAGTACACATTCACTGTTCTGCAGACTGAGATTCTATAGTTAACCAATTGGGAGAACTACGCCCTGGAATATAGGATCCTTGATTAGTCACTGCTCATAAGAAAATAATTTTTAAAACAACAACAACAAAAACCCTTCAAAATTGACACAATGGTTGTATTCAGAGCTTTTAACCTTTTCTAAGAACAAATCAGTGGATCTATGCAGACACAAAAGAGACTGAGACTTGGCCTCCCGGGAACCACACCCCAGAGGGCGGGGGATCTGGACGTGGCCACACTTCAGGTCGCTCGGGTTTTCTATCCATCAGGCCACCACTGGCAACTCACTTGCTATGATGAATACCGCTTTCTTCCTGCAGCCGCAAGTCAGTGACATTTTGGTCATGAAACCCACATGCACTGGCTCTAAACTGCAGCGCCTCTCTGGGGTCTGGGGGTGGAGGGTGACTCCTCATGCTACAGCAGCTGCAGGAAGCGCTGGGTGACATCACCTCCCCCTAAGCCAAGAAGGTCAGGCCCAGAGCAGCCATCTTTGGACAGAAAACACACAAATAATCCACCTCTTTCCACCCTGGAGAATGAGCTCACAACTGCGGGGGGCCCAGCTCTGTATGCATGCCAGGTGATGTCAGGGTGAGTGTCCTGGCATCCTGACACTCTGCAGGTGCTCCATTCATGGACACCCCACAGTCCACACCAGATGGCAGCGTGGGAGAGGGACATCAGCTCTAGACCTTCCCTCACTTCTAGTTATAAGCCTTTGGGGGACTGACTCGCCCATTTTCTTGGACTGTGTTATATGAATGTTGGGCCAATCATAATGGGATAGATACTGGGGTAGGGTGGGGATGGAGAAGGGCTTCTCTAGAGGTTTCTGTACAAATAAAATTCCTGGCAATAAGCTCTCACTTCTATCATCAACTGCTATTCTCTGGGTCATGGAAAATCCTGCATGGTTGGTCACACAGGGGGATGGAGTGGAAAAGTTGAAAGAGAACTGATTGGCTCTCGGAAAGGTGAACAGAGCTATAATAGAATGGAAGAGAAGCCCACACAACAAGTTGGACAACCTGACACCTAACCTGGGCTTCCCGATTCCGGACTTTGCTTTGTCCAAAGCCAAGTGGCAAAGAGAGTTCAAAATTACCCTGTATTTTGATTCCATGAAAAATGAGATTTTTTGTTGTTGTTCAATTGCTGATACACTTGGCCTTACTATACCCTGCTTTCTCATCGCAAATAGAAAATGGGCATGAATATAAATAGTGTGTTTCTTTGAATCCCTCAAAAGAAAAGTTTCCAGTTTGACACCCACATTTAAATTGCCTATAATTTCCTCATTGGAATCTTTGAAGCCCAAGGCCTTTCTGTGTCAGGAGGTGACTGTTGATCTGCCTGACAGATGACGTGTCGGGGACACTCACATGGTTACCTTAGAAAGATGTACCCTTAAAAGGAAGAAGTCCCATCAAGCATTGACTCCAGCATTTAATCTCATGCCGGAAGCTGACTGAGGTGGCTATTTAAGGAAGGAAAGGAGACAAGGAAGACAGGAGGGAGAGAAAGCAGGACAAATGGAAAGAGGAAATGGAGAGATGGTATGGGGAAAGGGAAAAGAAAGGAAGGGAAGCATGGAGGGAGGAAGAGATGGAAGGAAGGAGGAAAAGGGGGAAGAAAACTTGAGCTAATGAGGAGCCCATTGGATTCTGTAAATAAACCACAGAAACAATGAAGCCTGGTTCTTCTGAAAAGGGTTCCCACTTTCCCCAACTTCATCCTGGTTCAACCAGCCTCAAGACTGAGGCGACTCAGGCAGCTCTCAGCGGCTTCAGCCTGCAGTCCCAGTGGGCTGTGAGTCACGGGCTGCGCTGCAAGCAGGCTGCTCTGAGAGAGCCCTGGAGAGCTGGCCGTGGGTGTTCAGACCATTCCTGCTGCTGGTCAGGAACGTCCCTTCAGGAAGTTCGTTCACTCCAAGGTCGTTCTCTTTAGGATTTAATGAACAAGCCACAAAAATGAAGGGGACCCAAGGTTTGAATCCTGAAGCCCCAAACAATATGCCAGCCAGTTTATTTTTCCTCTTGGAGCTTAGCACATCCTTCAGGAAACTGCAGAAAAGAGTGACCTCGTCGTGAAGGTTCCTGCCTGTAAAAGACACAGTCCTTTCATGGCACACAGATGCCTCTGGCAGGGCAGAGGAAAATGCTTCAACTTCGACAAAAGAGGCATCTCTACCTGCTGTCAACAGCTGGCTCCTGGCAGAACTGGGAAGGTCCAGGGACAAGAATCTGAATCCTACATCCTCAGCCTACTGGGGCCAACAGCACCTTTGCCTCTCAGCACCCATCAATCACAGCCCTCCACCAGCTCATCCTCGATGAGTTGTCCCTAAGCAGTTCAGCCCCATAGCCTTCTCTTGGGATGACTCCAGGCTTTCCCCACACTTCTGTCATTACCAAGCTGAACAAAACAGCTCCTCTCCTGGAATTCATCCAGCTGCCGACTTGCGAGGGTACATGAGCAGCTGTTGTTACAGTGGAGAGAAGAGGGTGTGGGCTTTAGAGTCAGACAGCCAGGGCTCGAATTCCAGTTCTGCAATTACTTGCTGGTGACCTTGGGAAAGTAACTTAACTTCTCTGAGACTCAACTTTCCTATGCTAGAAGTCATGATAATAATAGTAGGGTCGTTATGAGGATTGCATGTGTCATCTCTCTGAGAGCAGAGAAACTGTCTATTTATTAGTGTTTAACCCACATAAAGCATTGAGTAAATATTTATTGAATACATGCAAAATGCTTCACACAGTGTTTAGCACATAGACGACTGCAATGAATGGATAGTATTATCTTCCTTCTCTTTATTTTCTGCCTCTCTCAATGCTTCCCATGGAGGAGCTTATTTTGACCCTTGTGTCAGTCAGGGTCCCAGCAGGAAACAGATGTTGTGTTCCAAATGGGGAGATCTTCATGAAGGAGCCATCTGCAGGGGTGGCTGAGAGAACCAACAGGGAGAGTTAAGCATCCCACAAGTAGCCACAGCAGAAAGGTGCCAACTCTCCTCTCCCTGGAGGGTCAAGCAGGGAGCTGCTACCAGAGCCCTAAGTGAGAGAGCTATAGCTGTGAGGCCAGCTGCAGAGGATCCAAACCCTTCAGGGAACAGCAGAGCAGGGAGGGAAAAGGGGAAATTAACACCCAAGCCTTCCTCTCCTCCCACTCTATGATCTCTTGCTGCTGCCTCCCAATGGCCAAGCCCAATATCCACTGATGAGATCCTTGTAAATCAGCTTCCACAGAGCAGCCCAGAGAAGGGTAGGCTGGATCTAGCAGTGCAAATGGAGAAAATCTAGCACAGCCATTAAATCTCCAAGGATTTATGTGAATAGTCATCTTTCCTCATCTACATAGGTTCTTCTGCAGATTTACACTACAAAAGACAATATCTTCTCAAAAAAAGCTGAGATCAACAGGAGACTTTAGATTCAAAGATGATATGAACCACAATTTCACCTTGTACGTCTTCCTGTTGGGGGAATCTAAACAACTGGAGCACAGCTGTTCCATGGAGCTGGTTCCACAGCTGTATCACACCTTTGCTGCCCTTTCTCATACTACAAATTTTTACATGTAAAATCTAGAAATGGACATATTTCCATGCCTTGAAAACAATAGAAGGTGAATCCAGGCATGAATAACCTATAGGTAATTTTCTATGTTTGCAATATATGGGTATTTTTAAATACATAATAATTAAAATCTACTGACACTTTCCTGTCATCTTTGTATTGCATATTGTGTTTGTAAGAAGAAATTCTAGGCTTGAAGAGCTAAATAAGTCCACTGCTAAAGTGCTGGCATATTGGTGGCAGGGGATAAGCCAGATAGCAATTGGAAGCCAGTTCTGCAGAGGCCCCCTGGTCTTTGAAGGTTGGCATTCACTTTCCCAACACTGCACAGGTTGGGTGGACATCCTGCTAACTGGCATTCAGCCCTACTACCCAACAGCTGCCAAGAGGCCCAACGCCTTCACTGGATGTGGAACTCAGTGCTGGTATCTGAACACTAGCCCTCTAGAGGGTCAGCTTCATCTGTTAAGTGTATGCAAAAATGTATAAAGCAAGACGATAACCATGTTAAAATGAAAGCATACTCACAGTGAGGCATGGTTAGTTCTTCATGGACTCTGCTTCAATCTAGTTACCTGGCCCTGAGAAAATGGCTGTATTTAGAAATGGATGGAAGAAATGAAGGTGTTGATGAGGATAGCCAAGAATTTTGGAGCATTTCTTTTGTTCTAGACACTACACTAACTGACTCACATAGGTTAACTCAACCCCATGGCCCCCTACCCCGCCTCGCAAATAAGCATATGTTGTAGATTTTCCTTTAGAGATGAGGAACACAAAGCCAAGTGATATTAAGTTACTTGCCTAAGATAACAAAGCTGATGAGTGGAAGAGCTGGGATTGAAAATCAAGCAGTCTAACTCCAGATTGTACTTTTAACCACCAGACGATTCTGCCTCTGATTATGTTCCCTAAATATTCAGAGAGAGAGAGAGAAAAAAATTGGAAGAACATGTATTTTTCAACTTAAAAGCAGCTTGCTTCAGAGAGTGAGATAATAAGTGAATGTTTCTCTCTACTTTCTACTTTTTTGCTCTTTATTTTATTTAGGAGTCAATATATTAATTTCATAATGGAAAACATAAACTTCATGTCAAAAACCTATTTGAGGAATCTGGTTCTGTTATGAAAGTATGAGTCCCCTATAGCCTAGACCTCTTGCAGATGACAACTGCAAACCCTACACAGAATAGAAGCCAAGAATAGGCCAACACATATATAGTCAACTGATTTTCATTTAAGGTGCTAAGGCAATTTAATGAGGAAAGAATAGCCTTTCCAACACATGCTACCAAATCAATTACCTATCCATAAAGGAATAAATGAATATTGACCCCTAACTCTCTTCATATACAAAAAGGAATTTGAAATGGATCACAGACTTCCATGCAAAATATAAAATTACAAAACTTCTAAAAAAGATAAAGGAGAAAAGTTTTGTAACCTTGGAGTGGGCAAACTTTTCTTAGGAAGAAAGTAAAAATAATGGAGCATTTATTAGAAATGTTGTTTGCTCAATGCTACTTCATCACAATTAAACACTTTTATTCTGTGAAAAATACCATTAAGAAAACAGACAGGCAAGCCACTGCCTAGGAGAAAATATCCAAAGGACTTGTAACCAAAATGTATAGAGAACCCTTACAACTCAATAATTACTTACAATTATTGAACTAGACAAACAACCTATTTTCTTTAATGGGCGATGAAAGTTGAACAGACACTTCAAAAGAGTATCTATCAAGGGCTAAAATCATATATAAAGATGTTTAACATCATTGGTCATCAGGGAAATGTAAGTGAAAACCACAGTGAAATATCACTCCACATCCATCAGAAAGATTTAAATTAAAAAGACCAACCATACTAAGCGTTGGCAATGATGCAGAGCAAGCAGAACTTGTATACACTACTGGTGGAAATAGCAAATGATACAAATTTTTTGGAAAAGTGTTTTGTAGATTCTAAAGCTAAACATAAACCTACCATACAATGTTTGGAATGACCCAGCAATTCTACACCAAGTAAATAAAAACACATGTTCACATAAAGACTCATACATGAATATTCACAGCCACTTTATCTGTAACAGACAAAAACTGGAAACAACCTAAATGTCCATCAATAGGTGATTAGATAAACAAATTGTGATATATCTATACAATAGTACTCAGAAAACAGAGCAGACTGTTGATACAACAATATGGATGAATCTCAAAATCATTATTTTGTGTAAACAAATACAAAACCCCCTGAAAATAGAATACATATTGTATTATTCCATTTACATATTTATATAAAAATCTAAAAAATGCAAACTAGTATGTAGTGGCAAAGAGTAGATCATTTGTTGCCTGGAAATGAAGGTGGAGGGAAAGATGGATTACAAAGAAGCATGAGGGATCTTTTCAGAAAAATGGAAATCTTTGTTATATTGGTTATAGTGATGGTTTCATGAGCATATACATTCATCATAGCTCATCAAATTGAATTAAATATATGCAGTTTGTTGTATATCTTCAAAGTTGCTTTCAAAAAAACCTTTTCTGCTGAGATCCTTGTCTTAGCAACTAGACAGCAGCTGTAGCCTCAGCACCCCGCACCCTAGTTTGCTCTTCCCCAAAAAGCAACCATTGGGTTTATCATGGCAGTTCTGACTCACCATTCTGGGAAGCCGCCTTTTCCTTCTCTGTCTTGCAACCCTTCACCTTTCATCTGTATAGCCCTTTGATTTTTTTTTTCAAAGCTTTTACTGCACTGTAGTCACATGCATGCATTTAACTTATAAGAATGCAAGTATACACACACGAGGTAATAAAGAAAAGCAATTACAGCCTGTACAAGAAAGAGAAACAATGGGTGGTTCCATCTACCATTTCATTCCAAGAGTTTGAGAAGGGTGATGTGACCGCTTTTCCTCCGGCTGGTTCCATTGCTCCTATGTCTCCTATGTCATTTTAGGAGAATCTCATCATGTGAAGTAAAATTCTACTGGTGTTTGTTTGTTTGGTGAGAGGGTGTCACTCTGTTACCCAGGCTGGAGAGTAGTGGCACAATCATATCTCGCTGTAACCTCGCACTCCTGGGCTCAAGCAATCCTCCCACCTGAGCCTCCCTGGTAGCTAGGACTATAGATGCACACCATCAAACCTGGCTTCTACTGTTTAAAAGACACCTTTTTTGGTACAACAGAGCCTCTAAATGCAAATCAAGTGGTTCATCTGTTGTGGTTGTTGTTCACTTTTTAGATTTTTTTTCTTACCTTTGCTGATAATTGCATTTCATAATCACATCAACTTTAAGTTGTGTTGAATTTGTGTTGCTCTCAGTTATATTAAATCCTACTTTTTGATAAGCCATTTTATTTATTAAGTTTGTTGCATGAATGATGAAACAATGAACACAGGAGCAAGAAAAGAAAGCAACATGGGTGAAACTTAGGTTCAGTTTTATTTCCAGTTTAACCATGCTTCCTTAAATGGAAATGCTAATATATCCCTTTTTAAAATTTTAGGTTCAGGGGCACAGGTGCAGGTTTGCTATATAGGTAATTGTGTTTCAAAAAGGTTTTAGTGTACACATTATTTCATTACCTAGGTAATAAGCATAGTACCCAGTAGCTTTCCCGTGCTTCATTTTATACTCAACTGAAGAAACAATGATCTGTCCAGAAATGGAAAAATGTTGATTGTATTGGACTTATCAGGAAAAAGAATGTTCATCTCCTACATGGACTCTTAACAATTCATGAGGATAATTTTACTATACTTGATTATCATCATAGGTGATGATTTTAGAACCCCCATGTAAGATCAAATTTACTACATCTTTTGGGGTTTTCAGAATAGCCCCATAAGGTGGCCAGAGAAAATATTATCCACACTTGACAGAGGAGGAAACAGGGCCTCAGGGAGATTGTGACTTGCTAGTTACACAGCTAATAAGGGACGTCCCCCTTTCAAGAACTCAGGTCTTCAGACCGCAAGTCTAGTATTCCTTGAACCATATCACCACCTCCACATGTTGCCATTTTGCTTATCAGACAAAGGCATTATTATGGCCTGGATTTGCCCTGAGTCCCATGGAGAATTCTCACAGTGAAGATAACTTATTTTCACAATGGAAGCCAAAACTGCTGCTAACAACTCTTGGCTCTTTCTTCTCTTAACTAAAAAAGGAAAATGTGTTAAACCAAATGTGGCAGTTTTGTCACTCTTACCCCCTAATCATAATCAAAATTTACTTTAATTGACAACCAAGCTGTCAGTTATCCAAGCTTCCAGAAGAACGGACACAGATAAGGCCAAATTATGATATATTCCACAAACTCAGAGGAACCAACATCCTGGAGGTAGTCCCCATTCAGCCCAGAGGCAAGGGAAAGGGTCGAGTACATATCTAAACCACCGTGAGCTAGGCACTCCCCACCCATCTGCATACACTTTGTCATCTTTGCAACTACAGCGTTTAACAAGGGCTGGGAGATTTCAACTAAAACAGACAGAATGAACTTTCTTTTAGGGATCTTAGAACATTTTGCATGGATAGGTGGAGAATTTGAATAAAATGACCTATAGGGATAACTGTCTTTCTAAAGGTCTAAAAACAAACTGTCCCCAGTTCATTAACCAACATATTTATTGCCACTAGAAATCAATTTTCAAAGAGTGGTAAAAATGACAGGGACTGTAGCCACTGCCCAAAACCCGACTGACAGGGTCTCAGCACTAAATCAAGTAAAATTTAATAAGTGTCACTGTCCCAGGTGTGACAGCTAGGATAGAAATCATTCCATGTCTGGCCCAGACAGGAGGCTAAGGGACTAGTTACCCTGGGCAGTTAGGAGGCATACACTTGAGGGAAGAGGAAGTTATGCTTTCTATAGGGACATGTTTCCTATCCTTAATGAGTTTCCCTCCTATAAGAAGACACACAAGTTTAGGATAATAAAATTTACCCATACAACTTTACAAATTTGGCAGCAATCTCCATTACCCTGGCTGAGGCTGAAGGGTTAACCTAAGCTGCCATGTTTGGGGAACCAATGTTTGTGCTCACTCTTTCTCTCACTAAACTCAGTTGCAGCACAGAGGAAGGCTCCAAGAATCAGGGAAGATCAGGGATCCTGAGCTCTCATAGGGCAGTCATAAATGTAATGATTGACTGTTAAGAGGGATGCACAGCACTGATGCTAATGTCCTTTGTTTGGTTGTGTATGCATTTCAGAGTGAGAAGCGAAGCCCAATCACATTATAATCTGGGCAGTTTAGGTTCTTGTTTACCAGCCCTCATCCAATAGGCACCAGCTGGAGGCTTGGTATGTGGATTTTGTTTAGTTGCATTGTTGTCTTTTTATATCAAAGGAATCCTTCTATTACCCCAATTTCCTCCCTTCTGGTCCAGTAGCAAACCAGGACCATAACAGACAGGTTCCTAATGCTCTGCAGATGAAGGGATGTCAGGAAAATAAACAAATTTGCTCTCTTCTGTTGCATTCCTTTCCTTAAGGGAAGAAACTAAAAGAAGATGACTTAGAACTAAACACAGAAGTTTTCCAACAACACCTATCTTGCCAGCTCCTGCCGAGATCACTAGCTTTAAAAGTGCTCTTCGGGCCTGAGTTCAGGATGGCTCTTAAGCAACTCTGTCTCTGTGCAGAGCTGCCATTGCATTTCTTCAGCTGTTTTCCAGTTGCCTGAAAGAAGCACCCACTTGCCTGGGCCAGGAACGAGGAGCACAGAGAAACACAGAGTAGAACTGTTTCTTCCTCCAGAGTGTTTTTTTGAAAAAAAAAAAAAAAAAAAAGCCTTCCCCAGAGCATAGTCTACTTCTCTACTTGATGTCTCACAGAGCATTGGATGCAGAAGTTTGGGGATGGTTCTCTGAATAGGGGTGATTTGCACCAGGTTTGAACCACTGGAAGCCATACCCTTAGAAAGGGTAGATCCAAGAAGGTTTAACACCAAGAACTGCAGACACTGGCAGAAGTCATTCAGGGAAGAGTCATGTAGACAAACATGTTGTTTTCTCCAAAGCATAAAGCGCTCAGTATATAGATGGAGAAGGTGAGGCACAAGTACAGCCCAGTGATTATCCAAGGTGTTCATGATGGTGTCAGTCCTACAGCCAAGACAAGACTATGTGCCTTCTATGCTACCAGAACACATTAACTCTTGGGCATCGTGTCCTGGAAACAAATTGAGTGGGGAAAATATTCTATTCTGGAATACCAGGGTATCTTGGTATTCCAGAGGAAAACTATTCGTGGTCCACTTTCATAATCTGTTTTTAGGGATTTGTCATTTACTAAGGCAGAAATTTTAATCCTTCTCCCTGCTCAGGGGGGGATATCAGAATGAGGCTTCAGATAGAGGGTGAGTCAATCCCACCAATAGCAACCTTATCCCAACACAGCTTTATCAGTCTCCATTTGTCCTCACCTGGAAAATCAACTGGTGAATGTGGCAGTCAGGGCCTCCTGGGTATAGAAGAGCCGCTGGGTCAAATACTTCCATCATGCTTCATTATACCCTAGTTAGGAGTTGACTTCTTCCACCTGTCTGAGTCTGAACTAGATGGACTCGCCACTGAGAGAGGATGACAGTCAGGTAGGGGTCTCTCTGCAGCACCTCCTACCAGCCAACCAGCAGCAGCGTTCCTACCCAGGTGTCCACCTGTCACCACTGGGCAGGGGTGATGAGCACACAGTTGCCTTTTCCATGGCAGCATTGTTCTTTGTCTAACTTTCATCTCTCTGCTATCTCACAATGCTCTTCTAAAATAAGGTATATTTGGCAGCATTATCAAATAAAGGCTGGCAACAAAACTCAAGCATTGTGAATGTGTGTTTCTTCAATTTAATTTAGATCTCTAATGTCTTGAGATTTAAAAAAAGATACTTTAATTTTTTTGTGATTCAAGTTGCATTTGGATTGTGAAGACATTCTTTATAAGTTCGTGCCTGAAGTAAGTTATTTCTGAGTCCCTAAATAGATGCACAAGAGCCCCCAAACACCTGGGAAACGTGGTCTCCCTTGAAAAACTCACTGTAGCATGGCCTGAGTGCTTAGAATTTGTCTCATAAGAAAATTCCCTCATTTGATGAAACGATTTAAATGTGACTGTGGTCTCAATGGTTGGCGGGAAAGGCCACTTACAAATTCTCTTTATGAGAGACATGAGTTTACTATTCTACCTGTGAAGGAACAGCCTCTCTTGTTGGGTTTAAGAATAGTTTTTTAGCAGAATATCTTCTGTTCCAAGTCAAAATCATCTAAATAGGTTCAATATTCAGCTCTACATCTGTTTCTAATGCCTAAATGAAAAAACGTTTTTAGTTCATGGGCCAGTGGGTGTACAGCTTGAATGCTAAGTCAGGAAGTAAGAAACTTGATTATTAGAGAGATGGGTATCCAAATATTTAATATTTTTAATTAATGCTTACACATGTTTGGAAGTAAGAAATGGGCTTGCAGTCTCATTCCAGAGCCAACGCATCTAACCATCCCCCCTCATACACTCATTGCACATTAGGTTTCTCTGTAAAAGTTAGTACCCATCCCTGTTTACTATGTTTTTTTTTTTCTTTTGAGACAGAGTCTTACTCTCTCACCCAGGCTGGAGTGCAATGGGGTGACTTCAGCTCACTGCAACCTCCGCCTCCCAGGTTCAAGCAATTCGCCTGTCTCAGCCTCCTGAGTATCTGGGATTACAGGCACGCACCACCATGCCCGGCTAATTTTTTGTATTTTTAGTAGAGACAGACTTTCACCCTGTTGGCCAGGCTGGTCTCAAACTCCTGAGGTCAGCTGATCCACCCACCTTGGCCTGTTCACTCTTTCTCATCAAAGGAGACTAGCATTTCAGAATCTTTATCAACAATAAGAAATTGTTATGCTCTGATGTTTACAGACCTGTGCTAGACTCTGGGAGGCAGAGGTGAAAAGACACAGCCTTGAGGGTCTTACAGTTTTTGGAACAGCTGTCCAAATACACAACGTACAACGCAGGGCAATCAGAGCCAAGGGCACACAAGAGGCTCAGGCAGAGCTCCTCTGCAGAGGGCCAAGGCTCCTGGACCGCTTCCTGGAGGATGCCTGCATCCTTAAAGAAGGGAGAGGCACGGACACAGGACAGCATTGCAGAGGAGATGCACGGTGGGCTGGTGGTTTGATGGTTTGAACAAAGGCAGTGGTTGGCAAGTACACAGAGGATTGAGGAAATAAGTACCTCAGTTAAGGAGGATGAGAGAATTCATAAAGGACAGACTGGGAGGTGAAACCAAAGAGGCAAGTGAAGGCACAGATGGCCAAGGTCATAAAGCCAGGCTCATGTGCACCAAGTGTCAACCCAGTGCCCCTTTATTAAACTTCCATCTACCTTCTGTCAGTGTTAACTTAGGAAATCCCGATGGAGTGTTTCATTTCTTTCTTATTGTTGTTTTTGGTTTAGGGGTTTGGATTTTTTACTCCCGATAGGCTTTACCTTCAGGTCTACACCATTTGAACTTGATACGGTCAGCAATTAGGAAAAATAGAGAATATTAGAGGATTACATTTATTGATTTGCGTATATTGAACCAGACTTGCATCCCAGGGATGAAGCCCACTTGACATGATTATCTCAATAGATGCAGAAAAAGCCTTTGACAAAATTCAACAACCCTTCATGCTAAAAACTCTCAATAAATTATGTATTGATGGGACGTATTTCAAAATAATAAGAGCTATCTATGACAAACCCACAGCCAATATCATACTGAATGGGCAAAAACTGGAAGCATTCCCTTTGAAAACTGGCACACGACAGGGATGCCCTCTCTCACCACTCCTATTCAACATAGTGTTGGAAGTTCTGGCCAGGGCAATTAGGCAGGAGAAGGAAATAAAGGGTATTCAATTACGAAAAGAGGAAGTCAAATTGTCCCTGTTTGCAGATGACATGATTGTATATCTAGAAAACCCCATTGTCTCAGCCCAAAATCTCCTTAAGCTGATAAGCAACTTCAGCAAAGTCTCAGGATACAAAATCAATGTACAAAAATCACAAGCATTCTTATACACCAACAACAGACAGAGAGCCAAATCATGAGTGACCTCCCATTCACAACTGCTTCAAAGAGAATAAAATACCTAGGAATCCAACTTACAAGGGATGTGAAGGACCTCTTCAAGGAGAACTACAAACTACTGCTCAAGGAAATAAAAGAGGATACAAACAAATGGAAGAACATTCCATGCTCATGGGTAGGAAGAATCAATATCGTGAAAATGGCCATACTGCCCGAGGTAATTTACAGATTCAATGCCATCCCCATCAAGCTACCAATGACTTTCTTCACAGAATTGGAAAAAACTACTTTAAAGTTCATATGGAACCAAAAAAGAGCCCACATCGCCAAGTCAATCCTAAGCCAAAAGAACAAAGCTGGAGGCATCACACTACCTGACTTCAAACTATACTACAAGGCTACAGTAACCAAAACAGCATGGTACTGGTACCAAAACAGATATATACATCAATGGAACAGAACAGAGCCCTCAGAAATAACGCCGCATATCTACAACTATCTGATCTTTGACAAACCTGAGAAAAACAAGCAATGGGGAAAGGATTCCCTATTTAATAAATGGTGCTGGGAAAACTGGCTAGCCATATGTAGAAAGCTGAAACTGGATCCCTTCCTTACAACTTATACAAAAATCAATTCAAGATGGATTAAAGACTTAAACGTTAGACCCAAAACCATAAAAACCCTAGAAGAAAACCTAGGCATTACCATTCAGGACATAGGCATGGGCAAGGACTTCATGTCTAAAACACCAAAAGCAATGGCAACAAAAGACAAAATTGACAAATGGGATCTAATTAAACTAAAGAGCTTCTGCACAGCAAAAGAAACTACCATCAGAGTGAACAGGCAACCTACAAAATGGGAGAAAATTTTCGCAACCTACTCATCTGACAAAGGGCTAATATCCAGAATCGACAATGAACTCAAACAAATTTACAAGAAAAAAACAAACAACCCCATCAAAAAGTGGGCGAAGGACATGAACAGACACTTCTCAAAAGAAGACATTTATGCAGCCAAAAAACACATGAAAAAATGCTCATCATCACTGGCCATCAGAGAAATGCAAATCAAAACCACAATGAGATACCATCTCACACCAGTTAGAATGGCAATCATTAAAAAGTCAGGAAACAACAGGTGCTGGAGAGGATGTGGAGAAATAGGAACACTTTAACACTGTTGGTGGGACTGTAAACTAGTTCAACCATTGTGGAAGTCAGTGTGGCGACTCCTCAGGGATCTAGAACTGGAAATACCATTTGACCCAGCCATCCCATTACTGGGTATATACCCAAATGACTATAAATCATGCTGCTATAAAGACACATGCACATGTATGTTTATTGCGGCATTATTCACAATAGCAAAGACTTGGAACCAACCCAAATGTCCAACAATGATAGACTGGATTAAGAAAATGTGGCACATATACACCATGGAATACTATGCAGCCATAAAAAATGATGAGTTCATGTCCTTCGTAGGGACATGGATGAAATTGGAAATCATCATTCTCAGTAAACTATCGCAAGAACAAAAAACCAAACACCGCATATTCTCACTCATAGGTGGGAACTGAACAATAAGATCACATGGACACAGGAAGGGGAATATCACACTCTGGGGACTGTTGTGGGGTGGTGGGAGGGGGGAGGGATAGCATCGGGAGATATACCTAATGCTAGATAACGAGTTAGTGGGTGCAGCACACCAGCATGGCACATGTATACATATGTAACTAAACTGCACAATGTGCACATGTACCCTAAAACTTAAAAGTATAATTAAAAAAAAAAAGAATATTAGAGGAATCCCATGGCCTTAATCACGTGATAAAGCAGCAACTTAACTCCCAAACAGGTAAATTAAAGAATAGTAATTGAATACTTTTCTTGACCACCTGAAACACAGATCCCATTCTGGCTCTATTTTAAGTTGGTATTTTTAATGATTCAATTTTTAACCAATCGCTTCATTCTGATTCCGAGAGAAATACCTAATGGACAAGGTAGCTGCCTTTTCAGTGCAAAAAATAACTTGCTTCTATTCCCAGAGCACTCGCTAATTCACAAAACGCCTCACTGTGTGTCCCATTTGATCAGCAGTACCATCTCCCAGGGCAGCTAGGGACAGAATATTATCATCAGCCCCATTTCACAGGTGAGATAGTTGAGCTTCAGATAGATCGTGTGACTTGCCCTAGATCACCTGGCTTGGGTCAGTCTTGGGTCCCAACCCTCCATACCTATGAGGACTGTGTAAGGTCTTCATCAAGATCCCACTTTTTCTCTACCTAGCTGATTGCTTAAGATTTTTTCTCGAATTTCTCTAAACTTTAAGGAGCTTTTTGATCTTCTGCAAACCACGTTTTAGACCATACCTACCCCAAGGAAGAAAACTTTACACCTTATTCTCTGTGGCTATCAACTGATCAGAGGCAATGTTACTACTCAAAGCACTGTTTTTTAATCTTCCACAACACCCCTAGAATATAGGAATTGATGTCCAGATTAGACAGGTGTGAAATGAGGTGTTGTGTTGGTCAGGGTTCTCTGAAGGGACAGAACTAGTAGGAGATAGATATATATATAGTAGTTTATTAAATATTAACTCACATGATCACAAGTCCCACAATAGGCCATCTGCAAGCTGAGTAGGAAAGAGCCAGTTCAAGTCCCAAAACTGAAGAACTTGGAGTCAGATGTTCGAGGGCAGGAAGCACCCAGCATGGGAGAAAGATGTAGGCTGGAAGGCTAGGCCAGTCTAGCTTTTTCATGTTTCTCTACCTGCTTTATATTCTAGCCAGGTGTGCTGGCTGCTGACTAGATGGTGCCCACCCAGATTAAGGGTGGGTCTGCCTTCCCCAGCCGACTGACTCAAATGTTAATTTCCTTTGGCAACACCCTCACAGACACACCCGGGATCAATATTTTGCATCCTTCATTCCAATCAAGTTGACACGCAAGCTTAACCATCACAGGTGTAGAGCAATAAGGTGATTTGATTTGACCAAGCTCACTTAGCTCATACTTGAAAGAGTAGGAATCCCAAAGCCCTCAACCACACTAGCAGAAAAATGCCCAAACAGAGGTGGGAAGGTGTAAAGCAGTGATTCTCAGGCAGGATTTCTGGCTCCCCTGCATCAGAATCACAGAGGACTCCTGTTAAACTTCAGATTCCTTTTCCAGAATGTCTCAAGATGAAACACACACCAGGGAATCTCCATTTTTTCAGGTCCTCAGAAGATTTTTACCAACACCAAAAGCTAGGAAATACTGGTAGGAGACATGGCCAAGAGAATGGTGTATAGCTCAACCCCAGAAATACAGGGCAAATATGAGGAAGGAGGGGAGGATGGAGGGATGGAGGGCCAGGTGGTGGAGGACCCTGAATGAGGTTGGATTAGAGAGAACAGGAAAGGGACTAGAGGAAGGGACTTGAGGTGTCCCAGGAGCAGGAGTATTTTCATGTATTAGGAAAGGACTAGCTTTGGTAGAGGAAAAAGATCACTAAACTAAGAAGATACTGGCCTTTCAATCAACAAACCAAGCTGCCTCATCTTATTTCTCCTGTAAAGGAAGGAGGCCTGACTTGGGAGGCAGATCTGGATCTGTTTCCAACTCTGCCTCTAACCCCTCTGTGACTCTGAGCTAATCACTTGACATCTTGGAACCTCAGCTGAAGTTCAGCATCAGTAAAATCTCGCCCTGGCTGGGGAAGGTTGGGTGGGGGAGCAGAATGATTGCTAATATGTCATCCAACACCAAATTTTCGGGAGTTTCCACCCTCTCCTTCATTAAGCTCATCTCTATCCAATGTCTTTAGTGTTGCGTTCTCCAGCAAGACTCGGCAGGAAGATTTAGAAGGCTCTAAAGCCACAGAAGTGTTGTGCAGAGAAGCAGCTTAAGCCCAGGTCACAGTGGAAGGAGGCAGCCTCCAGCAGAATGATGGTCAGGTGTGGCTGTACGGTTGTGACCTCTGAGGGCACCCAGCATCTGGCAGCCATCCTCAGGGAGAGATTTCCTAAGTCTTTATTGGTTTTGTTGTTTGTTTGTTTGTTTGTTTGTTTGTTTGTTTAAGACAGGGTTACTCTCTGTCAACCAGGCTGGGTTACAGTAGCATGATCATAGCTCACTGCAGCCTCAAACTCTTGGGCTCAAAAAATCCTCCCAATTCAGCCTCCCAAGCAGCTGAGATTATAGGTGTGCATCACCACACCTGGCTAATGTTTAAATTTTCTGTAGAGATGAGATTTTCCTACATTTCCCAGGCTGGTCTCAAACTCCTGGCCTCAAGAAATCCACCCACCTTGGCCTCCCAAAGTGCTGAGATTACAGGTGTGAGCCACCACATCCATCTGCCAAAGTCCATATTTGAAAGCTGCCCAGCCCAGGATTTCTGTTAAGAGACACGTTCTGAGCTCCAGGAATGGCGAATGTGCTCTTTGGACAGAAACTTTGGACTTAACAGTGGCCAACTGGAAGCATTCCGACTTTGAGTAAAATTTAAGCACCTGTTATAAAAGTCTGGTGCATGTCACACTGTCACAATATCCTTTCTGTGGGTTATGGAAAGCTGGAGAAGCATTGTTTCAGACATGGGGGCAAACAGAGGACTGGGACCTGTGGTTCTGCCATCCCGGTTTGGAAATGGGAGAGGTCTGATCTGATCTGATCAAGGCAGAATCTGGATTAAGTAGAAATATATTCAGAGCTAAGACAACAATCTTGGATATACATACTCCATACTTGGAACTACATTCTCCATGAGATGGAAGAGGAATGTTCCTTCCAGCCCTCCTAAATTATTTAACATATATGAAAGATATTAATCTCTAGCCACTCACACCCCTCAAAACTTCTAGGGGGAGGTTTTATTATTCAGTATTGAGAACACCCAGTTCTGCTAGGAGAGCTGAATATTAGATTTGAAAGATGAATTTACTCAGGGTTTAAAAAAATAGCAGAAACAATTCCTCCTACACAGTTGACCCTCAAACAACATGGGCTTGAACCGTGCAGGTCCACTTACACGTGGATGTTTTTTCAATGAAAGTTACACCAAGTCTATCTGCCCCTCCTGCCTCCCCTTCCACTTCCTCTACCTCGTCCTCCTCTGCCACCCCTGAGACAGCAGATCAACTCCCCCTCTTTCTCCTGCTCCTCATTCTACTCACTGTGAAGACAAGATGAAGACCTAATGAATAGTAAACATATTTTCGCTTCTTTATAATTTTCCTGATAATATTTTCTTTTTTCTAGCTTACTTTATTGTAACAATACAGTATGTATTACATATAACGTACAAAATACGTGCTAATCAGCTATTTATAGTAGGATATTAGTAGTTAAGTTTTGGGTGAGTCAAAAGTTATACTCAGATTTTTTACTGAGCTGGAGGTCAGCACCCCTAATGAACTATGTTGGAGGGTCAAGGGTCAACTGTATTAGTTCACTAGAGCTGTCATAATAAAGTACCATAATGTGGGTAGTTTAAACAACAGAAATTAGTTTTCTCAGTTCAGGAAACTAAAAGTCCAAAATCAAGGCGTCCAGAGAGTTGATTTTTTCTGAGGACTGTGAGGAAAGGATCCATTCTAGACCATTCTCCTTGGCTTGCAGGTGGCTGTCTTCTCCCTGCATCTTCATGTCATCTTTCTTTTTTTTTTTTTTTTTTGAGACAGAGTCTTGCTCTGTTGCCCAGGCTGGAGTGCAATGGCAAGATCTCGGCTCACTGCAAACTCCACCTCCCAGGTTCAAGTGATTCTCCTGCCTCATCCTCCCGAGTAGCTGGGATTCCAGGTGCGCGCCACCATGTCCAGCTAGTGTTTATATTTTTAGTAGAGATGGGGTTTCACTATGTTGGCCAGGCTGGCCTCAAACTCCTGAGTCATCTTTCTTCTATGTGTGTCTCTGCATCTGAAATTTCTCCCTTTTATCCGTTTCTATAAGGACACCAGTCACAGTGAACTATAACCCATTCCAAGAATTTCATTTCAATTTGGTTGCCACTGTGAATACCCTACCTCCAAATAGGGTCACATTCTGAGGTACCAGAGGTTAGAACTCCAACATATCTTTTTTGAGGAGAATACAATTAAACCTGTAACACCTCCCTTTCCACAAAATCTAGTTCCATGGTTCTAAAGGAGGGAAAGAGCATCAGAATTAATGCCTTCTCATGAATAAGGCACACTGGGGGCACTAGGAGAAGGGATTAAGTCAGAGAGAGACATGCTCTAGAAATCCAGCCAAGAAGAAGGTCCTGTGTAACCTTTACATTTTCTTTGCACATCCAATTAGAAATGAGAAAATGGGAAGACTCTGAGTTCCTCAGCAAATGACTAGATTGTGAGTCCATTGACTGGGTAATTTATAAAGAATGAAATTTATTTCTCACACTTTCAGAGGCTAGGAAGTCCAAGATCAAGGCGCTAGTAGGTCTGGGGTCTGGTAAGAGCCCAGTCTCTGCTTCCAAGGTGGGGCCTTGAATGTTGCAACCTCCAGAGAGGATGACCTCTTTCCTCACATGGCAGAATGGCAGAAGAGAGCAAACCCACTTTTCTGAGCCCTTTTTATACAATCGTTAATCCATTCATGAGGATGGAGCCCTCATGACCTAAACACTTCACATTAGGTGCCATCTCTCAACACTCTTGCATTGGAGATGAGGTTTTAACCTGTGAATCTTGGAGGGAACACAAACATTCACACTGTATCATAGATTAATAGACTTGTCCATAGATGGCCCTCAAATGCTAGAAGGGCTCTGCACAGGAACCCAGGGACAAGACCCATCTATGGTCTGGCTACAGAGAGCAGAAAGAACACAGGGGTCAATACAAGCCTGCATGCATGCATCTGGGGCCCCTCCCCACCCAAATAAGGCCCTACAACCACTTTTTGGAGAGGAGAAAAAACAGAGATAGGAGCCTGAAATGTTGAGAATTTACCCCAAGGAGATGTTTCTACAAAGGTGACTATTTTAAACTGAAAGACACTTTCAAACCAAAAGAGTGAGTCTGAGATGCTTTAATTGGCAACTTGAAAAACTAGAAACATGTTTTCTTTTCTACCCATCTGGGGGAGGGTACTGGAGCAAGATTAGCTCCATTATGGAAAATAAAATTTACATTTTCTTTGCACATCCAATTAGTAATATAAAATTGTCAGCCCTTATTCCTACCACACAGGGAAATGGAGTTACAGAGACCAAGTGAGAGGACATTTTGGGGAGCATTTAAAAATCTAAACCCTGAACAGAGGTAGATGTGAAACCAAGAATGACGTGAACACTAAGAATGAGAACATCTGCATAGATGTTAGACTGGTTTTCAACGTAGCTAAGTAGATACCTTTACTCCGAGCCAAACCTACCTTACGTAAAGTCTCAACTGTGTGGCCATGACCATACTGGCCATTTTCCCCACCAGGGAAAATGTCAGGGTTCTCTAGAGGGACAGAACTAATAGGATAGATGTATATATAAAGTGGAGTTTATTAATGAGTATTGACTCACATGATCACAAGGTGAAGTCCCACAACAGGCCATCTGCAAGCTAAGAAGCAAGGAAGCCAGTCCGAGTCCCAAAACCTCAAAAGTAGGGAAGCCAACAGTGCAGTCTTCAGTTTGTGGCCAAAGGCCCAAGAGTCCCTGGCAAACCACTGGTGTAAATCCAAGAGTCCAAAAGCTGAAGAACTTGGAGTCCAATATTTGAGGGCAGGAAGCATCCAGCATGGGAGAAAGTTGAAGGCCAGAAGACTCAGTAAGTCTACTCTTCCATTTTCTCCTGCCTGCCTTATTCTAGCTGTGCTGGCAACTAATTAGATGGTACTCACCCAGATTGAAGGTGAGTCTACCTCTCCCAGTCCACTGACTCAAATATTAATCTCCTTTGGCAACACCCTCACAGACACACTTAAGAACAATACTTTGCATCCTTCAATCCAATCAAGTTGACACTCAATATTAACCATCACATCATCACTTTCCCAAGTGCTTTCCTGTGCAACCCCAAGTCCATCTTGCTCTTCCTCCTGAACTCTCCTCCTTCCTCCCAACCTGCCTCTGGATTTTAACCATTCTCCAATGTCTTAGTTCATTTTGTGTTGCTATAAAGGAATACCTTAGGCTGGATAAATTATAAAGAAAAAAGGTGCATTTGGCTCAAGATTTAGATGACTGAAAACTTCAAGCTTGGATGTCTGCATCTGGCGAGAGCCTCAGGCTGCTTCCACTTGTGGTGGAGGGTGAAGGGGAGCTAGCATGTGCAGGAGTCACATGGCTAGAGAGGAGGAAAGAAGGAGGGAGGAGGTGCCAGGCTCATGGAAACTAATGGTGAGAATTTACTCACCTCCAGGGAAGACGCCAATCTATTCATCTGCCGCCATAATCCAAATACTTCCCATTACCCCACCTCCGACATTGAGGATCAAATTTCAACATGAGGCTTGATGGGGACAAACAATCAAACCATAGCACCCCTTGATCTGTGCACTCCCTCTTTTAGAACACAAGCCTAATGCATGCAAAACAACCACATATCAAAAGCATTCTCCAAATGACTCTCTTTCATTGTGAAAGGGAGCTTGCTGTTAGCACAAGAGCGAAGCAAGCAACAGCTTTCGGGAAGTGATAACATCAGGATCTGATAGTGGAGCCCATGCCAAATCTCAGCAGAGAGCCTCAGGGCCTGCAAGGACTGTGCATGAGACTTGGCACTGGTATCCTCAAGCCACAGAAGAACCTTTTCTGGAAAAGCAAATGAAAGCCAGAGGGCAAGGGAGCCAGAACAGCAGTGAGGCACTGAGGACCCTGAGCTCAGCCCACAAGAGCACTCCCCTCCAAGTCAGCACAACAAGTAAGCACAGGCTTTCTACCTCCTTCAGGCCAGATGTTTCTCTCCCCGTTCTAGCTGAGGGCTGAAATATCCCTTAACTAGTTCTGAGAGTGTGTTGTTGGTTACAGCTTCTCTCTATATTGCTACAGCCCCTGCCTCTCACATCCACCTGCTCCAGGGCACACAGCCCTTTCCCTGCAGGCTGAGGTCCTGCTGCTGGGCTCTGAGTGTCAAAGACTTTAGCATTTTTAGCATCCTGCTACTCAAATCTCAAATTGTGGGCCCTACACCAGCAGCTTCAGCATCACCTGGATGCCTGTCAAGCTCCATTGCAGACCCACTGAATCGGAATCTGCATTTCAACATGACCCCAGATGATTGTGAGACAGAGTCAAGTTTGAGATACACTTTAACAGACTTTTCAAACTGGATGTAAATGGAATCACCTGGGGAGTTATTAAAAATATTGATGCTTACCTCCCACCTCCCAAAATTCTGATCTAACTGACACAGGGTGAGATCAAAGTATTAAGGGTTTTAAAAGCTCAGATGATTCTACTGGGGAGCATAGCTTGAGAACCAATGTTTCACTTCTCTCCCACTTGGATCTTCTATTTTTTCATTGATTCTCTTTCCAGTTATTGAACAAAGCAAATTATAAGCTCTCTTTTTCTATTTAATTTTATTTTTAACTTTTATTTTAGATTCAGGGGGTACATGTTTGTTACCTGGATATATTGCATGATGCCGAGGTTTGGGGTATGAATGATCCCATCACCCAGGTAACGATCATAGTGCCCAATAGTTTTTCAACCCTTGCCCCCATCTTTTCCTCCCCACTCTAGTAGTCCCCAGTGTCTATTTTTCCCTTCTTTGTGTCCATGTGCACTGAATGTTTAGCTCCCACTTAGAACATGTGGTATTTGCTTTTCTGTTCTTGTGTTTATTTGCTTAGGATAATGGCCTCCAGCTGCATCTATGTTGCTGGAAAGGACATGATTTTGTTCCTTTTTATGGCCTTGTAATGGTTCATGGTGTATATGCACCACATTTTCTTCATCCATTCCAACGTTGATGGACATCTAGGTTGATTCCACGTCTTCACTATTGTGAATAGTGTTGCAGTGAACATATGAGTGCATGTGTCTTTTCAATAGAACTTTCTTTTTCTTTTGGATATACACCCAGTAATAAGATTGCTGGGTCGAATGGTTATTATCATTCTCTTTTTAGTAAACCAACTTATAAAAAGATTTTAAATCAAAGCTTTGTGCTGCTAACCCCAGTGAGTCCAGAGCTTATATTTTTTATCTTCCATGGGGGTAGGAGGTCTGCAGAAGGTGGTGGCAGACACAGGCCCAGCCCAGGAACTGACAGCTTTTCAACCACAGCCTGGTTTCCCCTCCAAGGGCAGAGCAAGGGTTTGTACTTTAGTATCTGGACAGAAGGAGAACTTTAGCGGCAGAGCAGGCAGTTGACTAGCCTGAAGGGTATATTGGGTCCCTGGTTAAGAATCAATAACTCCCCGGTGGAGGGGCTAAGCTCCGTCCCTTTTTTTAGATCAAGCCTAGTGGTCATGAACTTCAGATGAACACCCTCAACACCAGCAAGCTCTAGTCACACGAGCATTAGCCCAACCTGGGCCCCCTCCAAGAATGACAATATCAACCGGCAAGAGGCTGGGATCCCAGCTGCCATCTATGGGGGAATAAGCCCAAGGAAGCTGGCAAAAGGGGCTCTGCTTACATCAAAAAAAGTCCTGCCAGGCATGGTGGCTCACGCCTGTAATCCCAGCAGTTTGGGAGGCCAAGGCGGGCGGATCACCTGAAGTTGGGAGCTCTAGACCATCCTGGCTAACATGGAGAAACCCCATCCCTACCAAAGATACAAAAAATTAGCCAGGCATGGTGGCTGGCGGCTGTAGTCCCAGTTACTTGGGAGGCTGAGGCAGGAGAATGGCATGAACCTGGGAGGCGGAGCTTGCAGTGAGCAGAGATGGCGCCACTGTACCCCAGCCTGGGCGACAGAGCAAAACTCCATCTCAAAAAATAAAAAAATAAAAAAGAAAAAAAATTAGCCAGGCGTGGTGGCAGGCACCTGTAATCCCAGCTACTCAGGAGACTGAGGCAGGAGAATTGCTTGAACCCAGGAGGTGGGGGTTGTGATGAGCCAAGATCATGCCATTGCGCTCCAGCCTGGGCAACAAGAGCGAAACTCAAAAAAAGAAAAAGTCCAAGAAGGAGTGTGGGAAGCCCCAGCCTGGAGTCTTTGCTGAACGTGAGCCCTTTATTGGGCCACAGGGTCCCTCTCATTTCTCAAAGAATAGGCTGCCTGACTAGGGTCTTCCCAGATTTTTGGACCCAAGTAGGCTTCATCTTTTATATGGAAAATTGGCTTATATTACAATCTGAGTAGTTTTATTTATTTATTGTAAAGAAAATTTGCCCCAAAGTGGGTATCTGAAGGAAATGAAAGAAATAGGAGATCTGTCCCCCAGTAATCTTTTTTAAAAGTACAGGTTCTCATCCACCAGGTACACCTGGGAGGAAGAAGGGGGGCAATGCCTCAGAGTGGTTGTATGACCTTCAGTGAGTCATCTCCCAGATCTGAGCCTTAGCTTCCCAATATGTAAAATAAGGGGACTCAGTTTCAATGATCTGTAAGGGGCACCTTCCTATTTAAGTGGTGTATGGTCCTACCTAAAGGCTGAGGCTTCAATTTGAAACACTTGGCAATAACTGTTACAATCCCAAAATCTGGTGACATAGTTCCTCCTGATTGGAACTTTGTCCGTATGTCCATCAACTAAGGAATGTGTAGAAAATTCCTGAGAGGATGTTAGGGGAGATAATACAGGCAGAACAGGGTATCATCAGCCCTGACTGGAGGTTGCTGATGCTCTTGTTTTGTTCCACTTCATGGAGCAGCAAAGACTAATGAATCTTTTGAGCCCATACCAATCAGGCTTTCACCACCACCCCTCCACCAAAATATGTCCTTTCCAAGGTCACCAACAACTTCACATTGTTAAAATAGTGGCAGAGCTTGCCCTTAGCTGACTACACCTCTCAGCAACATTCCTCAGGGTTGACCCCTCCTGCATCCTTGAAATACTGTCTTCCTCTGGCTTTCAGGACACCCCACATGCCTGATTGTCCACCTACTTCTCTCACCGCTCCTTCCTGGTCTTCTTTGTCTGTTTCTTCCCATCTCCCCAAATACTTAGTGTTACAGTGCCCCTGGTCTTTCAACCTCTTCTCTTTTCTCTCTTTATCTACTCCCCCTGGTGATTTCACCCATCTCATGGCTTTAAAACCACTAATGATTTCCATCATTACATCTCCAGCCCTGACCTCTCCCTGCTACAGGATGTCAAGTGAGCCTCAAATGACCAGAGATGTTTGAGATAAAGGAGCTTGTATTCCCAGTGCAAGACAGGGAAAAACCACCTTGAGGCTAGCCAGTTTTTAAAGCTTCCTTTGTAGAGGAGAATGAGTACTTACTGCTTACAAGACAAGCAGCATGTTTTTCAAAAGTCAAAAGAAAGCTTGTGAGGAACAAGGTAATACTCTCTAGATAGCTGGCCTTGTCTTATGCACATTCATTAATTCATTTTGTGCACAGAAATAACATGTCCATGAACCTGGGGGAACCACTCTTTTGAGAGACCTTGATCTTGGAGTTCCTCTGACTCAATATTAGGAGCAAGATAGAGTAAGACACCTATTTTTTTATGTTTGCCATTACATAAGAATGAATGAAACAAAGGCATAGTTCTGCATTGGTTAATAAAACAAAAAGCCCGCTAAAAGGCAATGTTATATATTCGGCAATCACATTTTGAAGACCAACTATATTCAAGACTCATGGCAGGTTCTGCATGCCACTGATGCATCTGCATGACCTTTCCAAGGCTATTTGTCACAGCAGCCCCGAAATCGTGGCCTCTAAGGGCCTAAGTGTTCTGGAGTAAATAGGCCAGGCCAGCACCTCTGAGAAATAGGGGCTCACCCCATCCTGAGCCACCTTCCCAGTCTCTGAGCAACCTCAGCATCAGTGGCCCTCTGACCGCATCAGCCTGTGGGTCCCTACTTGTCTGAACACATACAATTTTCTTTCTTTTAATTGGCAAGCTTTGAAAAACAAGTACATGAGTGAACACAGAGCAAAGAGTTTAGTCTGGGAGCTATTTCTCGTAAGTCTCTTTTGAGAAAGAGTTTCTAGCCCTTCCCCACTTTCATGAGATTAGAGAGATAAGAACAGGAACATGGAGGGAGGGGTCCACACTCTGGAAAACACTTTTGGATCTGATAACCACCCTAATGAAGCCCCAAAGCTATCGCCTTTGGATGGGTTTCTCAAACATGGAATTCTACCAGGATTTCTGTCAACAGGCCTCCTAATCCCCTCTCGCCTGCCAAGCCACATGCTACACAAAGGTGAAGAACAAGAAAGGCATTGAGACACGTGTTCTATCCAGCCAGGGGATGCACAATGTCTGCCCACGCAGGCTGCGTTATTATCAGCAGGAACTGACAGAGGGGTCTGTTCTCCCCTCTCCAGGCAGTGGAGGGGACGCTTCCCACCTCTGACCTGTGGCTGAGCCCAGCCCGAGCAGAAATCCCAGAAGAGGTCCCGGCCTTGCTCGCATCCTGCTTCCTGTGCTAAGACCTGGTCGGAATGAAAGATAGTAAAAGTTCTTTCACATTGGGAAGGCCTTTACAAAGCTTGCCTTTACTATTTTATAATCTCTACATTTTATTGTCCTTTTAAAATCACAAAAGCAAGCAGAAACATGAGGAGGCTGCTTTATTTGCTCTCCCATTCAACAACTGGGCTGCTGAGTTACCAGTTCCCCCTACTACTTGATTTGGAAATGGACACTAGAAATTTTTCCCACTTGTGACTGAAGCTGCAGAAACTTCAACCTGTTTTCAGTTACCCTGTTGTACCTAATAAGAGTCCATCCTCTTTTCAGTGGAAAGAAAGCCATGGACGAGGCATTGCAGGTCTAGTGTGGCTCTCAGACTCTCTGGGAGCAGCTGACGCACATTTAAGAACAGGGAGTCCCTGAAGGGTGGCTGAGGACAGATCACGAGACCAGAGGTGAGAGGCGCCCGACAGGGTTGGAGCCCTACTTTTGGGTGTGAGCAGTGGGGTCTGATGCACCACGGTGAAGGCATTCAGCAGCCAGGTCCTGAGTAGCAGAAACACAGGATACACAGAGGGCAATGTCTTAGAGCCACACCAACTGGGTAGGACTGAACAGATGGTCATTCAACAGATGATACACCTTTAGGGTGTATCAGCAATCCATTGGAAAACTTGTTAAAAGGCAGATTCTAGCTCAGCCCTAGATTCTGATCCAGCAGGCAGGAATCTGCATGTTTCCAGTTTTTCCAGCTGATTCTAATGTAGATGGACTCTGGATTGCCATTTGAGAGACACTGATGTAGAACAAGATCGGTTAGACTGGAGACATTGGCCAAGGTAATTTCTAGAGAAAATGTGCTTGCTCAAAGTCCTGAGGACAAATTTAAGATCAGAGTCTAGAGAAATGAACATGAACATACTCACAGCTTAAAGGCTAGGTTGGGAGGCCCAAAGGAAGCACATGTTCAAGGCACAAGCGAGTCATTACAGTGAACAAGCCTCAGAGAAGCTTCTGGAAGCCCATGATCTGGCAGATGGCACACACAATAGTATGGCAGATGGTACATACCAGGTAAACCCTAAATGCATAAGGTTCGTATTACACGTAGGAAAACAAGGCATAAGCCTAAGCAAGGGGCCTGGCCCCTCCAAATCTACAGGTAATGGGCAGAGTCCTTTAGAAGCATGGGTGCATTAGGGAATTTTACCTTGCCTCAACAGAAACTATGGTAAGCGTAGGTGCTGCAAGGAAGCCATACTTCAATTGCTCTACATCTATTATTCCAGCAAAGATGATGCTAGGTTCTATGAGAAATTCTAAAGACGACACAGCTCTGTTGTCAAAGAGCTTACGATATAATCATAAAGCACTTTAGAAAACTTGGCTATTTAAGTAAGCCCAAATACTGGATAATATTGAAGCAGTTGACTGCAATCTAGAGTACAAAGTGGGTCCTGTGCAGCCAGGAAAAAGCTCACAGAGTAGGCAGAGGGTCGAGACTAAGTGATTTAAAGCCCTCATAATTCTTTCTGCATGGCCCCTTTTTCCAGCAGGCCTGACCATGTTCTATGCAATTCACACCATCTGAAAATACATCGCAGCCCCCCTGTTCCCCTCACAGCATTAGTTCTCACCTTGAAGCTTCTGGGACTCACATTCAGCTTCTTGCCCTGTTCCTAGTCTCATCTTCTGATACTCCACCTTCCCTGTTAAGGTTTTGCCATGCCCTTGAACATGACATTAGATACAACTCCAGTTTTGACTCTTACTACCCTCTCTCTCCCCATTCACGGCACAATGATGATTTGCAAACTCCCTCCAGCCACCTTGGATATATAATCACGGTCCCTGATCCAACCTTGCCCCTGACCTTTGCATCCTTGTACCTTGGTATGGCACCTTGTACCTCCATGGGCAGCAGCTCCATGGGAATTTTCCAGTCCCAGAGAATTCATGCATTCATGAAGGGAAAGAACAAATGGGATGAGTATGAAGGCAGAAAGGAGAGTTGGAAGATAAGGAGCAATAGTCAGACAGGAGAACCTACATTTTGAGATCAACGATAATGTCTTCCCTCTCAATCAGGATACTTCTTAATCTCAAGTACTCTATTGGGAAGGAAGAGATCAGCTGTTTCTGGGCTCAAATAAAGGTAATCTTTGGCTGGAAGCACTAGGCAAGCACAGTCTTCTACATCTTGATGGAGCCTCATAGGAAGGTGGAGGCTAAAGCACAAATGACATGTAAAGGAAAGTCTGGTGAGATTGAGCATTAGTGGAAGAACTTTGGTGGCCTGGCCTGATTTTCACCTGAGCCAGGTTGCTGGAGGCGTGTTCTTGCTGAGTTTCATCTGTGGCCCCAAAGCCTTTGGGGATTCAGAACCAATGGGTACTCTGCAGTCTGGCCTCCACATGACCCCCAACTGGCTTTGTGATGAAAGGAATCATGTTCCATGTAAGAACCCATCTTCTGAACACCCCACTGCACTCTCACTGGTAGAAGACAAATCTGATGCTCTAGGGAGTTATATAGTTTATTTCTTCTCATTTCAACCTTTCTATTTCTCAGACACATATGCACAGGTGCACACACACACAAGTGCACACACACACGTGCTTGTGCACACACATACACACACAGAGGACTTTGAACTGCCTAAGGGCAAGAATAATTCCGTATTCATGTTCTACAATGCCTGGAGAAAGCTTTTCACACAGTAGGCCTTCAAAAAATTCCACTAATGAGCAGGATTCATAATAGTAAAGTAAATGATGCTGCTACAAATCTGAGCCATGGGAGGATCCATGAAGAATGCCAGGTACGAATATCTTCAGGGTCCGTCTCATAGGGATGCAGTCCCATAGATGTCTATAAGCCCCTTAACTCACAGCCTCAAATTAATCAAGCAAAGAGACTAAGAGAAACTTGTCAAGTCTTGTATCTCCTTAATTTTACCTTATGCTAAGTTTCCATGACAGGGAGCAGCTATGACTGGTCAGCAGTCACCAGCCATAGTCCAGCCCTTGGAGGCTTGGAGATCTATAGCCTAGATTGAAGAGTGTGGAAATGGCTAGGAAAGTAAGGATAGGTAAGAATTATCTATTGTATCTACTCTATAAAATTATAGAAAAGCCACTCTTCACTTTCCCAAGAACCCCTCATTGATAAAGATTTGCAGAAAGTGTCTGTCTGGGGTCCCTGTTGCTTCCTTTACTTGTCCTGAGTCAGCCACAGCTGTTTCCCTCCTTATAATCATCTCATTGTCATTGGATGGCAGCAGAGACTTTATGAGAAAGCTCATGTGGCTACGGCCCTGCCTCCTTTGCACGAGGATAAGAGGTTTCAAGAAGACCTTTTTCACAAGGGCTTGTCCAGGATTTGGGCCAGTCCCACAGCATTCCAGGTCCTTGAAGTCTGGCTGAAAACCTTGTGGGAAGAGAAAACCTTCTAAGCAAGAGAAAGCCAACATATATTAAAATGTTCTTGTCTTCCCGGATAGGTTGTGTTTTGTGAATAGGGCAATATGTCATTTCTCCCAGGAAAAGAAAACACAAAACTGATTCAAAATGTACTGAGGTAAAAAGAGTTGCAGAAGAAAATTAATCTTCAGATTCCCTAACTTTTTGTGTCCCATAAATAATCTGTGGCCTTGTCCCAGAGAGAAATGTGTCTGCCATTTTGGCAAACCAGGTATCTGAGAGAGAGAATAGAGTTGCCCTGTCTTGAGGAAAGACCACAAGGCAAACATAAATGAAAAGAACAAAGACTCTGTATTGTTGAGCTGAATGGCCACCCAAATATCCCAAAGAATGAACTTTAACTTTCTCAACAGAAAGGCAACCACAGGAAGTTTGGCAGCTCATGGAGAAAGTTCCTTCATGAATATGTGGCCTTTACAGTGCTTCGTCTTTACACAGAATTAACTCCGGGCCTGAAAGATGTGTGCCTTTTCCTGTTTTGTTTTAATGGCAGACTCAGAACACAGGGTACAGTTTTGCTTCTGTCTTTAAAGTTGTCCTTGCTTTGCCCTCCAAGGCCTGTAGCCAGTCGAGCATTTTTGGCAAGACAGAAACACTCTCCAGTCCCAAGAATGCCCAGGAACCAACAGACATAGATGGTTCCTAAGCTTATTTCCTGTGTTCAGATTCAAGAGTGGAATCCCAGTTTGGCCTGGCTACAGAGGCTGGAAGGTAGAAAAGGTGAAAAATTCTCTAAAATGTTTCCAGGTTTTCTATTTACTGGATAAGCAACAAACCAATAGCTGTTTGGAGTAGCTAGCTGGCTGGCAGCAATTTTCCAAGAATTTCCAAATAGCAGTACGTGGCCTAAGAAAGGGAGGTACCAGGAAAGGAGTAAGAAGGGAGCAAAGTAAAAAATGATTTATTGGTGCCCTTGGCAATATAAAGTTGAAGTGGACAGCGCAGCCAAAAGTATCTTGCTACTGCAGTAGGGAAATTAGCCAAGGGTGGTGTCAATTAGAGATACAAGGGGTGGTAATTTCACTGGAGAAGCCAACTCTAGGTATGGGTGCTGAGCAATTGCCCCAGCAACCTGCCAAGGTATGTTCTATTTGTTTTCACCAGGACTGTGGATAGGGGTGTGTGTGCGAGAGAGAGAGAGAGAGAAAAAAAAAAGTAGGTCATCCTATCAAAAGAGAAGGTGAAAGGGTTGAGGAAGGCCTCTCTTCTCTCTGATTTATTGTAGAGCAGGAAGAGTCACTGTCTGCAATACACAAAATAATACATCAGGAAAACAGGAAGTCAAACTTTCAAGAATGCAAGGGGAAATCAAAACCAGAGATAGGACAAGGATGAATGAAAACACCTGGCATAGAAGTGAAACGAGAAAAAAGGAAACTTTTGCTTTCTTGGAAATACACAATCGGTCTGAGCCTCATTCTTTGGAAGTTAAGTCCAGTCCTTCTGAAAAAGATGTGTGGACCACTGAAGAGGAACCATGATGATAATTCACCCCCTGCAGGCTGTGGGAGAGGAGGTTTGGAAGACAGGTAGGAAGTTGGCTCTCTGAATAATGTAGACAATGAGGAGGTACATCGTCCTTTGAGAGGTGATAAGGAGGCGGCCATCATTTAGCAAAATTCTATGCCTCCTAATGATAGATGTGCTTAGGTATTTCTATACCAATGGTTGTAATGAAAAGAGTATAAACTTGAGTCAAACAGAAACAACTTTTCTTTGTGTATACAACAGGAATAATGCTGATTACCCCAATCTTGGCTACAGAGTTAGAATGAAATGGCACCTGGAACATAATAGATGTTCTTTGGATTTAATTTATTGTCTTTTCCTCTTCATGCCGAGATAAAAGAGTACCAGTAGAAGAAGTTTGAGACACATTCTCTAGAGACAGAAAATGTAAATGGCATAAGATGATCAGTGGCTTTACCCATTGATTCTTCCAACGAAAGGTCGGGTGTAATGGACAAGAAAGGAAGGGATGAGAAACAAAAGACAGTGGACAAACGGAATTCAAAACCAGTTGTGTATTTCTAGTTCTGGATTTCAGACACTAAATGTAGAGCCTCTAGTTAAGAGTGGAACATCTCTCACAATGCCTGGAGACCAAATGAACTAATTCAGAAGCTTTAACTAATGTGAAAGAAATGCCAGATAAAAAAATGAAGAGAAGCTATTAAGAATAAGAGATGTGGCAAGAAATATAAAGTTGGAAAGGTGATCAGTGAACCACATGAAGAAATAACTAAAAATCAGGCAAAAACAACACTAATGAACTCAGATCTCTATGTTCCAATGTCAGAGCATGGACAACAAAAAACAAGATTCCAACATTGAATGGAAAATCTGATCTCAAAAGCTTCACCAGTGGCCAGGTGTGGTGGCTCACACCTGTAATCCCAACACTTTAGGAGGCCGGGACTGGCAGATCTGGCCTGAGGTCAGAAGTTCAAGACCAGCCTGGCCAACATGCTGAAACCCCATCTCTATTAAAAATACAAAAATTAGCCAGGCATGATGGTACACACCTGTAGTCCCAGCTACTCAGGAGGCTGAGGCACAAGAATTACTTGAACCTGAGTGGTGGAGGCTGTAGTGAGCTGAGATCATGCCACTGTACTCCAGCCTGGCCAACAGAGTAAGACTCTGTCTCAAAAAAAAAAAATTACCAGAACTTCTTGGAATGGAGCTCAACATTGAAATATTGCAAACATGCTGAGAAGGGAAGACAAAGTAGTTATAGGCCTAAATAATGCTCTGTGTTGCTGATGGCATTACTCACACACTGTAGGCAGAGATATAAAATGGTACATATTTCATAGAGGGTAATTGAAAATATGTAGTGAGTGTTCTGATGTGCCATCAGACTCTTCCTTCAGAACCAAGGGAGCCATTCTCCTAGTTGCAAGAGGATAGCCTGCTGCATTGGTTTCTGATAGCTGCTCTCACAAATATTACCACAAATTTCATGGCTTATGTTTTAGGCAAATGCTAAAACTGTCTTAAACAAATGTATTAACTTATAGTTCTAGGCATCAGAAGTCTGAAATGGGTCTTGTGTGGCTAAAATCAAGACGCTGGTAGAGCTGCATTCCTTTCTGGAGGTTCTTGGGAAGAATCTATTTTGTTTGTTTCTGTTGGTTTTCTGGGTTTGTTTTTTTTTTTTACTTTTTTTTTCTTTTGTCTTTTCCAGCCTTTAGAGGCTGCCTGCCTTCCTCGGCTCATGGCCCCATTCCATCTTCAAAGTTGAATCTTTCTTACATTACGTCATTGACACCCTCTCCCTTCTGCCTTCCTCTTTATAAGGATCCTTGTAATTATACTGGACCTACCTGGATAATCCAGTATAATATCTACATCTTCATTTCATCTGCAACCTTCATTCTTCTTTGCCATGTAATCTAACATATTCATAGATTTCAGGAATTAGGATATAGACATCTTTGGGGGCTGTTATTCTACCCGCCATGTCTGACAGCTGCTCACAGCTGAGTCTCTCCCCAGGAGTTATCTTTGGTTGAAAGCAGCTGCCTCACACAAGGTTATGCTCCACAGGAAAAACTGGCATCCAATGACTGGCTGATTTGAAGGCCCAAAGGTCCAGCCCCCCTCAATGCCTCAGTATGGAACAATCCTCACTAGCCATCCCAGCTCCAGGGTGCCCTTGAATCAACTGAAGCCACTGCTGCAATGTATTCCAAAATTCAGCTTTTTTCTGGGACTAGTCTTGTAATTTTAGGTCCCTCCAAGTTGTTGTTCTCAAGAGCTCTCTCCAATATCTTCCTGCTAACAAATCTCTGTCTCAAAGTGTTTCATGGGAAAACCAACCTAAGGCAGTGGATGTCAGGAATGGTCAGAGGAAGCTGACTCTAAAATAGAACTTAGGAGATGGGCACCTCCTAGCCCATTAACAATGAGGACCCCATCACTAGTGAAAACTGAAGTTTGTATGGCCCTCACATGTTATACTGGAGTGTTAAAATATTCCTTGGTGGTCAGTGGGATGGGATATAAGTGGAAGGAAATGCACCAAAGGATGCAATATCTTTGACATTTGAGCCATTCTGGGGAAACTGGGATTGCTGATGCTGAATATTATCTATGTGCTGGGAAAAAAGAAGGGAAATCTGGGAAAGGGGAGCTGATCAATTGTCTATTGAAATCAAATTGTGATAGCCAGAGGACTTCCTTGGCAGCACTAAAAAGTGACTCTCATCTTGTGTAGTTTGAAAGCAGAAAAATCTGAGAATCAGGCCAACGACTTAATTATAAGTATAGTACAACTCAAAAAAGGTAGAATTCTTAATCCCAGCAAATCTTGAAACTCCAGATCCCCTCAGAACCATTTGCTCCTGTAGAAGTGATGCACTCCTCTTCAAGTAAAGACCCCTTAGTTGAAGACAACACAGGGTTCTCTGCCTGTAAAACAGTATGTCTTCTCTTGGGATTTGGCTCACATCTACCCTCCTGGCCACTAGAGAGTCGAGTTGCAATAGAAGCTGGCCAGGAAAGTGCTGAGTCAGCTAGGAAAATAAAGAGCCCAAACCCCAAAGGGGTTGTAGGTCCCAGCCAAAATGTGCCAGCAGAGGTCAGTAAACTGTAAATGGGACTAAAGCCTGAGAAGCCTGGATCAAGGGGAGTATAATACAAATTTGAATAAGGGAGAGATTGTTGCTGTGAAGCTACTCTCTTACAATACAGGGTTCAACTCTGGTAGGCACCCAGGCAGATGGTGGTTAATGTTCTGCTAGCATAGCTCTTGGAAACTACCATATTCTACCATAATATATTATAAAAGAAGAAACCAAAAGACTCAAAGGGGTGGGCATAAAATGTAGAGATAAAATGGGAGCTGGAAAACCTACCAGCAGATGATGTTCTAAGACATATCAGAAAGACATTGTGCTCACCAGAGCGATGAGAGAGGTAATGGGAGCACAGCAGCAACAGCGTCAAGAAACTCAGTGTTGCCTGTCCTCTGTAGGCCAAGCTGATTATAAAAATTGAAAAGTGGGCCAGGCATGGTGGCTCGTGCCTGTAATCCCAGCACTTTGGGAGCCTGAGGCAGGCGGATCACGAGGTCAGGAGATCAAGACCATCCTGGCTAACACGGTGAAACTCCGTCTTTACTGAAAGTACAAAAAAATTAGCTGGGCGTGGTGACGGGCGCCTGTAGTCCCAGCTACTCAGGAGGCTGAGGCAGGAGAATGGCGTGAACCCAGGAGGCGGAGCTTGCAGTGAGCCAAGATCGCGCCACTGCACTCCAGCCTGGGGAACAGTGCAAGACTCCGTCTCAAAAAAAAAAAAAAAATAAGAAAAAAATTAAAAAGTGATAATCCTTTACCCAGTTTCCAGGACTAAACCAGTTTTCAGATCTTCCAGTGTTTGACTGAAGGAGAGACCAGGTACCCAGAAGGAACAGCTCTGCAGTGCCACAGCAAGTGTGTAAGGTAATGACTGCCTCAGTTTTTGCCTAAAGGACCTATAGCCGTTTACTCAAGTAACTCTAAACTGAGGAAAGGGGAATATCCTGACACTTTGAGGTTGATGGATGCAGGGTCAAAAATAACATGGATACCTAGGGAACTGAAGCATCATCATGCTTCCCTTGTTAGAGGACATAAAGAGGGCAGATAATAGAGCTGGGCAAGTTGGACCAATGAATCTTACAGTGGGTTTTTTCAAAAGATAAACAAAATTGACAAAACTTTAATTAGATTAACCAAGGAAAAAAGAAAGGACTCAAAAAAAATTACAAATGAAAGGAGGTATTAAAACTGATACCACAGATGTACAAAGGATCACAAGAGACTATGATGAACAATTACACACCAGCAAATTGGATAATCTAGAAGAAATGAAGCATACATTCCTAGAAGCATACAACCTGCAAAGACTGACTCATGAAGAAATAGAAAATCTAAACAGACCAATAAGAACTAAGGAGATTGAATCAGTAATCGAAAACCTCCCAACAAAGAAAATCCTAGAACCAGATGGCATTATTGGTGAACTCAATCAAGCATTTAAATGATTAACAACAATCCTTCTCAAATTCTTCCAAAAAAATGAAGAGAAGGAAACACTTCCAAATTCATTTTATGAGGTCAGCATCACACTGATACCAAAGCCAGTTAAGGATGCTACAGCAAGATAAAATTACAGGTTGATATTCCTAATGAATGTAGACACAAAAATTCTCAACACTAGCAAACCAAATTCAATAGCACACTAAAAGGATTTTATGCCATAATCAAGTGGGATAATCCCAGGAATGCAAGGATGGTTGAACATATGCAAATCAATAAGTGGGATAAACTACATTAACAGAATGAAGATTTATGATCATCTCAATAGATGTTTAAACAAAAGCATTCAACAAAACTCAACATTGTTTTATAATAAAAACTCTCAAACAAGTTGGGTACAGAAGAAATATACCTCAACATAATAAAGCTATATATGTCAAGCCCACAGTTAACATTATACTCAAATGATGAATAATCAGGAACAAGATAAGGGCACCCACTCCCACCACTACCAATATTATTGAAACTTATAGCCAGAGAAATTAGGCAAGAAAAAGAAATAAAAGTCATCTAAATTGGAAAGGAAGAAATAAAATTGTCTCTTTGTAGATGATGCGATCTTACACATTTAGCCAGAAAAACATTAGAACTAATAAGCAAATTCAGTAGAGTTGCAGAAAACAAAATCAGCACACAAAAATCAGTGTGTTTCTATATAATAACAACAAAGTATCAGAAAAAGAAATTTTAAAATATGTTATTTACAATAGAATCAAAAATAAAGTATCTAGGAATAAATTTAATCAAGGAGAGATAAAAGATCTGTACACTGTACATAAACATAAAAAGATCTGTACACTGTACATAAGGAATTGATGAAACAAACTGAAGAAGACATAAATAGGAAGGTAACCCGTGTTCATGGATTTTTAAAAATTAATAGTATTAAAATGTCTATACTACCCAAAATAATCTATTGATTCAATGCCATTCCTATCCAAATTCTTCAAGCATCCTTCAAAGAAATAGGAAAAACAGTCCTAAAATTTGTATGGAACCACAGATGACCCCAAAAAAGCCAAAGCACTCTTGAGAAAGAACAAAGCTGGAGGTATTACATGTCCTGATTTCTAATCATATTACAAAGCTAAAGTAATCAAAACAGTTAAAACAGACACATAGATCAATGAAACAGAATAGAGAGCCCAGAAATAAACCTACACATATAGGGTAAACTAATATTTGACAAGGGTACCAGGAATGCATATTGGGGAAAGAATAATCATTTTCATACACAGTGTTGAAAAACTGGATATCCACATGCAAAAGAATGAAACTGGACCTCTGTCTCATAGCATAAAAAAAAAAACTCAAAATCAAAACACAAATATAAGATCTGAAACCATAAAACTCCTACAAGAAAACGTAGAAAAAACTTCCTTGACATTGGCTTCATAATTACTTTTTTGATATGACACCAAAACACAGGAAACAAAAGCAAAAATAAATAAATAGGACTACATCAAGCTAAAAAGCTTATGCATGACAAAAGAATCAGCAAAATGAAAAGGCACCTATAGAATGGGAGAAAATATTGGCAAACCATGTATCTGTTAAGGGGTTCATTTCCAAAATATATAAGGAACTCATACAACTCAGTAGCAAATAATAATAATAATTTAACTAAAATTAAATTAAATTTCAATTTATTAAATTAATACTCAAATTAATTTTAATGTATTAAATTAACAGCATAATTAAAATGGTAAAAAGACCTGAATAGACACTTTTCTAAATTCATAAAAATGTCCAACAGGTTCATGGACAGGTGTTCAACATCGCTAACCATCAGGCAAATGCAAATCAAAACTAAAATAAGACATCACCATATACCTGTTCGTATGGCTATTACCAATAAGACAAGAGGTAAGTGTTGGTGAGGATATAGAGAAAAGAGAAAACTTGTGTACCCTTGGTAGAATGTAAATTGGCACAGCCGTTATGGAAAACAGTATGGTGTTGCCTCAAAAAATTAAAAAAAGAACTACCATATGACCCACCAATCCCACTTCTGTGTCTATATATCCAAAGGAAATAATATCAATCTCTCAAAGAGATATCTTCACTCTTGTGTTCACTGCAGCATTATTCATAATAGCCAAGACATGGGAACAACTTAACTGCCTGTCAACAAATGAATAAAGAAAATGTGGTATACATGTAGTTAAATATTATTCAGCCATAAAATTGGAGAACATCTTGCTATTTGCGACAACATGGATGAACCGGGAGGGCATTATGCTAACTGAAATAAGCCAGAAAAATGAGGACAAATACTGTATTATCTCACATATGGAATCTAAAAAAGTCACACTCACCAAAACAGAAAGTTGAATCATGGTTTCCAGGGGCTGGAGGTTAGGGGAAATAAGAGTATGTTGGTCAAAGGATACAAACTTTCTAATATAAGATGAATAAGCTCTGAGGATCTAATGTACAGCATGGTGGCTATATTTAATGATACTGTATTGTGTATTTGTAATTTGCTGAGAATAGATCCTGTGTTCTCACCACAAAAACAAAAATGGTAACTATCTGAGGTTAGGGATATGTTAACCAACATAATTGTGATAATCATTCCTTCACAATATATACTTATATCAAATAATCATGTTGTATATTTTAAGTGTATACAATTTTATTTGTCAATTATACATCAACACAAGTGGGAGGGAAAAAACGAGAAAATTGCATGAGCTAATGACCCAAGTCCTCATGTCATTCACCACTGTTGCACCAGCTATGGCTATATGGGCACCACTTATGTTCAGCTGATAGAGGAAGGGAAAAGCCAAGCTTTGTTCAAAACAGTTGGGCCAGTTTGATGTAGGAATACAAACCAGAAAAGGTCTTTAGTATTCTCAGTCCCACTCATGAATAACCCTAAAAGACAGCAGTGAGGGGACATCCTCCCAATGGACTTCAAGTGATGCACCTGGCCACTCACTTTGTGTGGAAAGTGGCTCAAGGTCAAATATATCTAAACTCATGGGCAATTGTAAATGGGTTGGCTGGTTGCTTAGTGGCCTGGAAGGAGAAAGAGTGAAAGATAAGGAATAAGGAGGTCTGGGGAAGAGGAATACGGAAGTGGACATGAAGTGCAAAGAGCTTCATGAAGATCTTTGTATACCATGTTAACGCCTACCATGGAAGAGGCAATTTCTAGTCAAATGGACAGACTGATTTGGCCAGGTGATGTCAGACAGCCCTTTCTCATTAATCACCCCAGTGCTGGCAAGCAGGCATATGAACAGAGTAATCATGGTGGCAGGCACGGAGGCTGTGCAAGGCAGCTTACAAAATAGGTGATCTAGTTTCTGCTGCTGCTGAATATCTATCAGGAACAGAGATTACTGCCGAGCCCCTGACAAAGAACAATTCTTCAGAGAGTCCAATCGGCCATGTGGTGGCACAGCAATTACATTAAACCTCTTTCTCCATGGAAGGGCCAGCAATTCATCTTGAAGGAAATCAACACATACTTAGGATACAGGTTTGCCATTCCTGCCCATAGATCCTCAGCCGGCACCATTATCTAAGGACTTACTTCATGTACGATTCACTAACACAGGAGCCCACAGAACATCCTGTTGTACCCAGAAACTCACTTTAGAAGAAAAGAGGTACAACGATGAGCACAGGACCAGCTGCTGACTTTATAAGGTAAAGGAACACCCTTTTGAAAGTATTGCTGAAGTACCACATTCAATATAATACTTAAGGCTGGAGTCCTTAAGCATCCCGCATCCTCCAGGATGCAGTGTCCACCCTTAATAATAAGTGACTATTATACAGTACTGTGTCTCCTCTATATAGATTACATGGTTCAGGGTGGAAATAGGGCTAATCCCTCCTACCATCTCACTCAATAACCTACCCAGGGAATTCATCCCTTCCATCTCCACGACTCTGAGCTCTGCAGCTCTAGAGAGTCTGGTTCCAAGAACAGAAACACTTATACCAGGAACACTACACGAATCCCATTAAACTTTAAGCTACAGCTGTTGGCACTTTATGTTTCTTGTGCCAAGAGGTCAACAGGCCAAAAAAGGCATCACCATTTTGGCAGTGGTAATTGATCAGGAGAAGGTTGAGCTATTGTTACACATGGTGACAGAAAAGACTATTTGGCTCCCAGAAGGACTTCTTGGGCATCTCTTGGTAATACCCTAGCCAATCGTAATGGTAAATGGATAAAAGTAGTAGTCATGGCTTGAGAAGGGCATGATGACTACAGGCTCAGATCCTTCATGGATGAAGGTTTGGGTCACCCAACCAGGTAAGCCACCTGGAGCAGAGCTTTCAGCCAAGGGGAAGAGAACTCTACACTGGGTTGTAAAGAAGGGATTTGATGAGTGTCAGTTGTGTCCCTGAGAACAGCTGCATTGTTGAGAGCTACAGTTTGTCCCATTAATCTTCCTCTTGTACATTTCCCTAGGAAAAGAAGCAAACCAGAGTTCTAGAGGAGCTCTTCCCAGATAGGGTGATTTTTTTAAATAAGAAATATGTGGTCCAAGAGTTGAAAGGGGTAACTGAAACAATCACTTTGATGCACCACAAGCTTCCCCGCTTCAGTTCTGAGGGCTTATTCCCCCAGTGGCCAGATATGTTATCTGCTGACAGCTAGCTGTTGAGTCTTTCTTTTGGAATTGCTCTTGGCCAAAGGGAGATGCCTCACCCAAGGTCATGACCTCTCCCTGGAGACAACCTGCATCCAATGAGAAGTCAATGCAAGAGCACAAAAGCTCGGCCCCCTTGCCTCAGCTTGGGACAACTCACAGGAGAGCTCCAAACTCCAGCGCTCCTCAGGATCAGCTGAGGCCATTGTTGCAATACATCATAGTTCATCTTCTTCCTTTGCCCAGTCCTTTTCCTCACCCTCTCAAGGGCGTTGAGGGCACTCCTTTAAAAAATTCCCACACAGAGACTCTCTGTCTCTGAGTCTATTTCATTGGAACATGATCCAAAACATAATATATATCAAAATCCTTGAAAACATTCATCCATTTTAACCCAGTACTCTCACATCTAAGATAGTCTAAGGTAATGAGAGATTAAATCATAGTTTTGAGTTTGCTGTTGTAACATTATAATTTTTTAAAAACTATAAAGAATCTAAATGTTCAAAAAGAAAGAAATAGCTAACATAATGGTATAGAATTCTTTACAGCCATTACAGTTCATATTTTTGAGAAATATAGTGACATAGGAAAATGTTCACAATATAATTTTAAGTGAAAACAGCAGGATATAGAACTATAAAATTATAAATGGTTTGCAAACATATTACTTAAAGAACTATCACCTTTAAGAGAAATGCAATGACCCCAGTGGTAAATATATTTAAAAAAATCTAAGGAGATAGTCAAATTTTGTTTAATTGAGTAAAATTTGATCTCATAGCCAGACCTATTTTTAGGTAAAATAAAGATAGTAAATTCTCTAGCACTGGATATTTGAAGAACAGCACAAATGACACTTGGCTTGCTGTAGAGTAGAATTAAGCATGAATTTAAAATGTTTAAGGTACCATTTTGCCCTCCGGAATTCCATTCTGCAGTGAGTGTCTTAGAGATGTGTGGTTTTGGTCGGCTTGCCTCTGCTTTCCCTTGGCTGGCCTGGCTTTGGTTGATTTGTCTTAGTTAACAACTTAACTCTTGAAGACATCTGACTTCTTTGGCTAACTTTGACAATTAGGCAAGAAGAAATTTGTTTGATCATCTCCACCTCAAAACCCTACTACCTTTAGACCTTTATCACAAGCATAGAGGAAAAGAATTCAAAGAAAAGAAACTCATGTGAGATGTTACTACCAAGTATCTCTAGGCAATAGGAAGGAGTAACCCAGACCCACCATTAAGGGAAGGGGAGTGCTTTTAGAAAATAAGATTGTATATTGAGACAAACTAATTGTGATGTTGTTATGTCACATGTTTAAATAATCCCAGGTGCACATTCTCTCACTTTCATCAGAACACAACCACACCAAAGCAGGTCAAAGAATCTGACTCCTTTCCACCACCAAGCCTCTTAACATTTTCTAGACCTGAATACAAACCAAACACTCTCATTTTCCCAATTTCTTACTCCCACTCAAGATATTTCAAACACGTGAAATTGATTATTTGAAGGTTTAAGGGAGTGAAATTTAAGATTAAAGACATTCCTTCCCCAACCACTGCTCCGCACTCACATGGCAACTTGGCCTATGCTATAGACAGGGGAGATGACATTTAAGCTCCATGCAGAGATGAGCCCTGTCTTTGAGTTCTTTGTGGCCTTTCCTTCAGTGAAGAGTGTCAGTCCCTGTCTGTCCCTGCCCTGCCCCTTCTAACCACAGATGTCCTAGCCTGGCCATGGATGTGGAGTTCCTCAGAGCAAATAGAGTCCATGATTTTGTGTTCTCAGGGGTCATCAAGGTGTGCTGATAGCTTTATCTTCCCTTTTCACTTCATTTTTCTCTAATATGTGATTAAAATGCAGGGCTATCCCAGAAGGAGTTGACTAGAGAACTAAAAAACAAACAAACAAAACAAAGGGACCCCAAAATGACTTCATGGTTAAAAGAAAAACATAACAGTGAAAAAATAAAGGCATTATAATGAACTCTTCTCCATACTCTCTAGAGCCCTGGGGAAATCTCTTTGATGTAGAATCACTGAATGAAGAAAAGCCCATGTGAAACCAGAACACTTGGGTTTATCCAACAGATATTTTTAAAGCACTTGCTATGTATCAGGCACTGTGCTAGATACTGAAGATACATAGACCTGGACACTGCCCTCATGGAAATTATACTCTAGCAACTCAGATTTATCAGTCCCACAACACTGGGTAGACCGCACAACAATATCAGGCACAGTAGTGCCGTGAGCTTATCCATCCCGTACATGTTCCCAGGAGTGCTAAGAAAGGGAAATAGCAGCCAGAAACATCCTATGAAAAGATTACCTGGAACGACTCAAGAAAATCTGCCCAGGTGCATCTGTTTACCTCTCCTCCTCTGCCAAGCAGGAGAACAATATTGAATTGGAGAACACATATGTTAATAACTCCAAAGAGAGGCTAGTATCTCAGCTTGAGCACCAGCTCCCTGGATGCTACTATAGTTCTGGGCAAAACTGCAAAGCAGCCAAAGTTGGTCTTGCAACCATCCCAACTTTAGCCCATTATCAATCTCCCAGACATCACATGCACATAGCCTACCCTAAATCTGCCCCAAATCCTTCAATCAGCCTAGACATGCCTCTAGACTAGTGTCTGGTTTAAAATGTAAATGAGGTTTAACCTTACCAGGGATGCCTCAACATCCCCTGGCAGACCTTCCACCCAGACAGGAAGAGGTGGCATAATGGAGCAAGCATGGGTTTGGGGCCAGAAAGACCTGGTTTTCTACCCCAGTTTCACAACTTACTATTTTGTGACCACAAGCAAGTTACTTAACCTCGATTAAGCCTCAATGTTCTTGGCCACAAAATGCAGATAATAATGTCTGCCCAAATATATTTCGGGAAGATTAAATACAAACAAGTTCTTCATTTCTTATCCTATCCTTCCTCATCTCATAAGGGGAACCAATAAAGCTCAGCAAAAACACAAAAAAGACATTGATTTTATTTATTTATAGGCATTGGCAGAAACCCCATCATGAACAGGGAAACCCTTTGGAATTCTGCTGCAATTGATTGCCTTGGCTGGGAGATGTGAGGTTCCTGGAGCAATGTGAAGAAATCCAGGGGATCGCCTGGGCAGGACCCAGGCCTCTAGGCAAAATGTGTGGAACAAGCCATCGGTTTTATAATCCTCCTAAGAAAGATCATGAAAAGCAAAGTGCATTCTTAATTATTTCAAAGAGCTCTGGATTCTATATAATCTGTCCTGGAAATAATGAAGAGAAGAAAGACAAAACTTGGCTTTATTTACAGAGGTGACGTTACAGGGATTCACCATCTATTATTACCTGGCAATACCTTAGGGCTGGCCTCCACCACTGCTTTTTATGAAGAGTAAAGTACACGTGAAGTCTGTTGTTCAAGGCCCTGACCCACATCCAACCTGGACTCCCACCACTCTCTCTCAGGCATTCTGGGCTAAGCTGTAACTCAGCCGTGTCTTCCCTACACTAGCGACAGTCTTCTGCTTCATCCTGCCCTTCTCTCCACCTACCAAGCCCTCCTTTCATGTCTTCCCATCAACCTTCTCCATATAGCCAAGCCCCTGCTCAAATGGACCCTCTCCATCAGGGAGAGGTAACAGAAGCTAGAACCCAGGCTCAGGGTCCATAGACCAGGCCCCAGGGCCTACTGGGGCCAGTCAGTATGGTGGTCTCGATACCACAGACCTGGGACTCAGTCCATAATGTGGCTATCAACCAGGGTGCCCTTAGAATTAACTCAGGAGCTTTTAGAAACATATAAATGCTCATATCCCCACCCCAAACCTTCTAAATCAATATTCCATAGGGGATAAGAAAGGTATCTGGGTATCTGAATTTTTTAAAGACTCCACCCTGGATTCTAATGCACGGCCTCAGCTGAAAACCATGGCTCACAGATAGGAACTCCTCTATAAAAAGGAAACTAGATACTATGCCATGACTTCATAGACTCTACAAATAGAGCTGATGGAAAATAATACAAAAAACAGTAATTGGACAACCTGAACATTTACAAATCAAAGGGGCCAGGTGATAAGTAGTTTGGGGTGTTCAAAGATCTGAGTAAGAAACCAGTGAAAAGTTTCATTATTTCTCACAACTTACTGGGAAGCAGATGGGTGGAGGGGAGTGGAAACTGAAAATGTCTGGACATTTGTTCTGAAACTAACCAGCACCTGTAAATCTGTAATTAGCAAAGTAAGGATAGTTGTGGCTAAAAATATAGTTTGTAAATGTATCAAGGACAGTGGAATGTCTCAAGCAATAAGCAAAACGGCTTTCTTAAGGACAAAAAAATCCAAAACAACATGATATCTTGTTTTGGAAAGGGTAACCATATGAGAAGACAAAAGAAACACAGCAGCTGCTGTGTTTGGGGCTTGAGTTGCAGCATTTCATACAACAGCTCATGAAATTTTAATTGCTGACATTTAAAGGTTCAAATTGGCAGGGAGAGCAAGTCACATGGGTTGAACACTAACAAAAGATTACGAAGGAAAGGTGAGGCTCTGTGGCACATCTCCAGCAAGAAGAGGTGCTTAGCAGGGTGCCCTGGGGTCAGTGCTTGCTCACTCCAGATTGGATTCTGCATTCTAATTAACAATGTGGAAGAGAGAACAAAAGACCCCTGAAAGATACCAGAAGAAGACTTGCAAAGGGGGATGAGGGCAACCCCCAGAGAGAAGAGCAAAATGAGACAGGTGAGCCCACAAGGCTTAATCTATAGGAAAAAACAGCAGACAGCTGAGACTACTTACAAAAAGGCAAACTAGCTCATTGGAGGAAAATTCACTAGAACCCCTTATATTTTAGAAACAAAAGGACACAGACCACAAAAATGTCTCAACTATCAACATGGGTAAGAGTGTCCAGCACCCTGGAGAGGAGGTCAGGCTGTACAGGAGGCAGCCAACCCACCTTCAGATCAGGATCAGCAGAGGCATTGCCAAGACAAAGTACATTCAGAATACTAATTAATATCTATCAATGGTTTCTCTCTAGAAAAAAAAATGAAATGCCACAGGGAATGTCTATTAACCAAATAATCCACTTGAAGATCTTTTTGCCCAACTGCTGTCATAATTTGGTTTCTCTTTCTAATTTCAGGTTAAGTTCACACTACTGTCATAATTTGATCAGCATGTGCAAACAGCCAAAACCAGAAACACATCCATACCTCTACAGCAGCCTAATCTAAGAAGAAAAAGGAGAGGTTGGGTTGGTGGTCAAAGGGAGAAAGGAATTTTCATTCCCTGTATCTGCCCCTGGGCTAATAACAGCCACCATGAGCTGAGTGCCTGGTAAGAGTCAAGCCCTGTATGAGGCACATCATTCGTATTGCTCACTTTAACTGCAATGGCAGAGTTGTGAGGCAGTTATTAGACTTATGACTTGGAGAAACTGAGCAACTTCCATACACATCTAGCAAATGCAATTGTCTGGATTTGAACTTGTGTCCCTCGGACTTCTCAATCTATGCTCTTTCCCTGCATTGTTCAGTCAGCCCCTGTTCTCTTTAAGAGGGTTTTCTCCCCAGTTCCCCCAGCTCCCCACTGCCCTCTATTCTGCCTCTGTGCCTGAGAGGCCTTGAGAGCCTTGAGAGCATCACTGGACAGCCCTGGCATACAGACCCTTTCACTGGGGCCCGGCCAATAAGCAAGCTTTTCTTTTACACAGAAATGTTTGTGGCAGTCTCCACCAATCTCACTGTCCCACTAGCTCCCTGTGGAGTCAGGAAGGGCAAAGATCCCCTTCTTCTGGGTGTGATCCTACTCCTTGGAAATGCTTCACGTAGAATTCTATGGATTCCAACTGCTGGTGAGTCAATCTCTGCCCCCCCTGGATTAAGAATCAGGTAGAAGGAATTGAAAAGGAGCTCTGCAGCCAGCAAGCATTTAAAAGGCCATAGAGAAAAATGCAGGACCGCTTGAGAAGGGCAGATAGCAGAGCAGCTAGGAGTGCCCCTGCTGGAGCTAGAGTGTGAGGGTGTAAATCCTGGCCCCAGCATGTTCTATGTGCACTTGGGCAACCTGCCCAACCTCGCTCAGCCTTTCTTTTCATATCAGCAAAATAGGTTGTAGTGAGCAACAGGGTAAAGCACTTAGTAATGCTCAATGGATGCTAGAGAAACAAAAACGGAGCAGAGGCAAAGATTCCAGAAGCCTCAGGATGAACTTTCGGCATCCCTAGATGGAGAACTTTCATATACTTAGTCTCCCTTGTTCACTTCTCCAGGGACTAGTCCTTGCTTCTCTTGTCTTGTGTAGACTAATATACCTCTGAAGTTGTTCTTGCAACCATTTCCCCTAAGTAGATGAGGGATAACAAACAAGCAAAATATGTACTGAAGTTGGGTGGCTGCAAGCAATGGACTTCTTTGAGTGGAGAAAAAAAGGGAAGGAGATGTGGGGTGGGGAAGAAGGAGAAATTATCATAAAATTGGATTCCAAAGCATTCAGTATGAACATTCCCAGCAATAGCAGATGCTTTTTGCCTGCTTTAGATAAGACGTCTATGATTTAGACCTCTGCGCAAACTGAGAAGCTGTTGGATGTTGAAACATTAAATCTAAACACCGAATGCCTGAACCCAAGCAGAAGAACAAGCCCAAACAAGCCTGCAGGCCCCGCTACCCATCACATCTCACCATGAATCAAAAACGCACTACTTAGGCCAGCTGCCACTGCAGCTGCTGCCAAAGCACAAGGTGGGTGGGACCTGAGCAGTGTTCTACCATCAAGGAAAGAACTGGATGAGGGTCCTGCTTACTCGGTGGGTGGGTTCCACGTGGAAGGGTTTCCTGCCACACACAGGGTCCAGCATGAGAAATGGCAAAGGCGGGGAACAATTCAGGGGTGCCCAAGGGAGAGAATACAGTCACAGGTTCTTAGTTGCTGTTTCTGGTTAGGCCAGTAAAGCCCCTTCCTCATCCCTCTTTTCCATTTATCACTAGAGACAGAAACTAAAAGCCATGGCTTCAGGCTGCTAAAAGCCTAAAACAAAATAAAAAGAACAACAAAATAAGGCGGGTTGGACGTGCCAACTAAATGATTGTATATACTATTTTACTATAGCTACTGCCCCCAAAGGCACCTTTGGATGCCATCTTTGGATTTCTCACGATTTTTCAATATGTAGAACATAGTAGATTCTCACACAATATCTGCAGAATGAAAAAATAAAAGTGTGCATGCAAAGGGGTGGCTGGGTCACTGTAGTCCACCCCAGAGAAGACGGGAAAATGCATTTTGCTAAGGCACACAGTGATGAGAGGCATCCCACATGGTAGAAAGAGAACCAGACTCGGCATCCAGCCTCTAAATGAGTATGTACCAGAATTTCCCAAGGCTCTTGTTAAAAACGCAGATCCTGGTCAGGCGTGGTGGCTCATGCCTGTAATTCCAGCACTTCGGGAGGCCTAGGCGGGTGGATCACCTGAGGTCAAGAGTTTGAGACTAGCCTGGCCAACATGGTGAAACCCTGTCTCTACTAAAAATATAAAATCGGCCAGGCATGGTGACGTGTGCCTATAATCCCAGCCACTAGGGAGGCTGAGGCAGGGGAATCACTTGAACCCTGGAGGCGGAGCTTGCAGTGAGCCGAGATGGTACCACTGGACTCCAGCCTGGGTAACAAGAGTGAAATTCCATCTCAAAAAAAAAAAAAAAACACAAATCCTAAGTCTTCCCTCTCCAGGAACTGAAATTCTGGAGTGGGGCCCAGGAATTTGCTTTCCTAACAAGCTCCTGGGATGATTTTGATCCAGGTGGCCTGTGGTTCATATTTTAAGGAACAACCATTCCAAGTCTCACTTAATGGTAGCCTTACCTTGAGCTTCAAAGATGACCAGCATGCTGGCCACATTTTCCCCCAAGGGGGTCTCTTTAGCCTCTTAAATGCTAATGGATACCAGCAGCCTCTAAGACCTATGTGCCATGTTATGTTCTGGAGGAGATGACAGGCAAACCCACTCATCAACAAAGGGCTTATTTGTAAGAGAAGTTCCTGGTGGGGCCAGTGGTAAGAAAGCAGGGGTAGCATTATCTGAACCATAGTCCATGCCCCACTAAAATTTCTGTCACAGGAAGTAAGAGCCTTCTGCGTAAAAGCATGTGTCCCTTGGAGAGAACATTCCTGGAAAACATAGAGGTTTTTATTGCTTAGTTTTAGAAAGGGGACAGGGTCAATCCCCCCATTACTATGAAATATGGGTAAATTGAGAGCGTAGTATGCTGCAAAGCATCATAAAAATAATTTTACATTGTTACTGGCTTGACTTTAATGGTGGGTTTTTAGGAGGAAAAAAATAATAAGAGAAATTTTTCTGAGTGCTCCGACAGGAGAGAGAACTCTCTTCAGAGTTAAGAGACATCTGTCGCAAAGCTGACTGATCCCAAGAGGGGTGAATTCTTGGAAGCCCAAGTCCAAGACGCACAAAACTCTGAGTTCAGGAAACAGCCCCTCTCTGGAGAAGGAGCCTCACCAGGTGTGTGAGAGTGAAGAAACCAAACACAAGACTAAGGAGGAACTATTAATAGCAAGCTTAGCTCCCAACCTAAAGCCAATGAAGTGAAATGCAATCTGCACCCTGTATCTAGGCCAAGGAACCAGGAAGACAATGCTGTGCCCTCACCCGTGCTGGATGCAGTCTGTCAGCCTCAGGCTCAGCCCTCTGCAGCAACCTGATGCCCTGCCTTCTTCCAAACCAAGACTGTCTTCTATTTTGTTCTACTAGTGTTTATTGAGTGCCTACTGTATACTCTTGGAAGTGTGAAGAAATGATCCTACCTGCCTAGCAGTGTGTATACCTGTCATTCCAGACCAGTTTCCAGTCTCATCTGAGATCATAAGACACCCATAAAGTCCCCTGCAGAATGTTAAAGAACAATAAATGATGAGAAATTCACATTACAAGATCTAGAAGCACAAGATACGCATAAATGAGTTGTATCCCAAAACTTTCTTTTTAAATTCATAGTTTAAAGGTCAGAACCCATTTTCCAAAGGGACAGTGCTGTAAATAGTCAGGTGTGTAGTCTAAACCTAACAAATTCATAGTATAGCTAAAATTATACACATGTGCCATAAAAACAAGGAAAACATTTCTGCTACATTATTATAATTACATTTAAAATAACTCAAAAATATTTTTGAGCAGTTATCCTTAGTGATGACATCCTTGGGAAATAATGTTTAATTAGAATTTAATGAAAGAGAGATTTCTGTAGAAAGTATGAGGAAACTGGACTCATAAGGACTTTAGATTCTTATCTCACATTCTTTAAAAATTTTTTCTCTTTGTAAAAATACTACATGGTTTTGTGGAAATTTTGGCAAATACATTAAAATTTTAAATACAGATATAAAAAATAAAATTTAATATGAAACCAAAAATTAAAAGCTAATATGTATTTCTGTCCAAGATTTTTTAATTCTAAATACATATGCATGTATTTTTTACTTGAAAAACAAGTCACAAATATTTTTGTAATCTACTTTTTCACCTTTCTATTATCAAATTATCTATTTTATCATAGTCTTCTCAACATCGTGTATTAGCTTTCTTCTTAATCCTTGCCAAATTGCTCAATTAAAAATTATATCTCATTTTAATTTTTATTTATTCGATCACTGTTGAAATTGGTCTTTACTCTTCTCCAATTTAATGGCCACTTGTATTTTATCTATATGTAATTATAATTAATTATCTTTTGCATTTTTTACCTACTTTTCTGCTGGACTGCTTATAGTTTTCTTGAGCTGAAAAGATTGTGAATATATAATAATACCTCCTTGGTTATTTACATATTGTAAATATTTTCATGGTTTGTCATTTAATTTTTATCTGGTTCATGGTGTTAACATACAGAAATTTTAAGCTTTATACAGTCAAATCTATCCAGTTTTTCCCTTTTAGTTTCTCCCTATGTTTTTAAATATTGAAACTATTTTCCCGGGTGATCCAAGTTCATTTGCGCTTATATGATGAAAAGGTCAAATCTATATAGATAGAAATACATCGACAGGCCTTGCCTCTACCCCTACTGTCTGCACCTCATTTGTCCCCATCACCTGTAGGGAACCAATTTTATTTGTGTCTCACTGATCCTTCTAGCACATCTTTTTGCAAACTTTAAAACAATTATCTAATTGATCTTTCTGGAATAGGTACATGGTATTGCATTTTGAAAAGGTTGTTTTTTCCATTAAATTTTGTAATTGTTTACAGTTGATATCAAAGAAAACTGTTGATTTCTGAACCTTTATTTTGCCTACATTCATCTTGTTGATCTAGTAATTTTTTAGTTGATTGTCTCGGGTTTTTAGATGGACAATTATATCATTTTTATGATTCATATTGATAATTTTGTCTTCTACCTCCAAATAGTATGTTGTTATTATAGTTCTTATTTTATTCCATCTAAATAAGCCATGATTTTACTTTGTGATGGCTTTATAATTAGCACTATTTATGGTTTTTAATCATAATTGTTATCTATCTTTTCTAGTTCTTAAAGGGCATGGCCGTGCCACATCTGGAGTTGCTGTTATCATTTATGTTAGATAGGATGGGCTAAACTGTGTTGCTTTTAGTAAAACAAGCCTAAAATCTCAAGAGCTTGGGACAGCGAAAACTTATTTATTACTTAAGCTACAAGTTGATCATGGGTCATGGTCAGGTCAGGTCATCTAGATCCAGGCCCATTCCACCAGAGCTTATACAACCAAAGGCTGTCATTTCGGCCGGGTGTGGTGGCTCACGCCTGTAATCCCACCACTCTGGGAGGCCAAGGCGGTTGGATCATGAGGTCAGGAGATCGAGACCATCCTGGCTAACACAGTGAAACCCCGTCTCTACTAAAAATACAAAAAAAAATTAGTCGGGCGTGGTAGCGGGCACCTGTAGTCCCAGCTACTTGGGAGGCTGAGGCAGGAGAATGGCGTGAACCTGGGAGGCGGAGCTTGCAGTGAGCCGAGATCAAGCCACTGCACTCCAGCCTGGGCGACAGAGGGAGACTCCTTCTAAAGAAAAAAAAAAAAGAAGAAGAAAGAAAAAGGCTGTCATTTACTGTGACTGAAGCTAGAGGAAGGAAAGCTGGAAAATTTTGCACTGTCTTTTACAGGTTTCTGTCCAGAAGTGACACACATCATCTCCAATCACATTTTACTGGCCAAATCAAGTCACTTAGCCATGTTCCAAAAGGGCATAGAAATTCATTCCTACCATTTGCCTAAAAGAACAGCTTGGAAATATGGGTGGACAGAGCTAATAAGTTACCATATCACTCTAAAGCACACACATTTGTATACACACCACAAATGCACAGAAGAGATTCCTTCACTATTGGCGATAGGTTTTCAATATGTCCTAGATTTTTGGAGGAGACAGAGTGATCTAAACTAGTTGCACAGATTAACTAGATGATTGTTAAATGAACTCTAATCCAATAATACTCACCTTTTATAAAGATTAGAGTCAACTCAAAGATAAAAATTTTTTAAAAGCATGAGTTAAGAGCTTTTACTTAATTCTTCTCTTCCCCTTGGAAAGCATAAATTAACTAAAGTTTACTATGATTACTAGTGGCTGAATTCCATATTTAAATTTATAATCATGTACAGCATAGCTAATAATTTAATTATAAGTGTAAACAATTCCCAAGACGCCAATAGTTCATTGTCAAATCTTACCTGCTTCACAAAATTTGGGTAATCTATGGTCTAGAAAAGACACTGCCTTTTATAACATTGAATAATAACAAAATGGCCATATATTCAATAAATACTAAGTAATTACTAAATAATTCAGCCTGGTAAACCATTTTTAATTGTGTCAAAAGCCAAAGGTATCATTCAATCTTTCCTCATTTGAGATGTATTGCATTTCTTATATGTGATGGTTAATTTTAGGTATAAACCTGACTGGATTAATGGATACTCAGGTGCTTGGTAAAATAATATTTCTGAGTATGTCTGTGAGGGTGTTTCTGAGAGATTAGCATTTGAATCAGAGGACTGAGTGAGGAAGATTGCCCTCACCAAGAAGGGTGAGCATCATCCAATCCATCAAGGGCCAAAGTAGAATAAAAAGGCAGAGAAAGGGCGAATTTGCCCTCCTGGATCTGGGACATCCACCTTCTCCTGCCCGCAGACATCAGAACTCCAGGTTCTGGGGCTTTAGGACTCAGGGATTTACACCAGTGCCTCCCACCCCCCAGATTCTCAAGCCGTTAACCTCGGACTGAGAATTATACCATCATCTCCCCCAGTTTTCAGGCCTTTAGACTCAGACTGAATTATACCTTTAGCTTCCCTGGTTCTCCAGCTTCCACCTGGAATATCATGAGACTTCCCAGCCTCCAGAATAACATGAGTCAAAGCTCATGTACCCCGCTCTTAGAGAGAAAGAGAAATTCTATTGGTTCTGCTTCTCTGGAGAACCCTGTCTAATACAATATACAAGGCAACTCTTTACTGTGAGGAAAATGGAGTCATTCAATCCTCACCATCCCAAACAGAACAGGCTCTTCCACCACAGCCTCTATCAGGCCCTTGTCGGCAGGCCTGGGGCATGAAATCACATAAAGTGGACTCTGGATGGAGAAGGCATTCAGGAACCAGTGCACCGGTCTGCAGTGTGCAATAACCTCACTCATGTGCCCCTATACCTCCATTTTCTACCTCTCTCTAATAAGAACATGAGGGATTGCTTTTAATACACAGATTAGCATTTGGGCCATTCATATAAACATACAACAATCCTGTCAACAGTATTATAGTTGGTGTCCTATAGTTGTGCCTCCTCTAACCTGTGAATTAGCAATAGATCATCCTATCCAGAGGCTTGGTCTGTGTGCTTCTTCTAAAGGTATCAAAATAAAGAAGTTGTTTCTTCTTTTCTCTGCTCCATAATCAATATACAACACAAAGCTTCATTCATGCATAGTTTGAGCTAGGTCATAGCATGACCATGTCCTAGAACTTACTTTCTGCCTTCCGATATCCATAGTAAATAGCCAAAATATGTACTCAATACATCCATTTTTAAAACTAGTCAATTTAAGATAAGAAATATCACAAATGGGTTTTTGGCATTATAAGATAAAAAGATCAATTGATTGAAAGTCTCGTTCCTTAAGATTGAATTTAATTGGTTTGATTGACATCATTTATCCACAGTCCATAAACCAAAGTTATCCATCATCATTGATGAACGGCATTTGAAAACTATCATCAAATTAGTTGCTTAGAAATGCCAAGATGCCACCTTAGACAAGGAAGGCCTCTGGCAAAATATATTCATGTGCTGCCTAATGACTTTTGTCCACCATGGACTGCATATATGACAGTAGACTCATAAGATTATAATACTGTATTTTATTGTATCTCCTCTAAGATTAGATATGTTTAGCTACACAAATACTTACCATTGTGTTACAATTTCCTACAATATTCAGTACAGTAACATGCTGTACTTGTTTGTAGCTCAGGAACAATAGGCTATACCATATAGCCTAGGCATGTAATAGCCTATACCATCCAGGTGTGTGTAAGTTCACTCTATGATGTTCACACAAAGATGAAATCGCCTAAGGAAGGACACAACTCTCAGAACGTATCTGGACTGTAGGAGAACAACAATCTGATTATCAGATCTTCAAAACGTGGGCAGCCTTACAAGATTCAGAGTTTAACTGATAAGCATGTAATTTGCAATTTCCTAACCCTGGAATTTGTCAAGATAATGTTATAATAGTCCCTTATAGAACTAATAGACTCTTCCAATAAGTAGATGCTGCTTTGTGAATTCAGTCCTATCGTGAGACTTCTGAATTGGGATCTTGGAATCTCATTAGCCTCAGAATCCTAAATTTATAATAAAGATGCATAGAGGCATAGTGAGTAGCATTTGGAAGATGCTCTTAATTCTCAGTTCTCCAGTTTGTCTTAATCTTTTTATATAAACTCCTCTAATCCTCAACCTGGCTTCTGCCTGTGCAAAAGTCAATATATGAGTTAGTTACTACTCCCCAGTGAAAGACGATAACATTTTAGGAGTGATACTTTATGTATATTTAGCATTTGTCATCCCTAAACTTCAGTTATAGAAATTCTCGCATGAATCCCCAAAATATGTCAGTGAACTAACAGTCTGTAAACATACAATCATGGCATTTAATATCGTATTAGCTACACAGAAAAATAAGGTATTTTATAGCACATGCTCAAGAGATTTCACTATTGACATTAAAATCTCCAATGGAAATACTCCTTGGAATTGAGGATATATTGCAGTAGTGGTAAAAAATATTAATATTTGTTGAGAACTCACCATAGCCCTGGCATTCTGCTAAATATTGGATATCCTTTTCTCATTTAAACCTCACTGCTATCCTAGGAAGTAGAAACTATTATTACCCCTATTTTACCAGAAGCAAATTGAATCAAGAGAGTAACTGTTTTACCCAAAATCATCAGCAGGAATGTTGCCAAACAATGGCCTCACTGCCTAAGGTACACAGAAGTCAGTACTATGGCACCAGCTTTTGAGAAAAGAAAGGGCTTTATTGCAAGTCAACTGCCAAGGAGACAGGAGCCAACACTCAAATCTGTCTTCCTGAACAAGGGTTTGAGAGCAGGTTTTCCAGGCAAACAGCAACAATGCAAGGGACAGGAAAATGAAACAAGGCATGATCTGATTGGATCATGCAAAGAAGTCACGCCAGGTCTTTGGTTAAGTCCATACGGCAGCAAAACAGGGCACCCCTTGCTTCTTAATTTGGCCCTTGCTCCTTGATCCAAGCACTTGGGTTCCACACATCATTGACTTTTTTATTCCAGCTGGCTCCAGGGTCCTGAATCAGGTACCCTTAGTTCATTTGGGCATGCTCAGGTAATGTGACCAGCAACCTGGGGGTCCCTTGCACTGAAAAACTCATCATTTTGTTACTGACAACGTTGAATTGGTTCTGCCATTACAGAATGACAAATTAACAGGAACTGCAGTGATCTACATGAGGTGTTGGTATCTTGGGCTAGGTCATAACAATGGAAATAGAAATGAGTGGATCTGGGGTCACTTTGCAGGCAACAGCAGCTGCTGATAGACTGAGTGTAGCAGGTGGAGAAGCAGCAGCAATCGGGGTGGCTGCTAGGATTCTGCTTGAGTAGTTGCCCTGATGGCATTTATGTATATGAGAGAGAAGTAGGTTGATGCGTGTTCCCAAGAGGAGAATAAAACACATTGTAGTCATGATCTACAAATTAAACATACAATTATACACACAGACACATGTATCTATACATATTTAAAACATGATCCTAGAGAAGGATGTTTTTTCTCTTGCTGTTTTTCATACTGTCCTATCATGGGAGACCCACAATTAGGACTCTGAAGACAGCTGTTTGCTTGGGGTTTTGCTAATGCTTCGGTGTATCAAAGTAAGGCACACACTCCTGAGGAGAAATCTGGCATGGAAACATCCTTAAATGCCACCCTACCCCTCATGGTTTATATAAGCCTTAGCTACAGCATTGTCTAGAAATGGCTATTCTTTGTCTTTTCTTTGGAACACATTTCTCACTTCAAATGCAACTACCCTTTGCCAGCCCAGGATTTTCCCAATACTGAACGGGTGCCCATCTTCAAGGACAATTCCAAATGTGTGCCCCTGCCTTTGGAACAATGAAGAGGGTTTCGCTCATTGTTTTTCTTGTCTTATCTGCATCCAGAAATTTCTGGCTTGTGCCATTTTAATTTTATATACTTTTACTTTATTTCATTTGAATTTTAGAAAATAATGAGTATTTAAGAGAATAAGTGTTTGAATTTAAACAACTAGGAGTAGGATTACTGCATGTAGAGCCTGGGATTGCCATTTGAAGTCATTAACCAGCCTGAGACCAACCTTTCCAGCATGCCTGCAGGGATGTCTTCCCGGGTTCTGATACATCGCACATTGTGTGACTCCCAAGCAAGCTCTTGGCCACTCAAAGAAAAACCACTGAATCAAAGGAGATGGCATATGAGTCATTTCATCAATTACTTATTTCACATAGATTTAAAACTATGTCTTGCTGAGCTCAACTTGACTGCATGTTTGAATAGTGAAAGACATTGTGTGAAAAAGAAAAGGGGCAAATCTAATCACAGGCACAAATACCCTTCTAGAACCACATTTTAGATAAGAGTGTCCCGCAGAGGCCGGGTGCGGTGGCTTACGCCTGTAATCCCAGCACTTTGGGAGGCCAAGGCAGCCGGATCACGAGGTCAGGAGATCGAGACCATCCTGGCTAACATGGTGAAACCCCGTCTCTACTAAAAAATACAAAAAATTAGCAGGGTGTGGTGGCGGGCGCCTGTAGTCCCAGCTACTAGGGAGGCTAAGGCAGGAGAATGGAGTGAACCCAGGAGGTTGCAGTGAGCTGAGATCGCGCCACTGCACTCCAGCCTGGGTGACAGAGTGAGACTCCGTCTCAAAAAATAAATAAATAAATAAATAAGAGTGTCCCGCAGAACAACAGTTCCTTGGGATATTAACAGGTATTCTCTCTTTTTTTTGCAAATTTTATTTCTTTTAAAAAATTATTGTAGGCACATAGTAGGTGTATATATTTATGGAGTACATGAGATGTTTTGAAACAGGCATGCAATGTAAAATAAGCATACCATGGCAACTGGGTTATCCGTCCCCTCAAGCGTTTATCCGTTGAGTGCAAACAATTCAGTTACACTCCATACATTATTTTAAAATGTACAGTTAAGTTATTGACTATATTCACCCGTTGTCTTATTCATTCTTTCTATTTTGTGTACCCATTAACCATTTCCACCCATTCCCAGCCCCCCACTTAACAGCGTACTCCAAAAGGGGAAAAATGATCTGTGGTCACGTGAGTAATGCTAGGTTAAGTAAATTTGAACAGGTTTCTTTACTATAGACTTCTCTAGATCTTTTTGTTGTTGATGCTTTTTTGTTTTGTTTTGTTTTGTTTTGTTTGAGATGGAGTCTTGCTCTGTTACCCAGGCTGGAGTGCAGTGGTGCAATCTCAGCTCACTGCAACCTCCACCTCCCAGGTTCAAGTGATTCTCCTGCCTCAGCCTCTCAAGTAGTAGTTGAGATTACAGGTCCGCACCATCATGCCTGGCTAATTTTTGTATTTTTAGTAGAGATGGGGTTTCACCATGTTGGCCAAGCTGTTCTCAAACTCCTCAGGTGATCCACCTGCCTCAGCCTCCCAAAGTGCTAGGATTACAGGCATGAGCTACCGCGCCCGGCCGACTTCTCCAGATCTTTAATGTGATGCTAATAGGTTCTGTATCTCCAAGAAAGGAGAGAGGGCATTTAACTGTTTCCCAAACTTATTTAATCACAGAAAGCTATTTTTGAGAATGTTTTGTGGCACATATTTTGAGAATCTCAATTCCAAAGGAAAGAAAAACATAAATAAGGGCTTAATTGAAAGGACAACCTCATTTAAAAGTTGACATAGAGGCCATTATTTGGGTCACAGAAAACTAAGGCCTGAGATTTGTCATGGAGTTCATGTCCCCATTTGGTCACTAAGATAGAGACTTGTCATTGTAATGGCTGCTCAGCACTGGTGAACACCCGCCATGAACTGACCCAAACCAGTGTGGCCACACATGAGGCGAGGCATGCCCGTTATCACACTACCAAATACGGAAACCAAGTCTTAAACCAATTTTTTGCTCCATATACAGACATTTACTTTACAATTGCTTATTAACAATTCATACAACACGTTTGGTTAGCTCAAAGAAGTCCCATTTTCTGTCCTTTTAGGGGCTCTCAGCACCACCTTGACTGAAACATTTTCTCAAGGCAGACATGGCAACATGCCCGAGGCAGGATTCTGGAAGGTTCCTAGGCCATGCCGGGCAACTTGGAATTCTCCAACTAAGTGGGTGGACACTGGGCCAGTTAGCGATCAAGTCTCAGGCACTATCCCTAAGAAAAAGGCTGCAGTCTTTGCTGGAGCCTTATACCCTCTTCATTAAAAACAGGAAGGGCTCTAATATTTTAGCCAATCGAGGTAGCAGTATTAGTTTGTGAGGGACCACAGGCTGGTAACAATAGAAATTTATTTTCCCAGAGTGCTGGAGGCTGGAATGCTAAGATCCAGGTGTTGGCAGGCTTGGTTTCTCCTGAGGTCTCTCCCCTTGTTTTGCAGATGGTCATCTTCTCACTGAGTCCTCACATGGCCTTTTCTCTGTACATGCACATCCCTGGTGTCCCTGAGTGTCCAAATCCCCTCATCTTATAAGGACTTCAGTCAGATTGGATTAGGGCCACAATAATGGCCTCATTTTAATGTAATCACCTCTTCAAAAATCCTATCTTTAAATATAGTCACATTCTGAGGTACTGGCGCTTAGGGCTTAAACATATGAATTGGTAGCAGGGACACAATTCAGCCCATACCAGTATCCTAAATATTGTTTTTTTTATTATAATGATATCCCATATCTAATGTTCATTTTGCTAATTAATGTCACTAGTTTCCACAGTGAAAACTCCTTTCGGATATTCACTATGCTAATTAGCAAAGTCTCATACACTTCTCTTCTTTTTTAATATAATTTCAACTTTTCTTTTAGATGTGGGGGTTCACGTGCAGGTTTGTTACCTGGGTATATTGTGTGACGCTGAGGTTTGAGGTATGAATGAATCCATCACTGAGATAGGGAGCATAGTACCCAATAGGTCGTTTTTCAGTCCCTTACTCCCCTCCTTCTCTTCCCCCGCTAGTAGTACCCAGTGCCTATTGTTGCCATCTCTATGTCCATGTGTACCAAATATTTAGCCCCCACTTATAAGTGAGAATATGTGGTATATGGTTTTCTGTTCCTGCATTAATTCACTCAGAATATCAGCCTCCAGCTGCATTCATGTTGCTGCAAAGGACATGATTTTGTTCCTTTTCATGGTTGCATAGTATTCTATGGTATATGTGTACCACATTTTCTTTATCCAATCCACCATTGATGGGCACCTAGATTGGTTCCATGTCTTTGCTATTGTCTCACTCACTTCCTTACATCACTAGCTCCATAATCAGTCAGGTGCAAGGGCATCTGATTGACTGAGCCTAATAGCAAGGGAGGCTGGTGAAGTATGTTTTTGGCTTTTATCCTGGGAGGAAAGGACTCATATAATTGGGCTCTTTTTTGCAGTATCTGTATTTCTTTGCATATTTCAGCATAGACAATGTGATATCATCTGTATGCCAGCTTCAATGCTAAGGGCAGCCAATTACCTTAATAGAGAATGTACACTGGAGGGTTGCTTACGTAGCAACACTCAGGAGACTTCAACAAATGCTCCGTTTATACCTATAAACTGAGTAGTGTCCTCATAGGATCAGCGTTGGATGGGGTTTGGCCAAATGTCATTATTTCAACTGGTTCTCTGTCTTTTGGAGATTCTGTGTTACCTCACAGATAATTCTTGTAATAAATCCCTTTTCTGCTTAAACTAGCCAGAATTCATCTTTGCAGCCAAGACACCTGATACAGTTACCAATCCTTAGATTTTCAGAAAGCATATGCAAGATATGTTATGGTATAGTGATCTCCTCTCTCATAAAACCAGGGAATCACAGGTTGACCAGCTGACCTGCCTAATTTAGACATCTCTATACCTATAGCAGGGAGAATTAGAGAGTCATATCATGTTGGAACTAGAAGGGACTGTAGCAATCATCTAACACAGATGAAGAAATAGTCCTAGAGAGAAAAGATTGCTCCAGGCCACATCCATTTTTATCCCTACCCCCAAAAGGATGTTTTAAAATAACCCCTGTAACAATCCTCAGCCTGGAGAGAACAATTTTCCATTTCTGTTTAAACCCATATCCCAAGGTGGCGGAGACAACATCAGGAAAAAGCTGCACAGCCAGGTCTTCATTAAAGACACGCTGGAGCCCAGGTGGGCTTGCAGAGTGACCTATCCCCCAGACTCGGCAGTGAGTCACTACAGGGTCAGTTCAGCATGTTTTTCTCTGTTTCAGACTACAGTTCAGCTAGGCTTTAGGTCGGCATCTTTTTAGGTTGCTAGGGAGGCCTCTCTGGTAGGGGTATGGAGAGGAAAACAAGATCTCCCAGCCTAACCAGACCAGGCTAGACAGGAGAGAGGCGCTGCTGTTTGGTTGTGGGTGTCATCCAGGGTAATTCACTTTTCTGTGTTTGCCACCCAGTCATATCTATGGTTGTAGGTTTGTTGTTGTTATTGTTGTTTTCCTTTGAGTTTTTTTTGTGTGTTAAAACCTAAACTGTTCAAAGAAAATGCATGCTGTTCTCATCCCTCAACCAAGCATGTTTTCTCAATTAGACGCATTTTCACAGAGAATTAGTCTTAAAACCCCTGTGAGCTTAAAAATAGATTAAGAACTATTTCTTAAGCTCCCTTTCTTTGGAATTTAAAGTGTTTTTGAGTGGAGTTTTTTTGGGGGGTGGAGGAGAGGAAGTTTAGCGTAATTAAGTAGATCAAGAAAAAAAAGAAAATCATTTAACTATTTCTTATATGATCCTCAGGCTTTGAGGTTCACTCATGTAAATAAAGCTCATCATGGATATTAATTCATTCATTCCTATACTCCTTCATTCACAACAGACTGTGTATCTATCAGGTTCAAGGCACTGTGCTAAAAGAAATATACAGGAAGAAGCCCGGAGCATTTAAAAGCAGGATGTTGACAAACACACACATTGAAGATACTATGATTTGAGCTTCTGACATCTGGACTAATTAAAGCTGAGGAAATTGGCATCTATTTGGCAAAATGGCCAACAAAGAAGACACCAGGCAGAACAACCCACAGAAAATTTCATCAGCCAGGAAATTAGAATTCACTCTCCCCATCCAAAGAGAAAGTTAATTACTGGCTTTGGTGGATTGCATTCCTGGCTCTGCACTATTATCTTAACACAGAAGGCAAGAGAAGGCAAGAAGGGGCTGAAAGAGCCATCCTTCCAAAATATACTTGGGAGAATTAAAACACCGATGTTCTTCTCTGGGGCCCTTGTGACTGGTCAGATCCTCTTGCCCAGATCATAAGAGGGCTTAGTGGAAACAAAAATGGTGGTTGTGAATGTGAACACTATTAAATGGTCTTTCTTCTGTATCCAAAGGTCTAAGCCTTTCTGAATGGAGTCTTTCAAGACTCAGCTCAGACACTACCTTTTCAAGGAAACCTTTTGTGACCTCTCTGCCCTCAACCCCACACACACAACCATGCCAGCTAGACCATAGATCTTCCTTAGCATTTCCACACATCTGCATTACCCCTCATGGCCCAGCCTCATTATCAGCATCCCTCATGAGGCTGGTGGACACTTGGGGTGTCTCTGGCACATTGTAAACCCTTCATAAATGATTTCTGAAGGACTGTAATACATAGTTTATACAATTTTCAGCATACGAATTTAAGGGAAAGCATAAAAGAAAAATACCCATGGTGTACATTTAAATAATAATAATACATAAAGGAAATTTCACATATTTAAACAGACAAAGACTGACTTATACTAGAAGAGAAATAATGACCTATCCCACAGGGTATATGTAACACCATACGTTTTCCAAACTGCTAAAAGAGAGGTAGTTTGCCTAAAGTTAACTCCCAACTCTACTCACTTAAAGGTGGAGGGTCCATTTATTCTTAACAGTGAGGAGCATTTCAGAATAGAATGTTCTCACACACACACACACTGAAGGCACATAATTTGAGCTACTGAAACCTTGAACTCGTTAAAGCTTAGTTGTTGGAATGCATACTCCTAACTTTGCAAGATTATTACACTTAGAGAACATCTGAGATTGCAGTTAAATAAAACTTAGGTTTGTCTGAAAAATTAATTAGTGTACATAATTATTCTGCCACATAAAGCAAGGTATCAGATGTAAGCAATTCATGTATGTTATTTTAATAATTAGCACCACTAAGTTATGTTCCTTTTCCACCTCTGGCTTAATTTATTCTCTAATATGTGTACAAGTGTCTGGTCTACTGTGTTCCCCACACCATTAATGCCAACCACACACACGTAAGCACAGGCAGCAAAAGATTAAAATCCTGCGCACCCTGTTTCGCCTGCCTCTTCACACTCCTGCCTCTACTATGGCCCCGGGTGGTGCTCCCCAGTACTCCCAAGCTCTCTGCCTCCTCATTCTCTCTCTTTTCCCCTACTTCCAGGGGAGGATTCACATCGGATGGGACTGAAACGTATACAATTTAGGGTTTCTTATTTTCAAAAAATAATATTAAATTATTAATTCTACTGGGTGCGGTGGCTCACGCCTGTAATCCCAGCACTTTGGGAGGCCGAGGCAGGCGGATCATAAGGTCGGAAGTTCTAGATCAGCCTGACCAACATGGTGAAACCCTGTCTCTACTAAAAATACAAAAAATTAGCCAAGTATGGTGGCACACACCTGTAATCCCAGCTACTCAGGCAGGAGAATTCCTTGAACCCGGGAGGCGGAGGTTATAGTGAGCTGAGATTGCACCACTGCACTCCAGCCTGGGAGACAAAGCGAGACTCCATCTCAAAAAAAATTGTTTTAAAATTAGGTAGAAATAAATATTTATTTAAAAAGAGAAGTTTCATCAAACTAAAACACAAAGTAACAAATATCACAAAATCTAAGGGAAAAAAATCTCAAAATAAATGTATTAGATAGTTCTTTGTGTAGCACTGGTCCACGGACTGCCTTCTGACTATGCCATGTATATTTCAAACCTTGTCTCTCCTGTATGACCCACATGCATCCAGGGGAAGCCACTGTAGGTTGACATGACCATCATGATAAGACCTCTAGCACTACATCTTCAGGTCAGGACAGCAGGTGGGCGATAGGAAGATGAATGGAAGCCATTCCAACACAAGGAGGGCTAGCCGTTACCTCACACAGTGACTGCAAACCACACAGATATATCTTCACAACCTGTCCCCTGAGCCAGATCCAAAAATTGCCTGTAGTCACTCTAACTCTCTAACAGAGAAGTGTGACTGAGGCAAGTTAAAATGGAAAAGTCAGAGGATGTAAGCAGTTGTAGCTAACATGTCTTACTTGTGCAAATGTTGCCAAACATGACCACATGAACGCATCACTAGGGCCTCTCTAGGGCCTGGGAAGGAACCCAGGCATGTGAGGGACCCTGACACCTAAGCCTCTACAGCTTCTTGGTAATCCCACCTCTGCCTTCCTCCCACACATCTTCCCATGGATTCCAGTCCCCAAGCTTCTGGGTCCAGCAAGGCAATGAGGCTCAAGGCACTGAGCGCCATGCCTTAGGGCAGGATGGACAAACTGGCAAAGGAAACAGGAAGAGTAAATCACACAGATGCCCTCTGCCTTCAAGTCTTGGGACAAAGAGGGATGGAGGGAGGGATTAGAGTTCTGAGCAAAGACAGGACTTTGAACTCAAGCAAGTGGACACTAGCTCATTGAATAACCATGAGCTAAGTGCTTCACACGGATTACTGCTTTCATCCTCACTACCACCCTAAGGAAAAGGAGAGAGGGAAGGAGAAGAGAAAGAAAAAGAGGAAGGAGAAAGGTAAGAGAAAGGATGATGATGAAAAGGAGGAGGAAGAAGGAGAACATGGAGAAGAAGAATGTAAAAAAGAAGAAGGAAGACAGAAAGAAGAGGGGTAGGAGGAGGGGAATAAGAAGGGGGAGGAAGAGACACAGAGGAAGAAGAGAAAGAAGAGAAAGAGATCAAGTGAAAGAGAAAAAGGGAAGGGGAGGGAAAAGAGCAAAGAAGAAAACGTAAGCTGATAGAGAGAGATAAAAGAAAAAAGAGAAAGTTTACTCGTGAACTCCTCTTCCCTAGGAAGCAGCAGTGTTTATCTTTGCTGTCATAATAAAATTAAAAGCTTTTTTTCAGACTATACACTCATCCTCTTAAATTAGAAAGAGTGACAATTTCTTTTGGCTCAGTTCTGCAAAATGCAAGTTGTCATGATCTCACCTCTTAAAAAAAGGAAAAAGGGAAAAAAGCAACCTCCCAAGAGATGGCTATCACTTCAAGCGAATGCCCAGCGGGCCAGCCATTTGGTTGCTGTCCATGTTTTCCAGTGGCATGTGAGCCTTTCACCCAGACCACAATCCCATGCCAAGCTCCATGTCATGTTCAATCTTCAAAATCTTTTGTACAATTCCAACACTTTCCAGCAAGAGTTGATTTTCTTTATGTTTGCTTGTCTTTTAACTGACTGACACTCATAATTTTCTTCCAAGGAAAAAAGAATAGCAGAAAACTTGAAAATATCACCTAATCTGTACTGCACATGTTAAGACTGTTCAGAAAAGTTGAAAAATTATAATTCGCAAATGGGTGGCTTGAAGTACCAGTTGAACCTCAGAAAAATTAAATTCTTTAGGAGGAATGCCTTTAATTAGAATCAGAAGTAGACTCTGTCATGGAAGTCCTGGAAACTCCATTATTTCACAGATTTGCAGACTCATAGACTTTCTTATTTATTGTCAGAAACTTCTGGAAGTCTCTCAATGAATCTCCAAGTTACTGGGTGAGACCACACCTAGCCCAGGATTCCAGATGAACTGCCTAGTCCATATTATTGGTGAAGACACCCAGGAAATATTTCACAACCTATCTCAGTAACATTCCAATGTGTTACAATCCTCGCTTTTAGGAAATCCTTCATTATTTCCAAAGATACTGCTACTGCTCTACATCCTTTGTGAAAATAACAAGATCAAAACCTTTATAATCTCAAAAAAAAAAAAAAAAAAAAAAACAGGAAAAGAATTAAGGAACATTCTCTCTTCTTTTTTTTTTTTTTTTTTTTTTTTGGAAATGGAGTCCCATCCTGTAGCCCGGGCCAGAGTGCAATGGCGTGAGCTCAGCTCTCTGCAGCCTCCGCCTTCCGGGTTCAAGCGATTCTCATACTCAGCCTCATGAGTAGCTGGGATTACAGGCACCCGCCACCATGCCTGGCTAGTTTTTGTATTTTTAGCAGAGACAGGGTTTCACCATGTTGGCCAGCCTAGTCTCAAACTCCTGACTTCAAGTGATCCACCTGCCTTGGCCTTCCAAAGTGCTGGGATTACAGGTGTGAGCCACTGCGCCCAGCCCACATTCTCTTCTTCTGCAAACTAACATGTCTATACCTTTTTCAGTCCTTTAATGACCTGTGTGGACCCTGTACATAACAACGTGCTCTGTGGGCCCCTCCGTTGTGGGTCGAACAATTAAACACCTCACTCTGGTTGGTGCCAGCCAGATGAGTTGATGAAACCTGAGAGGCCAGATTGCTTCCAGTTCTGTAAAACCTGTTTGAGAATTAAAAGAGATGCTCCATCATGTCCTAGGCTGAGTAAATATGAAGGAACAGTGTAATTCTATGGCAACTGACAATCCCAACAGTAAGCCAACACAGCACCACCCCCAGGAGCAACAGCAAGTGTTTGAGTGGGTTCAAAAGAGAGTTGGGGAACTAGGGGGATTGGGGCTGCACGTGACGAGGAGAAAGGGTGTGGGATAACATGGGTTGGCCTTGGTTGATAGGCTATGTCCAGTCTCTGCTGCCTCTGTCTCTCCTTCCTCCTCCTTACCTCACTCTTGAGCCCCCCACCTTTCTCTGTCTCCCTATCTGAAACACATACCCTGCTCTTAATTGGGAAACTAGTAAACATTTCTGCTGATTTTAATCCTGAAACATCATTGAGACCATATGAAATGAGTCTTAAGGATCAGAACCATATGAAGGGAAGGACTGTGGGCTGGCAGCCGGCGCACCTGTGCTGTCTTCTGGACTTCCACCACCAACAGTCTCCAGGACCTGTTTCAAGTTGCTTCACCTCTTTGAACCGACTTCATCTATTAACTGAGTGGTTGAACTAGATGGCTCTTTCTGGCTTAAAAATTCTGTGATTTCATTTCTGGAGGAATTTCAAGCATGGGTAGAGAGAGAAGAAACTGAGAGGCAAGAGGTATGGTTTGGACTCATCAAATTAAATCACAGGTGACTTTCCAGTCCCCCCACCACCCCGATCTGTAAGGCTGCCTTTGGGTGCGTGGCCTTCCTGCAAAATGGCAAACACTTGAAAAAGCTTCCACGCTGAAACCCAAACCAGACCATATTTAGGATGCCCCATAAGGTGGCATTTTTTACTAAGATGATAAAGGATAAACATTGGTGGAGCCAGAGAGGCTGCTCCCAAATACAGTCCTCCCCATCAGCAACACTGCAGTAGCCTGCACCTATCGTCCAGAGTATGAAAAAGACTTTTGCCAAAGACGGCTTTTGGGGATTTATCATTATTACATGTTAAGAGCCTGTTCTCCATGTCCTCACCTTCCTACCTTGCTAATCTTCCCCATTTCCATCTTTCGGCCCAGTGTGAGACCTCACCATCTCCTTTTCCCATCTTCTTTCCTCCATACCCTTGGTTTCCTAGCAGGTCAATGCCCCTGCCCCTTCACTGGAATCCATCCATCCTGGTTATTCTTTTCTTTATGAACCTGCTGGACTACATCTCAAAGTTACCCAAAAGAGGGATACAAAGACACAATAAAATCGGAAATAACGCTCACCCTTACCAGCCTGCAGTTAAGAGTGTGTGGAACTAGGGTGGCTGCAGGCAAAGAGATAGGGGGAAGGGCTGCCTCATGCCATGGGCAGGACAGTAAATGGTGCAAATTTTCTGGAAAGCATCTTAGTAATATAGGTGAAGAGCCTTTACAATGTGTTTATCCTATGACCTATCCTTACTTCTCTTATTCTAAAGGAATAAGAAGAGGTTTAATCAAAGCATGAGTGAAAAGGCCATCCAAACACAGGGAAAGGGGCCGTTATGATGTCTACGGTTCTAAGAAATAGAAAACAACAACTTGGCTTAAATAATAAGCACATAACCAAAGAAATCTAGAAGTAGGATTCCCTTAAGAGTTGAGAGATTTAGCAGCTCAAAAATGTGACCTGACATACGAGTTCTTTCTATGCTTTTGTTCTTCCTCCTCCAACACTGGTTTCACACTAAACTTGGCTCCCCAGTGGCCAATAGCACCAAACAGCACTTATCGGCATTCTTGTTGGTATCCAAAAGAGATGGAGAAAGCCTGATTTCACATGGCTCTTCCTTAAAAGCAACAAAGGACTTTTCCCGGAAGCCTTCAGCAAACCTCGTCAGATTTGAATCACATGCCAATTCCTAAATCAGTCACTGGCAGGGAAGTGGGAAAAAGGGGAGGAGGTGTTTACCCTTAACCAATATGCCTACCCCTGCCCACTGAGATCAATTCCATAAAAGTATTGCTTCAGTTCTTTGAAGAGGAGTACAATGTTTGTGAGTCACTCACCACATTTACCCACCAAGAGCTAAGGGATAACTGAGTAAAATGGTAGAGCTGGTAGGAAAATGGTGAGTAGTCCCGTCCTTCTGTGCCATAATTGACTTGTACACAAAGAGATTTGGAAATTTAAACATAAGAACTCTCTCTTCCCAAGCCCAGGGCTTTGGGCACTTCAAGTCTGGTCCTTGCCTGGGCACAGTGGCTCACGCCTGTAATCTCAGCAATTTGGGAAGCCAAGGAGGGTGGATCACCTGAGGTGATGAGTTTGAGACCAGCCTGGCCAACATGGCGAAACCCCAACTCTACTAAAAAATACAAAAATTAGTTGGATGTAGTGGCACACGCCTGGAATCCCAGCTACTCAGGAGGCTGAGGCAGGAAAATCGCTTGAATCTGGGAGGCAAAAGTTGCAGTGAGCTGAGATTGTACCACTGCACTCCAGCCTGGGAGACAGAGCAAGACTCCATCCCACCCCCCACCAAAAAAAAATTCTGGTCTTTACATGTGAAAAAATAAAAGCTAATTTTTAAAAACTAAATAATAAAGAGTGTTAGGTGATAAGTTTTATGATAGAGATAATGTGTGCTTTAAAACACACAGCATAAAACAGATGGAAAACACCTCATGGAGAAGGGAGAGCTTGAATTGGTGTTTGATTGAAGGACAAGAAAAATCTGTTGGTAACTTCCTCCTGGCTCTGACCTCTGATGCAGTTAAAGTAAAGCAACTTAGAATTATGATCTAGGGAACATATTCAGAGAGAAATGAATTTATGATGTCTTCAATTTGAAGATGCTATGATTTTAGACTATTCTAGAATACAATGATTTTTCATTGCTTCACACTTGTAAGAAATGTTCCACTACTGAAAATTTGCAACACTTAAAAAATTCCTACACAAAATCACAGCCCACCTTGCTGTTCTATGCTAAATAAACAAAATATTTTTTCTCAATTATGTTGCTCTCCTTAATTACACGCAATTTTAAAACTAGCTGTAACTGACAGCCCTTTCCTCACACTTACTGCCAATGTATTTAGGTCAATCCCACCTCCAATTAGAGAAACTTAGAAAAAGGAAATCCTACGGTGAAATGCCATATGCCTTACAATTTTCAGTAACTAATCCTCAAGGATGACAACTTGGCAAAAAAGAGAACTGGACCAGCTCCCTGAAAGGTCCATCACTTCGGCCCATGTTAATTGATTGCCTTAAAATCACAGTGCTTCCAGGTTGTAGAGACACACTCAAAATGGACTATTGCCCTCACATTAAAGGGGATAGGTTTTCTTTTCCCTTTTCCCATCCCTGCTTCTCTCAAAGCTGCACAGAGGTATATGAGGTTTGGGGAATATTTGCAGCACATGTTGGCTGGCAAGAATGTGGGTGAATTCCTGTTAAGGGGCGCAGACACTCCCTCTTCTATGACCTTTCCTTTCCACCCAGAACAACTGAAGTATCATGATAAGAGGAAGGGCTTTGTGTTTGAGATAAGCAGCTCCTATACCTGTCAGCTTTCTCTAATAAGAAAGCTCTTTCCTGCCACCGTATAGGTCACCTTCTTATTGGTAAAGCATGATGAAGTTTGGAAACTGTTGTCCTTGTTTTGTTGAAAGAAGCCAAGTTCCAAGAAATCTGCAGAGGCATTCCTACAATCCCTCAGCCATGGCAGCATGAATCCTGAAGGGGCAGTGAGTGCTGGTTTCTACTCTGTCTGCACAGCTAAGCCTAGGGGAGATAATCTTTTCATACAAGATGCATTCTGCTTTTGTGGGCCTCTTGCAGCCCTCAAGCCCCCATCTGATTTGTACACAATGATCCAGTGGGCCAGAGGAGCCCAGAGCCATGAGCGGCCCATCCCTCCAAGAACTATTTCTGACTGTCCAGTATCATGGAGCAAGTGGAAAGAAGAAAAAAAAAACCCAATTACTTTTCGAAGAGCAAGATGAATGCTGTAGAAGGAGAAGGAAGGGGAGGGAGATGGATGGGTGCCGATTCCAGAATCTTCAGATCTGCTTGGATGAATCATTACCTATGATTTGCGGGACAAGAATCTGATTTTATTCATCAACCAGTAGAAACTTTTCTTTCTGCCTCCCAACATCTGAAATCCAACAAACATGTGCCTTAGGAACATACCGGTCATCTTTTAGAGGCATTTTATATACATATTGAGTAACTAGAAAACACTCTTTCCGTAATACACACACACACACACACACACACACACCATCTTGTCATACAACACTCCCACGCAAGAAAAGCGAAACTGCTGTTTGATGAATGTAAACACTTGGCTGTTTGCAGCAGTCGGGAGTCCTGCCAGGTTTAAGTGCTAAGATGGGAGGTGAACCCCAGGGGTTTCCCCCTGCCCGTGCTGAGATCCTTATTTGGTCAAGCTTCTACCTATGCCCTGGCCTCGGAGCGAGCCCGATAGCGCTGGATCACAGCAGAGGGAGCGAGGCGGCTGACGTCCCATCCCGAAGAGATGAATGGAATTCCAGGAAGCTAGAGTCATGCTGGCTTGGGACAGTGGCTTGGAGACCAGACTTCAATGACAGAAGCACTAGGCAGCGGCACTCATGGCAATGTGTGCACCCACAGAAATGTAACCCACACCTCGGGTTCAGGAGCCGAAAAATGAAAAGAACGTTTAGGGAGGAAAAAGGGAAATACAATAATAGGCAGAGAGTAATTTATTACTCTATGGGTCTGCTCTGTAAATAGCTGAAGACTCTGGAGCCAGATGGTTCTGCAAATTCTCCAAACAGGAGTCACGTTAAGAAGCACGAGTGGGCACAAAAACTGTTTTTCAAGACACAATTTCAATTTGGCTTGTGGAAACTGGATACGAGTAAGTTTCCTTAAAATTCGAGTAGAAAGCAGCTGTCCTCCCCGGGCCCCTTGATGAGAATACGCACACCGCCCCCAAGCGGCCGGCCGAGGGAGCGCCGCGGCAGCGGGAGAGGCGTCTCTGTGGGCCCCCTGGCAGCCGCGGCAGGAAAGGGCCCGAAGGCAGCGAAGGCGAACGCGGCGCACCAACCTGCCGGCCCCGCCGACGCCGCGCTCACCTCCCTCCGGGGCGGGCGTGGGGCCAGCTCAGGACAGGCGCTCGGGGGACGCGTGTCCTCACCCCACGGGGACGGTGGAGGAGAGTCAGCGAGGGCCCGAGGGGCAGGTACTTTAACGAATGGCTCTCTTGGTGTCCCCTGCGCCCCGTCGGCCCATTTTTCTTTTTACAAAACGGGCCCAGTCTCTAGTATCCACCTCTCGCCATCAACCAGGCATTCCGGGAGATCAGCTCGCCCGAAAGCCCCTGCGCCACCCCGCGGGCCCTCCTAGGTGGTCTCCCCAGCCCCGTCCCTTTTCGGGATGCTTGCTGATCACCCCGAGCCCGCGTGGCGCAAGAGTACGAGCGCCGAGCCCGTGCGCGCCAAGGCTGCGTGGGCGGGCACCGACTTTTCTGAGAAGTTCTAGTGCTCCCAAGCCCCGACCCCCGCCCCCTTCACTTTCTAGCTGGAAAGTTGCGCGCCAGGCAGCGGGGGGCGGAGAGAGGAGCCCAGACTGGCCCCCACCTCCCGCTTCCTGCCCGGCCGCCGCCCATTGGCCGGAGGAATCCCCAGGAATGCGAGCGCCCCTTTAAAAGCGCGCGGCTCCTCCGCCTTGCCAGCCGCTGCGCCCGAGCTGGCCTGCGAGTTCAGGGCTCCTGTCGCTCTCCAGGAGCAACCTCTACTCCGGACGCACAGGCATTCCCCGCGCCCCTCCAGCCCTCGCCGCCCTCGCCACCGCTCCCGGCCGCCGCGCTCCGGTACACACAGGTAAGTCGCCCCCGGCGGCCGCCGAGGACCAAAGCTGCCCGGGACATCCACCTGGAGCGCTGAGGCTTCAGTCCCTCTGGTGGACCCCGGAACCTACACTCTCCCCGCTCGCCTACCCCAGCCCGCTCCTCTCAGCCGCTGGAGGACTCTTCAGGGCAAGGCTCCAGAGCCATCCTCTCCAGCCTTGAGGTTCACAAACCAACTCATCAGGACACCCCAAGATTTCCTTACTCTCTGAAGTCCTCCTTAAGCCTTTGTATCAGCACTCCAGGGAAGAGTCTGTACTTCCCCTGCCCTCCCTGCAACCCCAAACTACAGTTCCTGATCTTGCTCACCTTCGACTTCCCAAAAGCCCCCAAATTGTTGGTCTTGCGCCCCCCACACTTTAAAACCAGCATCTCTTTCCTCCACCTCTCTCTCTCTCTCTCTCTCTCTCTCTCATGCTCTCTGGAAAGTAATCCTGTTGTCCTTCATTTCAGCAAACGCGGGGTCAAAGAGGGATGGTCCCGGCCCTGTCCCCATGCCCAGCCCCGTTTCTGCGCACCGTCCCTCCCTGCCTAGCTGATCTCTGACCCTCGGCTCTTGTGCTTCCTGCTACAGGATCCCTGCTGGGCACCAACAGCTCCACCATGGGGCTGGCCTGGGGACTAGGCGTCCTGTTCCTGATGCATGTGTGTGGCACCAACCGCATTCCAGGTGAGTTTGTGTGGCACCTTTAGGGGAAGGAGGGACAAGGAAGAGGTGCTGGCTATCCCAGGTGTGCCCCCTCACGTGCTGTCCTCTCCCTCTTGAGCCTGACTGGACATCAGGACGCAGCTTCACTCTGATCCTGGTATTTATTCACCTCTTTCAGTGGTTGCCAGGAGTTTTCACCCCAACCCTTTGTCTCCACCCCTAAGGACTCAGCCCCCTACTGCTGGTCCCAGCCTAGAAAGCTCACTTTGTGTTCTCTCCTGTCTAACAGAGTCTGGCGGAGACAACAGCGTGTTTGACATCTTTGAACTCACCGGGGCCGCCCGCAAGGGGTCTGGGCGCCGACTGGTGAAGGGCCCCGACCCTTCCAGCCCAGCTTTCCGCATCGAGGATGCCAACCTGATCCCCCCTGTGCCTGATGACAAGTTCCAAGACCTGGTGGATGCTGTGCGGGCAGAAAAGGGTTTCCTCCTTCTGGCATCCCTGAGGCAGATGAAGAAGACCCGGGGCACGCTGCTGGCCCTGGAGCGGAAAGACCACTCTGGCCAGGTCTTCAGCGTGGTGTCCAATGGCAAGGCGGGCACCCTGGACCTCAGCCTGACCGTCCAAGGAAAGCAGCACGTGGTGTCTGTGGAAGAAGCTCTCCTGGCAACCGGCCAGTGGAAGAGCATCACCCTGTTTGTGCAGGAAGACAGGGCCCAGCTGTACATCGACTGTGAAAAGATGGAGAATGCTGAGTTGGACGTCCCCATCCAAAGCGTCTTCACCAGAGACCTGGCCAGCATCGCCAGACTCCGCATCGCAAAGGGGGGCGTCAATGACAATTTCCAGGTGAGGCTTCTTCTCTGAGCCCTGCTCCGTGGGATCATCTGCTAGACAGGTGACCTGCCAGGAGGGCTACAGGAAATCCTGTCTGTAAACTAACGCAGCAGTTCTCAGATTTTAGGCAGCATGAGCATCACCTGGAGGGCTTGTGAAAGCTCACCCTGCTGCACCCCAGCCCCAGAGTCTGGGATTCTGTAAAACTGCAACTCTAACAAGTACCAGGTGATGCTGATGCCGGTGGTCTGGGAAGCACACTTTGAAAACTACTCAAGGAAACAAGAAATGGTTTTCCTTTAGCAGTCAGCCTGTTCAAGCCTTAGATACTCCTTAGGCTCTTAAGAAAAGAGCTTATTTCAAATGCATTCCCCCAATTTTAATCTTGTTTGAAATGGATACTTTCTATGGGCAGAATCAGTACCACTTTGCTATTGGATTCCTCATGGGGATGCAGCTGGTCTCACATAAAAGGTTAAAATAGCAGTTAGTTGTTGCTGTTACAGCTTCATCTGTGCCTTAACTTCTAGATCTTTGCAACGGTGGCTTTGAACTCCCACATTTAACTCTTTGACACTGGAAAGTGTCATTATATCCTCTAGGCTTAGGATCAGATTCCATTTCCTGTGTACCCAAGTAGGCTGATAACTGAATTCTTTGTAAAATACTCAAGACTTGGCAGAAGTCACAATTAAGATTTTGAAGTTGTTTGGCGATTAATGTTGCTGTGTTATTTTGACATAGTGATCTTAAGACAGCTCTTTGAAGCTTTTAGAACATCTATTGTATGCTTTTCCTAGCATACAGACAGTCTCCCCCAACCCCATCCCCACCCCGCTCTGCATTCTACAAGTAATGTGTGTCCTCTGCCCACAGGGGGTGCTGCAGAATGTGAGGTTTGTCTTTGGAACCACACCAGAAGACATCCTCAGGAACAAAGGCTGCTCCAGCTGTGAGTACCCCTCTATTTTTAGGGCACATAGGGAATCAGGGGGAATTCCACCAAAAACAAACTGAGGAATTTAGCAATAGTGGTTATACATAAATTACCCCCAGTGAGATCATCAAGAGGCATACAGAAGTGACTCCAAGGGGTATTATACACACACACGTATACACACGTGCGCATACACGCAACCCCTCTACCTGCATCCTTCACACCAAATGAAACGTCTTCTACCACTAAGAACTCAAGAGGCTGGTTGGTAAGAGTATCTATTTGAAGTTTTCATTTTGTTTCTTGCCAGCTACCAGTGTCCTCCTCACCCTTGACAACAACGTGGTGAATGGTTCCAGCCCTGCCATCCGCACTAACTACATTGGCCACAAGACAAAGGACTTGCAAGCCATCTGCGGCATCTCCTGTGATGAGCTGTCCAGCATGGTCCTGGAACTCAGGGGCCTGCGCACCATTGTGACCACGCTGCAGGACAGCATCCGCAAAGTGGTCAGTGGCCTCTGCACCCAGCCCGTTAGCATGAACCCTGGAAGGTTTATCGCAGATGGTCCCAAATGACTGAAAATGCGGGGGGACACTAATGATATTCTCTCCCATTTAGACTGAAGAGAACAAAGAGTTGGCCAATGAGCTGAGGCGGCCTCCCCTATGCTATCACAACGGAGTTCAGTACAGAAATAACGAGGAATGGACTGTTGATAGCTGCACTGAGTGTCACTGTCAGGTAAGGGACCTTCACCAGCCAGAATAAGAATCGACGGCTTTTGTTTGAACCTACATCTTTGGGGAAATACCCTAATCGCCACAGAGATTCTTTTTATGTTCCATGGCCTGATAACAAAGTGTTTTTTTTTTCTTTAAGATGCAATTATGGCATCTATAAGTTCTTCTTTAAACTCTCAGATGGTTTATCAAAGTATTAATTATACCCCAGGCTAAGTATCTAAGAGAATGAATCTACTAAGACATCTGAATAATTTACCTACCTTAGTTCAAAGACTAAGTGTTGAATGTCAGGTAAATAAAACCTGGTTGGAACATTCATTTTTTTTTCCCAACCCTGATTTATATTCAGCTTTGGCATAGGTTCTTTTAGTACAGTAGCAATTGTTTTTCAAATCACTTAGTCTGACACTGTTAGGATGTTACTGTCTGCTTTGCTCAGATGGCACTGCCAGGTGTGTGATTCACTCTAGCATCCCCGCATGCCAGTGGCCAGTGAGTTTGGAGGTTCACCTGGCTTATCTATTAATAGCAAAGTATTTGAATTTGCTTAAATACAAATCACAGATGACTGGCTGTGGGAACCAACTTCATTAAATTCCCTTTCTTTTCCAATATAAAGACAGATCACAGATCTATAGATGAGGAAAAAGTGCTTATAGATCTTCCTTCCTCCCCCCAAACACATAATATAAAAATGTAAAAGTCCTGGCTGAATTTTCTGAGTTTGATTTCAGACATAGATTTGACCCATGATGTTTGTTGGTTCCTCTGCTATAAATTCTTTGTACTGTAACTTCCACCCTTGACTAAGTAGCAATTAAAAAGAACTTTCCAAGGAATGGAGTGACACGTAAACTAGCACTAGAACTGTCTCTACGATAGTGGTGGCTGCAAATATGACAGAGACAGATCTATGAAAATCATTCCACTAGAGCATTGACAGCCCTGACCATGTTTTGGCTTGTAAAGGAAATGTTACAGGATGTAGACTTCTGTATGCAACATGCTCAGCAGCCTGTTCCCCTCTCACTCTCTTGCCCTGCAGAACTCAGTTACCATCTGCAAAAAGGTGTCCTGCCCCATCATGCCCTGCTCCAATGCCACAGTTCCTGATGGAGAATGCTGTCCTCGCTGTTGGCGTAAGTTTCTCAAATGGCATAGCTATTCTTCAGTGACTAGGTCAGTTCTACATACATCCTAGACAGCCGAGCACAACACTGGAACCCCACCCCCATCTCCATCATGCTTCCATTCAGTTTCTTGCTGCAGCAGCTGGTTAACTGACAGCTTATCTGCTGTACAGAGCCAAAACTCCATTATGAGTACATCGTAATTACCCATCTGGATTGCAGTAATGGCAGTGAAGATCTTGGTATAGCTCATTAATTCTGATTTTTTGCTTTGAGGAAAAGAGATGAAGACGTGGCAGCAACAGCTCTAAGTTGACTGCTTTTAGAATTTGACCTTAGTGGCACAGAGTTAAGAAAAATCTGCTCACCAGAGATATTGACAGGCTTACTGTGTAAGCATTGGCCTGATCGGGCCTGGAAGTTTTGCCCCTTTCATCTGTAGGGATAAGAGGGCCTAAGAGAATAGCAGCAATCTGAGCTCTAGAGCACCAAAAGAAATAAGGCACGATATCGTTCCATGGCACGTTATCCCTGGCTTTTGTTACCAGTAAAATGAATGACTTTGCTGAGACAATACTTAGTGTAGCAGGTACAAGTTATAAAAGTGATTCATTACAACTAAGATAAGGAAGAAAACAGGAAAACAGCACTTGCCCTTCACACACACAGAAACACACATGCACACACACACAAACACACCCTTGTCACAGCTCAGAATAACCAATTCCATCCAGGGATCATATTAGCGATATTGGCACTGTAATGGTCGTTTTTACATTTATTTTCTGTTCCGCATTCACTTAACATGTGCGTTAAAAGGAACAAAGCTAGCTGGAGGTAGCAAAGTTTTGAACTTGAATCAGGGATTGCTAAGAAAACTTACAACTAATGACCACAGAAAGTAAGTTCTTTGTCTTCTGTCTGATACAGCTAGATGTGATTGTAGCCGTGGTGCCTGGGCAGATGGTAAACAAACATGCTGTCCTCTTATGACAATATGTGCAGAGAAGGCCCCAAACGCTGGGGTGAGAGGAACAACAAACTGACTAACTCACGGCCGAGTTGGAGCCAGAACCAACAACAGCTCGGCTGCCTTCACACTCATCTGTCAAACACATGGTGTATGGCTCCCCTGACAGAAATGACTCCTATAAGCTTCCTCATACTCGCGCATTCTTGGAAGTCTGAGACTGGAAATGCCTACCCAGATATGTTAAGTCAGTAAAGGAAAACTCATTTGCAATGCTGAGAGGAGAAAGAAAATCAATGAATAGGAGAGCATACACTGTGGGAAGGCTCAGCTGTACTGAGCCAGGCAAAGCATCCGATTACCCCACTGCTGTACACATCATGACCTGGGATAAACCCCTGGGCCGTTGGCCTAAGAAATATGTTGCTTTTCATCCTGTATAACTGCAACTTTGTGCCGGCTCATATTATGTTCTAGAGAGCTCATGTACACCATGGTGACCATAGTTAATAATACTGGATTGTATGCTTAAAATTTGCTAAGAGAGTAGATCTTAAGTCATCACCAAAAAAAGTAACTGTAAGATGATGGAGATGTGTTAATTAGCTTGACGGTGGTAATCACAATATATGTGTATATCAAAACATCACATTATACACCTTAAATGTATATAATATTTGTCAATTATACCTCAGTAAAGCCAAAAAGAAATAAATATATTGCTTTTCACCCTCTGGCAAGTGGAGGGCCCTGAACAGAGCCCTCTAAAGAACAGCTTGTCCTAATCATCACGTACCTGATGAACCTCTGTTTCCCCTGCAGCCAGCGACTCTGCGGACGATGGCTGGTCTCCATGGTCCGAGTGGACCTCCTGTTCTACGAGCTGTGGCAATGGAATTCAGCAGCGCGGCCGCTCCTGCGATAGCCTCAACAACCGATGTGAGGGCTCCTCGGTCCAGACACGGACCTGCCACATTCAGGAGTGTGACAAGAGATGTAAGCATCTTAGCCTCTCAGGGACGTGGAGAACTGACCTGTCCTTGTTGTCGTCACCAAGGGCAGCTCCACAGCATGTATATTAAGAACACGGGTTCTAGGATCTCTGGATCCCAATCCCACTGCTTAGCTGTGCACCCTTGAACACAACTTACCCTCTCTGAGGCTCTTTCCTCATTTGCAACTTGGAGATAATAATAGTTCTTGATAAGTTTATCTTGAGCATTTTATTTAGATACTGCATGTAAAGCAGTTAGCACTGAGTTTTGGTTTATGGTAAGCACCCTGTAAATGTTAGGATATTAACAGCAACCCATAAAAACAGCGAACTTATCCGTTCTCTGGTAGAAAACATTCCATGTTGACATTTGGGCATGTGGCCAGGAGCCAATTTCTACCGTACACTGGGTTTAGTTGCCATTGACCATTTCCTGGAAATACTTCTGCGTGCTCCTGATGGGAGCCTCTATTTGGCTGTCTCTAAGCCAAAACCATTTGTGACCATCAACTCTGTACTTTAGTTAAACAGGATGGTGGCTGGAGCCACTGGTCCCCGTGGTCATCTTGTTCTGTGACATGTGGTGATGGTGTGATCACAAGGATCCGGCTCTGCAACTCTCCCAGCCCCCAGATGAACGGGAAACCCTGTGAAGGCGAAGCGCGGGAGACCAAAGCCTGCAAGAAAGACGCCTGCCCCAGTAAGTGTGAGGTCCGCTGCAAGGGTGAGCATGGGCAGCAGCTCTGCCCAGCTGGTTGCCTGGCATCTGCAGCCTGCAGTTCAGTGGGTCATAGAGCAGGAAGGTTACCTACTAGAGAAACAAACAGAAGCAAAGTCCTGCAGGCTCAGCAACTTCTTTTAATGAAAAACAAACTCACCCTCTTCCCCAGCATTCTTTCCATGTGTCAGAGAAGCAGAGGTTTCTTGAACGGGCTTAGGAGAGTCTATGACAAGGGAGGGATTTGAAAGTTGATCTTAATTGTTGCCTGTGGTTCATCTTCTTACAGTCAATGGAGGCTGGGGTCCTTGGTCACCATGGGACATCTGTTCTGTCACCTGTGGAGGAGGGGTACAGAAACGTAGTCGTCTCTGCAACAACCCCACACCCCAGTTTGGAGGCAAGGACTGCGTTGGTGATGTAACAGAAAACCAGATCTGCAACAAGCAGGACTGTCCAATTGGTGAGCCACGCAGCCCAGGATGAAACGACCCAGGAGCTTTGCTCTTTTACTGAATGCTGCAGTCAGCATTCGAGGAGATTCCAGCTTGGTTAGTCCTGAGCGATTTGATTGCTCTAAGATGCAGGTGGACAACATAATCCCAACAAGTTATCGGTTCCCTATACCCTATAATATCTTACACTGTGTTAAGTGCCCAGCATGGCAGTATGGCAGCTTAGACCAACCATTTACTGTGACTGTCTCTCTCTCCTTGTCTCAGATGGATGCCTGTCCAATCCCTGCTTTGCCGGCGTGAAGTGTACTAGCTACCCTGATGGCAGCTGGAAATGTGGTGCTTGTCCCCCTGGTTACAGTGGAAATGGCATCCAGTGCACAGATGTTGATGAGGTGAGGAACTGATGGGGCTCCGAGTTTCTGGATCTAGGAAAGCAGCTAACCTGTGCAGTCGCTTCCTTATGGCAGTGACTTCTAAACATGATGCACGCTCTTATTTCCTCCATAGTGCAAAGAAGTGCCTGATGCCTGCTTCAACCACAATGGAGAGCACCGGTGTGAGAACACGGACCCCGGCTACAACTGCCTGCCCTGCCCCCCACGCTTCACCGGCTCACAGCCCTTCGGCCAGGGTGTCGAACATGCCACGGCCAACAAACAGGTACAGTCAACTAGACGAGTAAACCAGAGGACAGGAGAGCTGTCCTTGACCAAAATAACTGGGAGCGGGAGGAATGTAATTTCATACCCTTCACCAAAAAAAAAAGGGCGAGGAGATGAATGTACGGTCTAGTTTTAGAAACGTGATTAGAAAATCCATGGTAAATCCTGCAGGGGAAAAACAGTCTTCCATATTTAAAAATGCTGCTCTGGAATAAGTTGTGAGCAGATGGACTTGTAAACGCCTAGGTGCTGAGCAAATTCAAGAAAAATAAACATAAAGCAAAGTTTGCTTATAGCCTCAGGGAGAATGGGGAGGGACAGAGGTAACCCACACTCTTCCAAATGGAGCCTCTGTCTACTCAGAGATGACAGGGATCTGGATTCTTGTTTCCATGATATCTGAGGATTCTCAAAAGCTCTGTGTAACAGCAGCATGGTGTACCCTCAGGTGTGCAAGCCCCGTAACCCCTGCACGGATGGGACCCACGACTGCAACAAGAACGCCAAGTGCAACTACCTGGGCCACTATAGCGACCCCATGTACCGCTGCGAGTGCAAGCCTGGCTACGCTGGCAATGGCATCATCTGCGGGGAGGACACAGACCTGGATGGCTGGCCCAATGAGAACCTGGTGTGCGTGGCCAATGCGACTTACCACTGCAAAAAGGTAGAGCCAGGTCCTTTGTGTGCCTCCAGAAAGAGGGCCCATCACCTTATCAAAACACAGGCTAAGGAATTTTAAATACTTAAAGTTTGGACATGAAACTGAAAGATTAAATCTCCCAAAGGGAGAGGGGCACTAATTCCTATTAAAATTAAATCACTTGGTGCCAAAAACATGAACAGGGCTAGCTCTTTTTGGGCAACTGTGTTCCATAGTCAACTCTTCTGTCCAAAAAAAAGTTCAGTACTCTATCCAAATACCAGCAAAGCATGACTTGTGTTCACAACATCTATAAAGCCTAGAGCATTTACACAAATTCTGTATGTATATCCCCCAAGAAAAGTTTTATTTTCTTGTCTTCCCATAAAAAAAATATGCTGTTACTGAGCCAAATTCTGTTCTTTTTCTATTTGGAATTCCAGGTACACTCCCTCGTGCATGAGCTCAGCATGAGGAAGGCAACTGAAGCAGTGATATATATCTTCTCTTTCCTAGGATAATTGCCCCAACCTTCCCAACTCAGGGCAGGAAGACTATGACAAGGATGGAATTGGTGATGCCTGTGATGATGACGATGACAATGATAAAATTCCAGATGACAGGGTAAAAACAGTTTTCTATCCCTTTTTCATCTTTTCAGTTCAGCAACAGCCTGAAACACTTTGGGATTCAAGGAAATTACATGGCTATAGCAAAAAATATACCAAATCAATACACAGGATAATTAGAAATTATTCATTGTGTTCCAGTAGTTTAAGGATGTAGATGTTGCCAAGAGAATTTTTAAATGAGGGTTTTGTTTTTCATCAGAACTGTTTTTCTCTGTACTTGAGAAATTATAATGCATAAACAAATGCCACTTTGTTCCCTAGATTCATTTCAAATGTCACATCGAAATTACAGTAAAATTGACTTTGGGCACACTATGAACTGAGATGATGGGATTATATTCTACATCTCACTAACTTCTAACCCACAGGGATCCATTTTTTTAACTATGTCCTTTTAACTTTTGTAGTGATCGTTTTACACTGAGTGATCAATTAGCCTATCCACTAGGTAGAAAGTATTGCTGATTTTCACAGTTTTAGACATATTATGCACATGGTTTGAGGCTTGAGCTGTTTTCAAGGACAACATTGTTAAGTGCTCCATTTCTTCTCTTTGCAGGACAACTGTCCATTCCATTACAACCCAGCTCAGTATGACTATGACAGAGATGATGTGGGAGACCGCTGTGACAACTGTCCCTACAACCACAACCCAGATCAGGCAGACACAGACAACAATGGGGAAGGAGACGCCTGTGCTGCAGACATTGATGGAGACGGTAAGGTGCTGCCTGATCAGAGGGCCCGCGGGAGACAGGGACATGCACAGCTTTCCAAACGTACTTCTGTCTAGTCCTGGCTATTAGTATGCACTTTGGTGGAAACATCCAAGGCTGGAGAGCCCAGCTCTTATTTGTCCCTTGTTCTCTTCAGGTATCCTCAATGAACGGGACAACTGCCAGTACGTCTACAATGTGGACCAGAGAGACACTGATATGGATGGGGTTGGAGATCAGTGTGACAATTGCCCCTTGGAACACAATCCGGATCAGGTAGGTGGATGGACTCCTTTCAGAGTCTTTCAGTAAACTGTTGGAATATCCCTTTCATGGCCTTTGAAAAATGAGCTTAACAAAGTTCAAACACTTTCATTACTGTGGCTCCCTGGCTTCTCATAGCCAACTGGAATACGTTCATGTAAATAATTTGCCTGATGTGAGCTCCTTGCACAGAGTCTCACAGATCTTTAGCATGAAGATCTGGTAACTTCAGTCTTACCTTCTGTAAGAAGGGCTACTGGACTTGCTCAGCATCGTCTACCATTGTTAAGACAAATTATACAAAGCAGACATCTGTGACTGACAACTGTACAATAATATTAATCATATGTAATACTAAGAGATGGAAAAATAAATGTGCATAAGCAAAATAACCATTTTCATGGCTAATGATGTAATCTAGCTATAAGAAAATCATCAAACTAAGGATACATCCAAAACCAAAGTAATTTATCCCTGTCATAAACATTACCCAGACAGTATACAACACAGGGACCAGTGGTCTGTTTCCATCTTTTCAGGACTTTTCAGAGAAGTCGACGTGTCAACAGTTTTACAACTGAAACCTTCTAAGGAAATTCTCTGTTATAAAGTATCCAGAAAATTTCATTTAACATTAAGATGTAAACAGTTAACATTTCATTTCATCTTTAGTAATTAAATATCACTCTATTTGACCTTATTTAGAAAGTTTTATATGTAAAACATTTTTAAATTATCCCTTCTCAGATTTTTATACGAAAACAAAGATAAAGGAAAAAAACTTTTAAAATGTAATTGCTACTATTGCTATCTTTCTGCAGGAGTGTGTAAATAGACATGACACCCCACTGGCTGTATCAAACAATGGAGAATTTTCCCTGTGGTGGGGGCATAAGTTATCTTTAACATGAATGGTTTATACTGCAATTTACCCTCCATTTACATCTCTCTTTCAGCTGGACTCTGACTCAGACCGCATTGGAGATACCTGTGACAACAATCAGGATATTGATGAAGATGGCCACCAGAACAATCTGGACAACTGTCCCTATGTGCCCAATGCCAACCAGGCTGACCATGACAAAGATGGCAAGGGAGATGCCTGTGACCACGATGATGACAACGATGGCATTCCTGATGACAAGGACAACTGCAGACTCGTGCCCAATCCCGACCAGAAGGACTCTGACGGTGAGTCATGGGAGCCACTTTCTAAGACAGGGACTGCTGGCACAGCTGTGTAGATTGAAGAAATGAAACCAAGGCTCAAAGCATTTGACAGGATGAAGGGACCAAATGCCAACTTAGACAAGATAGTGACATTTCTGACACCAGTAATAATAATAGCACTTTAGAATTTTGCTGAACTCTTGCTTTTTTGACCTCAGGCGATGGTCGAGGTGATGCCTGCAAAGATGATTTTGACCATGACAGTGTGCCAGACATCGATGACATCTGTCCTGAGAATGTTGACATCAGTGAGACCGATTTCCGCCGATTCCAGATGATTCCTCTGGACCCCAAAGGGACATCCCAAAATGACCCTAACTGGGTTGTACGCCATCAGGGTAAAGAACTCGTCCAGACTGTCAACTGTGATCCTGGACTCGCTGTAGGTGAGTAGCGAGTTCTTAGATCCTAAGAGACTGATGCATACATGGGGAAAAACAAATATAAAACCTGGCAGTTGTACCTATCCCTGTGGGTGCTGAGGATGTCTAGGAACATGATGGAGAACCTTCTGAAGGCTGCAGGTTTTAACCTGGCTCTGGGCTCTTCTTCCAGGTTATGATGAGTTTAATGCTGTGGACTTCAGTGGCACCTTCTTCATCAACACCGAAAGGGACGATGACTATGCTGGATTTGTCTTTGGCTACCAGTCCAGCAGCCGCTTTTATGTTGTGATGTGGAAGCAAGTCACCCAGTCCTACTGGGACACCAACCCCACGAGGGCTCAGGGATACTCGGGCCTTTCTGTGAAAGTTGTAAACTCCACCACAGGGCCTGGCGAGCACCTGCGGAACGCCCTGTGGCACACAGGAAACACCCCTGGCCAGGTAAGAAGCAAAGCCCTGGAACAGAGAGAGAGCTTATGGGTGCCTGACTAGCACTGGGGATGCTGTGCTTTGACCAAGACTCTGACCAGGGAGTCTTAGAAAGTTCCCAGCATCACCAGCTGCAGCATTGAACTCTGCTTTGTAAAAACATAATAGTGTTGAAAAGGGAGCTTGACCAAGAATTGCCCTGCAAATCCTAAGGTGCCTTCAGCCTTTTCAAACAAAAAAACCTCCTTCCCTCCTCTCTGTCTGCTTTATATGTGTGCTCAGTGGCACACAACAAATATGAGAGGACTTGGAAAAATTCCCCATTGCAGCCCTCTAACTTAGATCAGCTCAGTACCTTTCAAGCATTGTTTCTGATGGAATGAAATAGAAATCTTTACCTGAAGGAGCTGTGTTTCAACCTTTCCTTTTCCTTTTCCTTCAGGTGCGCACCCTGTGGCATGACCCTCGTCACATAGGCTGGAAAGATTTCACCGCCTACAGATGGCGTCTCAGCCACAGGCCAAAGACGGGTTTCATTAGGTACGATCATACTGATTCACTTTCACTTACAGTCACACTGAGGGACAAAAAGACAAAAAGTATTAAATAGCATTGTCACTAAACAAGATTTTTTTTCCCTGCAGAGTGGTGATGTATGAAGGGAAGAAAATCATGGCTGACTCAGGACCCATCTATGATAAAACCTATGCTGGTGGTAGACTAGGGTTGTTTGTCTTCTCTCAAGAAATGGTGTTCTTCTCTGACCTGAAATACGAATGTAGAGGTAAGAGCAACATCACCATGAATGTACACTGGACATCTCTATTTCAGACTAATATCAAGGATGACGGTTATGGGGGAGTCCAGTGTAAAGACTGTTTTGGAGACAGGGTTATTTCTATTTTGCTTTTGAGGACACAAGGACAAAAATGGAATAATGCCTAGGCACTGTGGCTTATGAGTTCCTGAGTCCTTAGCTATAATATTAGTTTGCTTAGCAATCTCTGTGCTCCTCATACACAGTGCAAAGGTAAGCTGCAGAAAAGCTCCTATATAATTTGGACTTCATTAATAATACTGTTCTTTACAATTATATATTTATATATCTTACTGCTTATTGTTTTATGCATGCCATCACAGCACGAGTTAGCATTCCCAACTTTTCCCTGTATACAAAGAAGGGAGAGGAATGTTGCTTTCATATTGGCATGTTAAATTAATGTTCACTATTAAACTTAGCATTTTTTTTCCTCATTCTTTTTTACTTAGTCATTACTTAAGCTCGCTGAGTCCAACACTGGCTCTACCACAAAATAAGTGCTTAATATATATTTACTGGGCCAAGGCCAGATACCTAAAAGATCAATGACAGTAGAGAAAGATGGTTGATTTTACTCAAAAAAATCTAAATTATTAATGTAATTTTTGAGTCCAAATTTTTAAAATAAGACTCCCTAAACTGTTAACATTGAAAGCCTTTGGAAAGCATAATATATGTTCTGGAAGGTTCACGCTGTGTCGGTCTCCTAGCATCAATGTCAGCTAATAAAATTAAATGCTAATGTGCTTGAACAACCTTAAAATTAGGCTTTTGTCATTAGAAAAGTAGAGCTATTCCTATGTGGTTAACTTATTAACTAAGATGTCTATGCTTTTATGAATTAGTTTTCATTTGTATATTTATTTATATTTGTTTATTTAACAGATCCCTAATCATCAAATTGTTGATTGAAAGACTGATCATAAACCAATGCTGGTATTGCACCTTCTGGAACTATGGGCTTGAGAAAACCCCCAGGATCACTTCTCCTTGGCTTCCTTCTTTTCTGTGCTTGCATCAGTGTGGACTCCTAGAACGTGCGACCTGCCTCAAGAAAATGCAGTTTTCAAAAACAGACTCAGCATTCAGCCTCCAATGAATAAGACATCTTCCAAGCATATAAACAATTGCTTTGGTTTCCTTTTGAAAAAGCATCTACTTGCTTCAGTTGGGAAGGTGCCCATTCCACTCTGCCTTTGTCACAGAGCAGGGTGCTATTGTGAGGCCATCTCTGAGCAGTGGACTCAAAAGCATTTTCAGGCATGTCAGAGAAGGGAGGACTCACTAGAATTAGCAAACAAAACCACCCTGACATCCTCCTTCAGGAACACGGGGAGCAGAGGCCAAAGCACTAAGGGGAGGGCGCATACCCGAGACGATTGTATGAAGAAAATATGGAGGAACTGTTACATGTTCGGTACTAAGTCATTTTCAGGGGATTGAAAGACTATTGCTGGATTTCATGATGCTGACTGGCGTTAGCTGATTAACCCATGTAAATAGGCACTTAAATAGAAGCAGGAAAGGGAGACAAAGACTGGCTTCTGGACTTCCTCCCTGATCCCCACCCTTACTCATCACCTGCAGTGGCCAGAATTAGGGAATCAGAATCAAACCAGTGTAAGGCAGTGCTGGCTGCCATTGCCTGGTCACATTGAAATTGGTGGCTTCATTCTAGATGTAGCTTGTGCAGATGTAGCAGGAAAATAGGAAAACCTACCATCTCAGTGAGCACCAGCTGCCTCCCAAAGGAGGGGCAGCCGTGCTTATATTTTTATGGTTACAATGGCACAAAATTATTATCAACCTAACTAAAACATTCCTTTTCTCTTTTTTCCTGAATTATCATGGAGTTTTCTAATTCTCTCTTTTGGAATGTAGATTTTTTTTAAATGCTTTACGATGTAAAATATTTATTTTTTACTTATTCTGGAAGATCTGGCTGAAGGATTATTCATGGAACAGGAAGAAGCGTAAAGACTATCCATGTCATCTTTGTTGAGAGTCTTCGTGACTGTAAGATTGTAAATACAGATTATTTATTAACTCTGTTCTGCCTGGAAATTTAGGCTTCATACGGAAAGTGTTTGAGAGCAAGTAGTTGACATTTATCAGCAAATCTCTTGCAAGAACAGCACAAGGAAAATCAGTCTAATAAGCTGCTCTGCCCCTTGTGCTCAGAGTGGATGTTATGGGATTCTTTTTTTCTCTGTTTTATCTTTTCAAGTGGAATTAGTTGGTTATCCATTTGCAAATGTTTTAAATTGCAAAGAAAGCCATGAGGTCTTCAATACTGTTTTACCCCATCCCTTGTGCATATTTCCAGGGAGAAGGAAAGCATATACACTTTTTTCTTTCATTTTTCCAAAAGAGAAAAAAATGACAAAAGGTGAAACTTACATACAAATATTACCTCATTTGTTGTGTGACTGAGTAAAGAATTTTTGGATCAAGCGGAAAGAGTTTAAGTGTCTAACAAACTTAAAGCTACTGTAGTACCTAAAAAGTCAGTGTTGTACATAGCATAAAAACTCTGCAGAGAAGTATTCCCAATAAGGAAATAGCATTGAAATGTTAAATACAATTTCTGAAAGTTATGTTTTTTTTCTATCATCTGGTATACCATTGCTTTATTTTTATAAATTATTTTCTCATTGCCATTGGAATAGATATCTCAGATTGTGTAGATATGCTATTTAAATAATTTATCAGGAAATACTGCCTGTAGAGTTAGTATTTCTATTTTTATATAATGTTTGCACACTGAATTGAAGAATTGTTGGTTTTTTCTTTTTTTTGTTTTGTTTTTTTTTTTTTTTTTTTTTGCTTTTGACCTCCCATTTTTACTATTTGCCAATACCTTTTTCTAGGAATGTGCTTTTTTTTGTACACATTTTTATCCATTTTACATTCTAAAGCAGTGTAAGTTGTATATTACTGTTTCTTATGTACAAGGAACAACAATAAATCATATGGAAATTTATATTTATACTTACTGTATCCATGCTTATTTGTTCTCTACTGGCTTTATGTCATGAAGTATATGCGTAAATACCATTCATAAATCAATATAGCATATACAAAAATAAATTACAGTAAGTCATAGCAACATTCACAGTTTGTATGTGATTGAGAAAGACTGAGTTGCTCAGGCCTAGGCTTAGAATTTGCTGCGTTTGTGGAATAAAAGAACAAAATGATACATTAGCCTGCCATATCAAAAACATATAAAAGAGAAATTATCCCTAAGTCAAGGGCCCCCATAAGAATAAAATTTCTTATTAAGGTCATTAGATGTCATTGAATCCTTTTCAAAGTGCAGTATGAAAACAAAGGGAAAAACACTGAAGCACACGCAACTCTCACAGCGACATTTTCTGACCCACGAATGATGCCTTGGGTGGGCAACACGATTGCATGTTGTGGAGACACTTCGGAAGTAAATGTGGATGAGGGAGGAGCTGTCCTTGCAATGTTGAGCCAAGCATTACAGATACCTCCTCTTGAAGAAGGAATAATAAGTTTAATCAAAAAAGAAGACTAAAAAATGTAAAATTTGGAAGGAATCCATAAATGCGTGTGTGTCTAAATACAAATTATCATGTGAAGAAAAGGCCCAAGTGTACCAATAAGCAGACCTTGATTTTTGGATGGGCTAATTATGAATGTGGAATACTGACCAGTTAATTTCCAGTTTTAATGAAAACAGATCAAAGAAGAAATTTTATGAGTAGGTTAAAGGTCTGGCTTTGAGGTCTATTAAACACTAGAAAGGACTGGCTGGGTGAGATAAAATCTTCCTTGTTGATTTTCACTCTCATTCTATAAATACTCATCTTTCTGAGTAGCCATGATCACATACAAATGTAAATTGCCAAATCATTTTATAGTACCAAGGTGAAGAAGCAGGAACTAGAAAGTGTTGATAATAGCTGTGGAGTTAGGAAAACTGATGTGAAGGAAATAATTCTTTGAAATGGCAAAGAATTAAATACCATCATTCATTATCAGAAGAGTTCAACGTTTGAAGTGCTGGGAGATAATTCTAATTCATTCTTGGATAGTGAAGCAAAACTGATTGAAAATACCAAGATAAGACAGAAAAAGTGACTGGAAAGAGGAGCTTTTCTTCCAGGCATGTTCCAGTTTCACCCTAAGACTGACCTTCAAATAATCAGGTTGTACTGAAATAAAGGACTTGTTAAAAATTAAAATTATGTCATCGAGATGATAGCTTTTTTCCTCCTCCAACAGTTTATTGTCATGTGTTGTGGGAGAGCTCGAGTGAAGAGCAATAAACTCCAGGTCTTATAAGAATGTACATACAATAAAGGTGGTGCCAGCAGTTTTTTTTTTTCTAAAGAGTCACATGTAGAAAAGCCTCCAGTATTAAGCTCCTGAATTCATTCCTTAAATAAATTGGCTCTCTCTCTCTTCTATAATTTCTTTTTCTTTTTATTTTTGAGATGAAGTCTTGCTCTGTCGCCCAGGCTGGAGTGCAGTGACACAATCTCGGCTCACTGCAACCTCTGCCTCCCCGGTTCAAGCAATTCTCCCTCCTGCCTCAGCCTCCCAAGTAGCTGGGACTACAAGCGCCCGCCACCAAGCCTGGCTAATTCTGTATTTTTAGTAAAGACGGGGTTTCACCTTGTTCCGGACAAACACTAAGCCCTAAAGGGAAATCCAAAATAAAAACATCTATTTTTAATAACACTTTCTATCTAAATCAGGGTGACTTTTTAAAAAAAATCCGGAAGCTTTTTGTTGAATTACGTTACAGACTTAGTTACCAGTCCTTGTTAGAGTTACCTTCAGTTGACATGCTGTGAATGGTCCCACCTCTTTTATGGCAGAATTCATTACTTAAAATAACTCTATTTTCTTCCCCCTTACCTAAATAACAGAAAGGCTCACTATGTCCCAAATATCATTGGCAGAAGCAAACTATAAAGTCATAAGCCCTTTGCAGTGCAAGTCTAGAAATAATTTTACTCTGTGTTTCTTTCTGTCTCCCTCTTCCCTCCCCTTTTTCCTTCCTACCCTCCCCTCCCCTCCCTCCTCCTTCTTTCTCTCTCTCTCTCTCTCTCTCATACATACAAACATCAAATACCAGAAAAGCATAGATTTAGAAAGCTGAACTCCTCTGAAACGCTGACGGACAACACTGGCCCCTCTCTGCCCCACAACAAATTCTCACCCATATCACCTTTGCCCTCTGATTCTTCCCACCCAAACCCTAAAACACAGAGTGTGCCTCATGGCATTCCTATGAGAATCTAAAATCACAACTTTTAACTTATACTTCCATCCCACAGCAAAACTCTTGGCATCAAGATAAATTATACGTAGCACATTGACATCAGCATGAACAATTGCTATTTTAAATGAACAAATAGTAAACTGAAATAGTGTCTGGAAAAAGAAACTGCCTATCAATACCTCTGAAAATAGTAGCTATAGAATTCCTCATTTTAAAAAGTCAAGGAAATTCCATATAAACAATCATTAATGTTATTCAGTATCAGTGGATGAACATGTGCCAGCAAAAACAATGTTATGTATACATCACTCAAATTTTATTAAAGGCAGCACAATAGCCCGCTCATTTTTTGATTCAGAAATAAACTGGACTTCCAATTCTAATGCCAACTCATCTTATGGAATGTCAACACAAAATTTTCTCATGAATCTAAGTTACTGACTTGTAACTAAACCATCTCTCTTCAAATAGTACCGCAGACTGTCTTTTAAAGTAGCTCATCTTTATTTGATGCAATCTAAAAGGCCCAAACTCTGAAAGAAAATAAGAAACTATTGTTAACTATTATTAACAAAGTAATATATCAAATAATTCACTCAAACTCCTACTTAAGAAACGTGTCATCACCAATAAGATAGTAAAGGCTCTTCTAATATTGCTTTGTTGAGACAATTCATTTCATCTTATGGCAGGTTGTACCAGTTTCACAGACATGAGACAAGTGGGAAGAAGGAAAAGCAGGGCCACAGCAAAAATTCCCAGTGACCACCATGATCTGTCTGAATCACAGTAGAGGTGAAACATACAAAATTGAATACAGGACAATCACAGCACTTCAACGAGTTTTACCCTAACACGTATACATTAAAATGTTGGTTTTTATAATGAATCCTAATACTGTAAGATTAGCAATAAATTTATAAACAATGGTCCCAGAAATTTTAATGAGCAAAAACCACTGAACAATTACACCCCAAGTCTCAAAAATATCAAGGAAATATAATCCACAAAGAGCGACTCCAAATGTCAAAATCAATAAAGAATAGTCTCTGCAGTGCATTCATTGAATTCAAATAATTCAATAAGAAATTTAATTTAACTTCATTACCAACTTTCTGAAAAGCACACCCAGCAAGTCCTTGATTAGGGTTCTTTACATTCTTCTGCTGCATCTTTAGTCTCCTGCTCATCTGCACATAAAAACAATAACCACAGTTATTAGAGATTCAGAAATGTATGCATAATTAAGAAAAACAACTCAGCCTATAAAATATTAAATCCCTTTACACATGAGGCAATAATCACACTCTCATTTAATACTTACTGAACAGTCACCACGAGCTGCAGACAAAGTTTACGAGAAAAATAGAAAGATCAGGGCGCCTACTCTCATTGAGCTTACAGCTCAGGGAGAACACTACAGGTTTTGGAGCTAAAATGATTATGGATGTGGAGACACACACAGAAGTTAATATTTTGCTTTCTACTAAGTTTCTGGGAAGTACAGTGAGACCAAAAGTAAATGTTATATGTAGAATAGATAAGAGCTGATCGCCTTTCATTTCTTGAAGTGAGAAAAAAAATTGTGACATTAACAGAAAAGGAATGGAAATATTTTTCTACCCTTGGTGAGAAGGTTATCAGAAAATGCAGAATTGACAATAGAACTAAATTTTAAAAAGACAAAGAGAAACAGGAGAAACTGGAACCTTCATGCACGACTGGCAGGAATGGAAAATGGTGCAGTAGCTTTAGAAACAGTCTGGCAGTTCCTGAGAAGGTTACCATAGACCTGGCAATTCCACTTCTAGGTATAAGCCCAAGAGAAATGAAAGCATACATCCATACAAAAACTTGTACACAAGCGTTCATATCAACATTATATGTAATAGCCAAAAAGTGGAAACAACCCAAATGTCCATCAAATGATGAATGGATAAGCAAAATGTGATATATCCATATAATTGAGACTTATTCAACAATAGAAAAGAGTGGAGTATGGATACATGCTACAACATGGATGAATCTTGAAGACATAATGTAAGAAGCCAGTCACAAAAGGCCATATGCCGTATGATTCCATTTATATGAAATGTTCAGACTAGGCAAATTCACAGAGACAGAAAGACTGGTGATTGCCTAGGGCTGGGGTTGGGGAAAATGGGAAGTGATTACTAATACCCAAAATGTTGCGTTGTCGGGGGTGGAAAAAATAAAAAATTGATAGTGGTGATGGAGGTACAACTCTGTAAATATACTACAAACAATTGAATTGCACACTTTTAATGGGATGAATTGTAGGAAGCTGGTGAACAGTGGCTCCCCAAAACTCACATCCTCATCCCTGCAACCTGTGAAAGGGGTCTTTCTAGATGCAATTAAATTAAGCTTCTCGAGATAAGAAGATCATCCTGGATTCTCTGGGTGGGCCCTATATTCAATAAGAAGTGTTGTTATACAAAAAAGACAGAGGGAGATTAACACACACAGATGGAGGGAGGCAATGTGAAGACGGAGGCAGAGACTGGAGTGACGTGGCCACAAAGCCAGGAATGCCCATAGCCAGGAGAAGCTGGAAGAAGCATGGAAGCGTTCTAGCGTTCTCTCCTAGGGCCTCCAGGTGGCGTGTGGCCTTGGTGACACCTTGATTTCAAACTTCTGGCCTCCAAAACTGTGAGAGAATAAATTTCTGTCATGGTAAGTTGTTGTGACAACCATAGGAAACTAATACAAATATATGAATTATATCTCAATAAAGTTCTTATTAAAAAAAGACTCAACCTTGTAATGAAGGGCAGATGACTTGCAGTTTCAGAGCAAAGTGATAAATGTAGTGGTACTGTCAACACATGGAGAAGAAATATTAAACAGGATGTAGAGGCAGGTGGGATGAATGAAAAGTGGATCACAATACCCCCATGCATGAGGTGGGAGATGATGGGACATAATTCCACGCCTTCGTAAGTGCTATTCTCTCACTATGGAGTGTTCTTTTTGCCCACCCAGCAAATAACCATTCATCCTTGGAGGCACAACTTAAATGCCACCTCCCATCCCTCTATAGTGTTGTCTATGTACTTTGTCCTGAAGCTCTTACTATGTTTGTCCCACCCTACTGTAATTAAGTGTCTGTCTTTAGGCACTTAAAAATTTTCATCAATAGAACTAGATTGAGTAACAAAAAATTTTTCATCAATATACCTAGAACAACGGTCCTCAACTGGGGGAAATTTTGCCCCCAAAGAACATTTTTTGCAATGTCTGGAGACATGTTTGTCTGTCATAACTGCAGAGGACACTACTGACATCAAGTCAGTAAAAGCCAGGGATTCCATTAAACACCCGACAATGCACAAGACAGCCCTTCAAATGTCCAACTCAAAATGCTAACAGTGCTGAGGTGAAAAACTCTTGGAACTTAGAAAAGCATCTAATACACAGGAGAATCTCATGAAATGTTTGTGGGGTAAATCGATGAATGAATGGATGGCAGATGGATGATGAATGAATAGCATGGAGCCTTGGGGTTTTAAAGCATGGCTGCACAGCAGAATCACCCAGACCCTGATCTCAGAAACTGACTTAAATGACTGCTGCCAGAACCCACCCCTAGAAATTGACTTAATTCATCTGGGATGGAACCAAGCTGCTAATCTGTTTTAAATCTCACCAGGTGATTCTAACATGCAGCCAGAGGTAAGAGGCAGCACTGGCTAAGGAACAGACTCAGTATAGCTTAAATGCCAGGCCGGCTCAAGGCAGACGGAAGTAGAGAGACTGGGCAATCAAAAGTATGCAAAGCATAGATAGTTCCATACTGGTTATATGTGTCTCCAAACAAAATATTAACGAAGAAAGAGTAGAGAACTCAAGGGAGGGTCCCAGGGCATGCTTGCTCTAAGAGGAAGGTTGCCCAAAAGAATGACAAGATGGATGGCTGGAGAGATCACAAGACAATGTGGATGCAGCAGTATCTTCGTTAAAAAGAAATTTAAGAAGAAAAAAGCAGACATTCAGCAGATGGGAAAAAAGGTACTTTCTGTACATTATTTTCACTACCACCATTTATTTTTGATAATCCTAAAGTAGAAGTAAGTAGTAAACCATTTAGTCCGGAGCTTCTCACTCTGTAACATGCACACAAATCACCTGCGGGGTATCTTAAAATTCAGGCTCTGATTCAGTAGGTCTGCAGTGGGCCTGGCACTCTACATTTCTTTTTGTTGTTGTTGTTGCCCAGGCTGGAGTGCAATGTCATGATCTCAGTTCACCGCAACCTCCACCTCCCGAGTTCAAGCGATTCTCCTGCCTCAGCCTCCCAAGTAGCTGGGATTATAGGCATGCACCACCATACCCGGCTAATTTTGTATTTTTAGTACAGATGGGGTTTCTCCGTGTTGGTTAGGCTTGTCTCAAACTCCCAACCTCTGGTGATCTGCCCGCCTGGGCCTCCCAAAGTGCTGGGATTACAGGCGTGAGCCACAGTGCCCGGCTGAGACTCTACATTTCTAACAAGCTTCCAGTTGATGCTGACACCACTAGTCCATAGACCTAGTTTACAGTCACAATAGCGGATCTTCAGTAACTTTTTACTTTACCCAATTTGAATGAAGCAACAGAACCAGAAGTTTCCAATAACTGATAAAGTGATAAGGACATTACAATTAAATATCAAAACTCTCAAGCATGCCTTTGTTCATTTTATACTGCTAAAATGATAGAGAAAATGATCAACAGCAAATATTTATATGAAAAGTCTACCTCAAGAAGAATTAAAGAAAATTAGTTGAAAGTAAATTGAAGATGTAAATTAACCAAATATAAACTTACTATACACTAAGGTTTTATATTAAAAAATGAATTCACATTAGAAATTTCTAATATGGCATCTCTGATATTTTGACCAAATAAACTCTGGAAGAGCATTGGTTTGACTAGACAAAGGGAGGTTAAGTCACTAAGGGCATTGAAGAAGCAACGTGTAGCCTTGGAAAAGTAATTTAACAAATAGTAACTATGAGGTCTGAAGGCACACCCTGTTTGAGACAAACAGAAAACTATTAAGGCAATGATGAGTTAAGGACTTCCCTAAGAGCAATCCAAAATATTTTTAATGGAAAAGATCAGCTAATAGGGTCACTGTTTCTAGAATCTCACCGCTCTCCTGCAAACCAGTAAGACTATACTATAACAAAGAAAATTTTCTCAAACAATCTAGTTCCCTTGAAACTGTTCAGGTGGTATGACTAAGGACATATACCAACACACACCCACTTCAAACCACTGCAACACCCTTACCAAAAGTCAATCTGCCGGCAACCAGGCCTCATCCAGCAAGTTACAATCAATGGGCAAAATTTCAGCCTCAAGTATATTCAGATTATATAGTCGTCATTATTAGTAGAACTTTTTTTTTATCTGAGGATCCCAATAAGATAACATACTTAGCTTTCTTTCATCTAAACTGAAATCTATAGTTCTCAAGTGTTCACAGTGAAATCCTGTCCCTAGCATTAATTTAGCAGCCTGGACATTCCATCCCAGGAACTCTGATTTCAGCAAGTCTGGATAGGTCCTTGGACACAGCTAGAAAACAAACAAGCAAAAAACTCCCCAGATGATCTTGATACTCACTGTGGTTAGGAATAATGCTCTGCAGTTTGTAACAGGGCTTCTCAAACTTTATTGCCGGGAAGTATCACCAGGGATCTTATTAAAATGAAAATTCTCATGCCTTAGGTTGTGGGTGGGCCCTTAGGGGCCCTGCATCTCTAACAAGCTCCCAGTGGTTGGATTGCACTACAAGCAGAGGAGACTTACAACATGGAATGGAAATTCAATGTCTCCAAAGGACCAAGCCCATGAAGTAGAGAGGGCTAGGTGGGGGCTGTGTCCTCTTGGAGAATACACATGCCTTCTAAGGGGAGCATCTGCTACTCAGCTCCCGTGGGTGGTGGTAGAACTTGCTGATTTGTCAGAAATGTCAGAAATCTAGCCTTTTATGGAAAAATCTCCTGACAATGTTCAATGTTAAACGCCATGTAAGCCAACCAAGTCCAGTCCCAGAGCTAATCATTTTATTTGAATGTTCTCATTTGATCCTCATTACAACCCTACAGGGTATTAAGCCATCTTATATGATAGACAAGGAAACCAAGGTGTAGAGGAGAGAGAGAGAAATTAACTAACTTACCTAAGATCTCCATCTAGCAGCAGAGCAAGGATTCAAACCCAGGTCTTCCCTACCCAGAACCCATGTTCCTAACCACTAGGCCACTTCCCACTGGTGGGTGGTAGGCCACCCTCCCTCTGCTAATCTAGGTTCTAGCTTGGGATTCTGCTACTTACTTGGACTCCCTTAATTTGGTCCTTTGAGTAACTAATCTGCTCTTTGGTTTTATGTTCACAGTTTCAATTTAGAGTGACCAACCATTCCAGTTTGCTAGAGACTGAGGATTTCCTGGAACATGGAACATTCAATGGTAAAACCAGGACACTTCTGAGCAATCCAAGACAGTTGGCCACTATAGTTTTCATTTAGGGGTATTATTTTAAAAAGAAAACAAAACTTACATGACTCTTGTTGCATTTACTATAGGCTTTTAAACTGACACACAATTGTACATATCTATGGGATACACAGTGATATTTTAATACATACAATGTCTAGTGGTCAAATCAGGTAAATTGCATACCCATCACCTCATTTATCAATTCTCTGTGTTAAGAACATTCAAAACCTTCTCTTCTAGCTATCTGAAAATATATATTATTGTTGACTATAGTCACCCTACAGTGCTATAGACTATTAGAACTTATTCCTCCTATAAAGCTATAATTTTGTATCCTTTAACCAATAACTCCCTATCCCTTCCTCCCTGCTAACTTATACAATTTTTCAAGAATACTGTTCACTCAACAGGTCCAACGAGAAATTCCACTTTGTTTTTCTTAAAGAATTAGTGCAGTTCTGTCCCCATTTTTTACTGCACAACTGATTTTGTGTCCGTTTTTGCCCTATTTTACTATGTTTGTTATTTGCTAATACCATGTTCATCTTTATTTTATGAATTTCTGTTAATAATTAGCTCAAATGCTTAGTAGGAAGGGAGAATACTATACAAGCATAGGTGGCTTTTGCTTTGATTACCTAGAAAGCAACTCAGTATTAGATAATTTGATTAAATACTAGACTAACTCACAGACCTGATCCTTTTTGCTTCGGAAGTGCCAGTACATTCAGGATTGTCTCTGAGGTTAAGTGTGACCTGACAACACTTAATCCCCACTCTCCTCATGCTCCCACAAGGAGGAACTTGCAGTGGAAGCATCCTGGCCTCACTTCACACCCTCCACACTGTCCGTGGGAAGCTAAGTTTGGGAGATGAAATGGCATGCTCAGCTCAGCCCCTGCCTCCTCAGGAGTCAGCACCCAGCTCCCACCTGACCCTGCTCCCCAAGGCTCCATGCTTCGCTCCTCCACCCTATTGGTTTTACATGGACAGGTCTCCACAGATGATGCCTGAGATTTTCCATCTCTGCCAGTGACTGGGTGAGTACGTTTATTTTAAAGGCATAGCATTGGAAGCCTGTCTGGCTGCCCACCCGGATCATGACAATCCTCTACATTTCATTAGCAATAAAGCGAACCTCCTTGATCTCCATTTGTCAGAATCTATCTCTCTCTCAGTCGGTTCTGACCTGGGTGGGGAAGAGAAGAGTGCTAGTTATTTGTCCCGTAAAACCCCAGTAACTAGTGAGTACAATGCTGAATTTACTGAACCTTGTATTCAAAAATTCAAATAATACTGGTTACCATGAAGCTTAAAGCACAAACATTGATAATGTGTTTCACATTGAAAATTTTTAATACAACTGATAGGCAAATCCTTATTTTTCAATACCACCATTTAAATTGGTCTTCAAGGTCACTGAGTTTGGTTTTAGTTTTGAAGCCTTATCTGACTCTGCCTTTTAGAAGCACAATTGAAATAGTTGGAACAGACCTCAGCACATCAAGGAAAAGACAACTACGTATCAGTAATACTTGCTATTGAAAGAGAAAACAATAAATGGCTTTTCTTATTTTCTTCCTGTCTGCTTCCAGAAATCTAATCCGAATCACACTCTTGTGTATCTATTTCCTGAGAAGGAGGTAGAACAGAAATGTAACAGCCAAACACGCAGCAACTCCTCATTAGTTATGTCTTCAAAGGGCTTTTTGTCAAGAAAACTGACACAGCATTCAGTTTTGATGCACACTTTTGTAGAAAGCACATAATGGACAATTTAGTATTTTAGAATAAAATTGATCAGCAAGCTATTTTAATAATTATAAATAATGAGGTTAGTAAAACTCCAACTTCAGATATTCTAACATGCTCAAAGTAATAATGTAAGACCTATTCCTTAGAGCTTATTATGTAATAAACAGAAAGTAAAATATGGTTCACATATTCACACCTAAGACACCTTAATCATAGTCACAGGGTTAATTGTTATAATTGCATATTAACATTATCTGGTATAATCAGAGCCATGTTCTATGTCTCCATAGCTTCTTTCCATTAAGTCACATTAAGTTCCAATTCATTCCATCTTGTCATGCTCTACCCAGTGACAGATATGCATCAGTGTGACTCATGTTCACATAAAAATAAAGTCATATCTTAGCAAATTACTTTTCTAAACCCCCCTATATATGGACTCCATGGGAATGAGATCCCATACACAAGAAATGATTGCATCCAATTTTGTAAGTTTGATTTCAGAAGTCAGAGGAGATTCAGATACTTTCTAATAAAAACACTTTATCCAAAAAGAAGGACAATATACTTCAATTTCAGAGTAGAACAAAGTTTTCACAGTTCATTTATTAAATGAAGATCTTTGGTGTGAAGAAAGCAAACCACACCCATCTAACTGAATTGCATTTGTAAGTGAACTCTGCTGCTAAATAAAAACATTACAGCTGGAAGTTCTACTCAGGAAGATGGCAGAATGGGTGTTGCTCAGCTCCCATACCCCCAACAAAAATCCAACCAACTATTTACAGACAAGAATATCTTCATTAATACTCCTGAACTCCCTGAACGTGAAAAGCTGAGACACCCCCTTGGACCACATAACTGAAAAAAGCCTCATTCAAGGGGTAAGTGGAATAGAGGAATGGTTTCACTTTGACCACATCACCACTCCCCCAAACCCTGCCACACCTCAAGCCAGCACAGCACCACACACAGAAGATTCCCCTGGGCCCAGAGTTTCTACAGTGGGAAAAGAGAGAGGCAAACATTCAGCTTCCCCAACATTCTGGGACCCTGAGCAGGAAGCCCACTCATTATTATCTCCCGGGAAACACTGGGAGTACAGGCAGGGCTAGACCACCTAGGATCAGCCAGAAACAAAGAACAAAAGTGAGACTCACAGAAACGAGCACATGGATCTTGCAGTGGCTCTGCATTCTAGCCAATGGAGGCACTCCACCAGAGAAACTGGCCAACAGCATTAGCACTGTCCTGCAGGAAGTATAGTCAACTGATCTGCCAGGCTTCATTCCCTAGCCAGCTTCCCCACCTAGCTCTGGTGCTCTCCTTAAGCCTTCCCCAGGCCAGGCAGCAAGGGCAGGTCAGTGATTACCTAAGGAGGGTAGCAACGGGCCCCACCCAACCCCAGCAGCCAACTAGCCTAACCCTACCAAGCCTTCATGTTCTGCTTAAGGCTTGCCAGGCTAGGAGGCAAGTGCAGGTCAATGAATGAATATCTATGGACAAAAGTACCTGGCCCCACCCAACCCCAGCAGCTGCATGGTGACCCCACAAAGCCTCAGTGCTTTGCTTAAGGCTTCCCTGAGGGAAGCCTGCATCCATGTGTTTCTCTAGACGATAGCCTGGCCCATCCTGAATGGCTGAGCACAACAGCAGAAACCTCACCCAGTCGCTGAGCCCAGCACACAGACCTGCCCAGCTACAGATTAAAAACAGCAGTACTTCCCAGCCAGGGAAAACAACATGCAACCCTGTGCAATCAGAGGCTATTACAGAGCCCAGCCAGTAGCTCCACCTTAACTGTGGAGTCCAGCTAGTGATCTGTCTCATCAGACCACAGAGCACAGCCAGAAGTTCCACTTGACCTCAAAGAACAGCCAGCAGGCTGGCCCAACAGCAACACCAACAGCAAGGTGTACCTGTCTGGGGTTGTTACCAGCTGGCCTATCCATAATCAAATGCTAAACTAACTAGTGAAGGTCTACCACTGTGAAAGAAAACCTTCAAGGCCAAAAGAGGTGGCCATTTCCTCAAATGTGTAGACAACAAGGTTTAGAAAGAATCAGGGAAATGTGACACAACAAAAAGAAACTAATAAAGCCCCAATAATGGACCCTGAAAAAAATGTAGAGCTATGAAAAAAGAATGAAGAAAGCCTACATAAATCTATGGGACACCATCAAGAAAACTAACTTTCTTATAATAAAATTCTAAGAAAGATATGATAAAGAAAAAGGCCCAGAAAATATATTTAAGAAAATATGGCTGAAAGTTTCCAAAATTTGTGGAAATATGACAACATCCAGGTATAGAAAGCTCAGAGATCTCCAATTAAATTCAAGCCAAAGATGAGTGCACCAAGACAAATCATAATCAAACTATTAAAAAACAAAGACGGTCAGGCGCAGTGGCTCATGCCTGTAATCCCAGCACTTTGGGAGGTCGAGGCGGGCAGATCACGATGTCAGCCTGGCCAATATGGTGAAACCCCATCTCTGCTAAAAATACAAAAATTTGCTGGGCATGGTGGTGCGTGCCTGCAGTCTCAGCTACTCAGGAGGCTGAGGCAGGAGAATCGCTTGAACCCAGGAGGCAGAGGCTGCAGTGAGCCAGGATCATGCCACTGCAGTCTAGTCTGGGTGACAGAGCAAGACTCTGCCTTAAAATAAAATTAAATTAAAATTAAAATAAAACAAAGACAAAGAATCCTGAAAGCAGTAAGAGATCAGGAATGTATAATATTCAAGGGAGTCCCAAAACAGCAACCAGCAGATTTCTCAGCAGAATCCCTGCAAGCCATAAAAGGGTGGGATAATATAATCAAAGTGTAGAAGAAAAACAAAACTGGCAACCAAGAATACTTAACTCAGCAAAGCTATTCCTCAGAAATAAGGGATAAATAAAAACTTTCCCAAACAAACAAAAACTAAGTAAGTTTATCACCACTAGGCCTGCCTAACAGGAAATGCTAAAGGGAGCTAAGCTGAAATAAAAGGCTCCTAATTGATACATAAAACTTATAAAAGCAAAAAGCACTAAATGGTGTAAGTAAGACATAGTCATATTCAGAATAATACTGTAAGGATGATGTGTAAAGGAATTTTCTCTGTATTATGAGAGTTAAAAAACAAAACTATTAAAAACAAATGCAGCTATAATAAATTGTTAAAGGAATCCAAATTACAAAAAGATGTAAAATTTACATCTAAATCATAAAAGTTGTCGGGGGGAGGGCGTTAAAGTATTGAGATTTTATATGTGATAAAAGTTATCAGCTTAAAATAGCCTGTTATAATAAGATATTTTGTTGTTGTTTTTTTTTATTTTTTAAGGAGATGGAGTCTTGCTATATTGCCCAGGCAGGGCTCAAACTCCTTGGCTGAAGTGATCTTCCCACTTCATCCTTCCAAGTAGATGGGACTACAGGTATGCACAACCATGCCCAGCCTGTACAAGATGTTTTATATAAACCTGATGGTAAACACAAATAAAAACCTGTAATAGTTGCACAAAATATAAAAGGAAAAGATTCAAAGCATACCATCACAGAAAATTATCAAACCACAAAGGAAAGTAGCAAGAGAGGAAGAAAGAAACAACAGCTCTACAAAACAACCAGAAGCAAATTACAAAATGGCAGTAGCATGTCCTTACCTATCAGCAATTACCTTGAATGTAAATGGATTAAAGTCGCTAGTCAAAACACATAGAGTGGCTGAATGGGTTGAAAAAATAGTAATAAAAGGCCAACTATATGCTACCTGTGAGAGACTCACTTTACTAGTAAGAAAATACATGGACAAAGTGAAGGGATGGAAAAGTTACTCCATGCAAATGAAAACCAAAAGAGAGCAGGGGTTAGCTATACTTATATCAGACAAAATAGACTTTAAGTCAAAAGCTACACAAAGAGACAAAGAAGGTCATTATATAATGATAAAGGGATCATTTCATTAAGAGGACATAATTGTAAACATATACACACCCAACACTGGAACACCTAAATACATAAAGCAATTATTACATGATCTGAGAGATAGACTGCAATAGTATAAGAGTAGGGGACCTCAATACCCCACTTTCAATGATGAAGAGATCATCTAGACAGAAAATCAATAAGAAAACATTGGACTTGAATTACACTTTAAATCAAATGGACCTCACATTCATATACAAAACATCACACCCTACAGCAAGAAAATACACATTCTTCTCAAGCACACATGGGACATTCTCCAGGATAGGCCACAAAACAAGTCTTAATGAACTCAAGAGGATTTTAATCATATCAAGTATCTTTTCTGATCACAGTGGCATGAAACTAGAAATCTATAACAAGAAATCTTGGTGAATTCACAAATATGTGGAAATTAAACAACATGCTCCTAAACAAACAATAGGTCAGAGGGGGGAAAAAAGGAAATCAAACTATATTTTGAGACAAACAAAAATGGAAACACAACATATCAAAACTAATGGGATGCTGACAAAAGCAGTTCTAAGTGGGAAATATAAAACAATAAATGCTTATTATCAAAGAAAAAATCTCAAATAAACAATCTAATGTTAAACCTCAAAAAACTAGAAAAAGAACCAACTAAGTCCAAAGTTAGCAGAAGAAAGAAAATAACAAATATTAGAGCCAAAATAAACAAAATGGAGACTAGCAACAATAGAAAAAATCAACAAAACTAAGAATTGGCTTTTTGAAAAGATAAACAAAATTGACAAACCCTTAGCTAGACTAACTAGGAAAAGAAAGAAAGAAAACTCAAATAAATCAAATCCTCTGAACTCATCACACCATCATGTAATGGGAAGATAATGATTATGACCATATTTTTGTCTCATGATAGTTTTAGCTTATACAAAAAGTCTTAATATAAACGACCAAAAATAAAGAAATGCTTAAATTATGATACATCATAAGATACATTGCAGCCATCATAATGAATGATTTAGAAGAATATTTAATAACACAGAATGCTCAAAATATAAAAGAAAAAAATATCAGAATATATTATAAGAAGAATATGAAGACAATTTAAAATACACAACTAGAAAAAAGATGAATGTTAATATTAACAATGAATAGGTCTGGACAATGATTTTATCTTCTACACTTTTCTGTATGTTTCAAATAGCCTTCAACAAATTTACATTTGTTGTGCGATTAGAAAGCAATAACAAATACTTTTTAAAGTCTTTAAGCTCAAAACTTCTGCTTATTTAAAACAAAACGAAAATGAAATGAAAGAGGAGACATTACAACTGATACCAAAGAAATACAAAGGGTAATTATGTAAAATTATATGCCAACATATAATAACCTAGATATTTTATTGGATAACCTAGATGTGAACAGATTCCTGGACACATACATCCTGCCAAGGCTGAATCATAAAGAAACAAAAATCTGAACAGACCACTAATGAGCAAGGAGGTTGACTCAGTAATAAAAAGCCTCCTATCAAAAAAAGGCCCAGGGCCAGATGGCTTTACTACTGAATTCTACCAAACATTTAAAGAAGAACTAATACCAGTGCTTCTCAAACTCTTCCAAAAAACTGAAGTGGAAGAAAGCCTTCTGAACTCATTTTACAAGACCAGCATTACCCAGATACCAAAGCCAGAGAAGAATACCACAAGAAAAAAAAATTGCAGGCCAATATCCCTGATAAACACAGATGTGAAAATCCTCAACAAAGTACTAGCAAACCGAATTCAAAAGCAATTAAAAGAATCATTCACATGATCAAATGGGCTTTATCCCTGGTATGCAAGGATGGTTCAGCATATGCAAATTAATAAGTGGGATATACCACATTAATAAAATGAAGGATAAAAACCATATGATAATCTCAATAGATGAAGAAAAAGCATTTGACAAAATTCAACACCATTTCATGATAAAAATTCTCAACAGATTAGGTATAGAGGTAAAGTACATAATAAAGGCCATATAAGATAAATCTGTAACTAACATCATACTCAACGGTGAAAAGTAGAAAGCTTTTCCACAAGGATGCCCACTCTCACCACTTTTTTTCAACATAGTACTTAATGTCCTGGCCAGAGTTACGCAAGAAAAACAAATAAAAGGCATCCTAATAGGAAATGAAGAAATGAAACTATCTCTCTTTGCTGATGACATGATCTTGTATATAGAAAATGCTAAAGACTCCACCAAAAAACTGTCAGAAGTGACAAAAAAAAATCAGTAAAGTTACAGGATATAAAATCAACATACAAAAATCAGGAGCATTTCTATACATTAAGAACAAACTATCTAAATAGGAAATTAAGAAAACAATCCCATTAACAATTGTCTCTAATAAAAAAAATTAACCAAGGAGGTGAAAGAACTATATATTGACAACTATAGAACACTGATGAAAGAAAGTGAAGAAAAAGCAAATCAATTAAAAGATGTCCCATGTTCCCAGCCTGGCCCACATGGTGAAATCTCGTCTCTACTAAAGATAGAAAAAATTAGCCGGGCGTGGTGGCACGCACCTGTAATTTTGGCTACTCGGGAGGCTGAGGCAGGAGAATCGCCTGAACCCAGGAGGCGGAGGTTGCAGTGAGCCAAGATCATGCCATTGCACTCCAGCCTGGGTGACAGGGCAAGACTCCATCTCAAAAAAAAAAAAAAAAAAAGAAGATGTACCATATTCATGGACTGAAAGAATTAATGGTTAAAATGTTCACACTATCCAAAGTCATCTATAGATTTAATGCAATTCCTATCAAAAATCCAATGTCATTTTCACAGAAATATAAAAGAAACAATCCTTAAATCTGTATGGAACCACAATAGACCCTGAATAGCCAAAGAAATCTTGACCAAAAAAGAAGCTGGAGGTATCACACTCCTTGATTTCAAAGTATAACACAATTATAATTGCAACAACATGCTACTGGCATAAAAACAGATAAGTCAATCAACAGAACAGGACAGAAAGCCCAGTAATAAACTCATGCATTTATGGTCAATTGATTTTTGACAAAGATGTCAAGAATGCACAATGGGGAATGGTGTTGGGAAAACTGAATATCCATATGCAGAATAATAAAATTTGATCCTTATCTCACTCCATGTATAAAAATCAACTCAAAATGGATTAAAGACACAAATATAAGACCCAAAACTGTAAAACTACTAGAATAAAACAGGGGAAATGCTCCATGACATTGGTCTGAGCAGTGACTTTTTTTTAATACGACCTTGAAGGCACAGGCAAAAATAGACAAATGTGATTATATCAAACCAAAAAGTGTCTGCACAGCAAAGAAAACAATGAACAAAGTAAAGAGACAATCTGTGAAGTAGGAGAAAATATTTTCAAACTACACATCTGATAAGGGGTTAATATCCAAAATATATAAGGAACTCAAACAACTCAATAGCAAAAAAAAAAAAAAAAATTAAAAAATAGGCAAAAGACCTGAACAGACATTTCCCAAAAGAAGACATAAAAATGGCCAACAGGTTCATGAAAAAATACTTAGCATCATTAATCATTAAGAAAATGTAAATTAAAATCAAAACGAGATGCTACATCACACCTGTTATAACAACTATTATCAAAAGATGAAAGAGACTGGGTGTGGTGGCTCACGCCTGTAATCCCAGTACTTTGGGAGGCCGAGGTGGGCAGATCAAGAGGTGAGATCAAGACCATCCTGGCTAACACAGTGAAACTCCATCTCTACTAAAAATACAAAAAAAAAAAAAAAAAGTCAAACTCATGGAAGTGGAGAGTAGAATGGCAGTTACCAGTGGCTGGGGGATGAAGAGGGGGAAAAAGGGAATGGAGAGTTGTTGGCTAAAGGGTACCAGTTTTCACTTAGGAAGAATAAATTTTGAGATGAATTGCACAGCAGGGTAACTACAGTCATTAATCACATATTGTATGTTTCAAAATAACTAAGAGTAAATTTCAAGTGTCTTACCACAAAAAAATGGTAAGTGAGGTGATAGATAATGTAAATTAGCTTAATTTACTCATCTCACATTGTATACATACATCAAATCATCATACTTTACCCCACAAATGTATATAATTATGCCAATCTAAAAAATATTAATTTAAAAATTACAGCTTGCGAAATTTCATGTAAGAAACAAAAAATCCAAATATTTATATAGAATGTGTGACTTACATAATTCTTAAGCAACATTACCTACTTTCATTGGTAATGTAAAGAATAAATGTGAACCATATTTTCAGTGTTTTATTCTAAAACTGGTTATACATTTAAATTCTTTTATTTATTAAACAGGCACTTGGCTTAAGGCAGCACTTTAGACACCATGGAAAATGTAACAATGAATTGCAAGATAGAGTCTCTGTTTTTAAAAATGTTATGCAGTTTTAAGGAAGAGAAGGTGAGTGTGTATGTGATCCTATAGGAAACCAAAGTGCTTGGACATTCACAGAAGACAGAAAACTTAACAGAGGGGACCAGGGAAGGCTACAATCAGAGAGGATAAGGTTGGAATTCAAATACCATTGAAGGGGTACCTGAACATTTCTGGGAAGAAGAGGGCCTGAACAACAGCAGAAGCTAGGAAATCACCGAAATCATTAGACCAGATTAGCTACACACTGAATAACATTTAGGTGACTACTTAGAGATTGATTAGGAAAAGAACTTCAGGTCAGATCATGGAGACACTGAACAAGTTAAGGAATTCTGATTTTGATCAACAGGCATTGGAGAGCCATAGAAGGAAGTGTGGTTATCAAAGCTGTGCTTTAAGGAAATTCGTTTAGTGGTTGTCAACAATGGTAGGAAGAGAAGAGAGACTTGAGGCAGGGAGGTCTGGGAGAAGGGTTATGGCATTGGTCCAGTTGAAGTTGTAGGAAGAGAAAGGAAGGGATGGGCATGAGAGACACCGCAGGAATAGAACAAACAACACCTGAACACTGGAAGTGGGAAGCAAGAAAGAGAAGTAATTCAGTGATGACTCAGATTTTGCTCCTGGGTGACTAAGGAAATGGAAGTCAAAACCGAAATCTGACTCAGTTCAGAGTTAATGGATTATAGATTTAATAAGGAATAGATTAATAGATAGAAATGTAATAGCCAATATATTTTAGAGTAATCTACAATAGAGGTAAAAATTGAATCTATTTAAATAGATTCACCAATTGTTACACAGATTTCTAACATAAATAATTGAATATTTGTTTGTGTCGAAAACTAGTTATTGTTGTATCCTGTACCATGACCATTGCAAGATGAAACACTAGATCGTGACGAAACACCTGAGAACATAGGAGTGGCTCAGGAGAGGAGGTTTGCATACAGAAACTAATATAACCACAATGAGTTACAAGTTTTACATTTTAAATTCATTCCTTAGAACAAATTTTCATCACTAAAGTTTGAAAATACTAAAGTTTGAAGTTGAAATACTAAGCAAATCTATTCAAAGTATTTCTCTCCATTCAAACTAATTTCTCTTTTCCTGTGAAACCAACATTATTTTCTGGATGACACAATTAATTACCATCAAGAATAACGTATTTCATAGAGTACTAACCTCAACTTTGATTTCATAAGAGCATTGGGAAATAGGTTTTATGTTTGCATACTCTTATTGACGCTACCTGTGACTTACAAACATACCTTCTTACCCGACTCTAATTTAAACCATAATACCTTTATATTGAGGTGCTTTTAAGAATTATTTACCAAAACACATGTTCGCCAAGCCTCACCTGCTATTGTATTCTCTGGAGAACTGAGTTTCAGATGTTGGTCTTCTGATGAAAGGCTCACACTGATACCATACAGTGGATCATCTAAGAAGGAGGGCCTTTTCAGTCTCCCAATGCCAAGAGTCTTCGACATAAAATAGTCTTTTGTGTCACTAATAATAACGTCCTTGGAAAATTGAAGGCATTTCATATTCTCTGCTTCAGTGACAAGAGCTTCTGACATGTTATGTCCAGTCAAGGCTTTAGTGAGATAGTAGCCTTTAGAAGCTTCACATTCTTCACTCTCAAGCATATCTGCATCTTCTACCTCAGTTTTCTGGACCTTTGTTTCTGATTCATTTAGCAATTTAGAGATGATGGACCTGGAAAGCTGGGGGAACACAGGTGTTACGTCCTCAATGTCTTCCTTTTTTCTTTCTGAAGAAAGTTTAATGATGGATTTTTGTTTAAGTATGCATTCATCCAGAAGACACTTTAACTGTTCTTCAGAGAGACATGATGTGGACTCTAACTGATGAAACAAACCAAAAGATTACATAGTCAGTTGACTGAGTAAACACATTTATTTTTGGTAGGCATCCAGTAATACAAATATAAATGCAAGTAACCCCTTACACAACACATAAAAATAGAAAAATAATTCATTGTAAAGTATCCAAAACTGTAGGGGAAATGTCATAATCCTGGCAAAATCTTTGGTTGGTGTTTCTCTGACCCCACCCATCCCTCAGCATGAATCCCACCACCATCCAATTCCTTACTGGGAAAAAAATTGGCATACAAGGCAGACTACCCCTACCTCTGGGGATTCAGCACTCCCATGTCTGTCCACAACTATCAGTGGACAATACTGCTGAAGACAGAAAAGGAAGGGTGAAGGGTGGTGCATCCTGCAATGTGTCGTTGCTGCAAAGCTACAGGTCTAGGCAGAGGCCAGGGGCATTCCAGAGGCGGTGTATTTGGGGAGAATGATTTGATCATGCATACTTAATCTCTGCTTGTAAAGGTTACCAGGGCTAAGTGTTTCAACCAAGACCTTAAATATTTAAAAACATTTTTTTTCTTTCAGCAATATTCTCAGGAAATAAATTTTTAAAAATCAAATGAAAGTAGAGAGCCATGTCCCACAAGACTTCAGCTGAATACCATAACATTTGAGTTGCAACAATCTCAAAAAGGAATGAGATTAAAATATAGTGAAACACACTGAAAAAAAAATGTCTACTTCCCCAAAAAATCAGTGTCTTCCATGGTTTACATGTGGATTATCTAGGAAAAGACTAATCCTCCTTTACAGGGGGATGAATTATCTGAGAACAAGAAGTCCCCATAAGAAAACTTAATCATGAATTTCAATGACTTTAATTTCTACTTCAGCAAAGTAAAATAATGTTATTGGCCTACTCTGAAGGTACATAGTAAAAAATAACTAAATATTCTGCATATGTAAAGTACTGAAATAAAAAGCTATTACTGATACTAGTATAGTTAATTCTCCACTATTAGGTAAAGCTTCTAATGCAACTAATAAATACTAATATGTAAAACAATTTTGTGCCATGTTTAAAAAATATTGTTTAAAATTATGTTTAACTTACCTATATTAAAACTAGTTTTTACAGTGGCAAGTGTCACTATGAGTATGAGGATAATAAGAAATTGTCTGGAAATATATTCTTAGTAATTATTTGGAATTCAAAATTCAGGTGACTGACCCTAAGGTTAATATACATGTCAAGAAATAGGATTTGAGATTTGGAATTCAAAATTCAGGTGACTGACCCTAAGGTTAATATATATGGCAAGAAATAGGATTAGAATTATGTATTAGCAAATTCTACTTTTAGTCACTAGGCATTTCAGGAATCCAGATATAGTATTTTATCCATCTGTATCCAGAATCAGGAGCATTATCTCCACCCTACTATGGAAACCTAGTCAAGTAGAAAATGAAGGAAGTCCTTCTATGACATTAGATACCTAAAACACACTTTCAAACTTTGCTTATGTAAAATTACATATAATGTGTAGACAATTCCCTACGATTTAGAAAGAGCCCGCTGAGTGTCATCCTTACCAAACATCCTCATCAAAGCCTTATTATGATGAAATTTTTAGACACTAGAAAAAAAATCAGTCCATATTAGAGCAGGAGGAGGTCTCTAGGGAAAAAAGGGTAGGAGGGAGGATTGGTAGATTATCCAATATGCTTGACCATTTCCAAAAGTAATATTGATATGATAGATGTTTGGCAGTTCTGATGATGTATTTGGCTAAATACACAGAAAATGAAGCAGAAGGAAAATCAAAGCAATTATGAACTCTGGGGAAAACAAAAAGTTTTACAAAAAAAAGGAAAAGCAGTGACATATACACAGAAAATTAGGCAAAAGAAACTAAGATAATTATGAAGTCTAGGACAAACAAAAAGTTACATGAGAAAGGATGCCATAGGCTAATAATTGCTTCTGCTGTGAATAATATTTACACAGTCAATGATAATATAAATACTGATGACTAAGGTAAGCAAAAATTGTGACTTAACTATTTTGGGGAAATGTGACGAGAAACAAGGGGTGTTTGCACTTTATTAGTTAAATTATTGCCTACCATTACAGCAACCCAATATATAATGTCTAAAACTAATCAATTAAGAAAGTAAGTTATTAATAAATAATATAGAGGTAAAATTAGGAAAAACACAAAAGATTTAAAAGCAGTTAACTGGAGAAAATATCAAGGGGTAGGGAAGGCTGAGGCAAGGGGCTGCCATTTTTATTTAAAACATTTTAACACAATTTTTTCTTTATTACTATAACAAAAGTTAAAATTAAATATAAAAATAAAAGTAATTTAAATGTATTCTTTTTTTTTTGACATGGAGTCTTGCTCTGTCGCGCAGGCTGGAGTGCAGTGGCGCAATCGTGGCTCACTGCAACCTCTGCTTCCTGGGTTCAAGCGAGTCTCGTGTCTCAGCCTCCCCGGTAGCTGGAATTATAGGCACCCACCACCACACCTGGCTAATATATATATATATATATTTATATTTTTAGTGGAGACAGGGTTTTACCATGTTGGTCAGGCTGGTCTTGAACTTCTGACCTCAAGTGATCCACCCACCTCGGCCTCCCAAATTGTTAAGATTACAGGCGTGAGCCACCATGCCCAGCCCAAATTTTTTAATAAAAATGCACTTAGAAATAAAATTTAAAATATTTAAATGAAATTCCCAGGTGATTGTATGTTTGGACATCAGAAGCTGACCCATGTTTCACAGAGCCAGAAATTTATATAATCTTGAAGCAAGAGAAGGGCATTTCTTAAAAAAAAAAAAAAAAAATACAAAATTACAAATTCAAAATTAGGTACAAAAGCGAGTTTCTTTTATTTTAGAATGTGAAAAAGATCACAACAAATTACTGGGGTCTTGGGGAGGGTTGAGTCCATTTCTTACAGTATCTCTTTAGGTCATTGACCAGACGTGCTTACAGAAATGTTTGCTGATTGCAACCTGGCTTCCTCTTCCCACCCCAAAGCTCCTATAAGTGAGAGGCCCTGAGCTGAATCTTCACTGGCTTCATGGTAAATTGCTTCTGGGCACTATGAGATAAAACATTACACATTTCAGCTTGTGTGTACACAGAAATAAGCTGGACTACAATTACCCTGATCCTCCTGGGGGAAGCAGCTGGATAGGAAAGAAAACACAGAAGACTAGAACCTGGGCTTCTATCCAAGCTTTGCTGCCTTGAGCATGTCACCTGAGTTCTCAGGGGCTCATCTCCTTTATCTGTAAAATGAGGAACTTTAGAAGATAATCTCTACATTAAATTCTAACTCTAAAATTGCTTTTTATGAACAACTACACTAAAAATAAAAATAAATTTTAAAATAAACTTTTCTACTCACTTTAGAGTGTAGCCTGGGTAGAGTTATGAAAACAAAATAATAGCAAAAAGAGAACTTTTATTTATTTAGCTCCTTCACAATATCAATCCCGAACTCTTATAAAATAACTAAAAATTCTCTGGCCTCAAAATATAAGTAAGAGCAAATGAAATACATTAAGCCCTCAAATTAATTTAATTTGCTTCTGGGTGCAATACAGATTGGAAACTTCAACACGACCCATCTTTCTCATCTTTTGATTCCCAGCAGAGTCTTGCCCACAGTCAAAGCTCAGTCAATGACTATCATGAGAATTGAATGATTAGAGTGCTTAAACCATTTTTTAAGGCACTATATTGATATAATTTATTTACAAATACTGAACTGAACTAAACTAGGGCTCCATCACAAACATCCCTAACTGCCCTCAATAGTTAAGGAATCATCTAACCCACAGCCTTTTTCCAGATTGCTCTCAAAAATTCTGAGCTAATAAGCACCATAACTGAACCACTCACTGTGCAGGCACTGTCAAGTAACCATCTGTTCAAGTATTCACCTCAAAGTATTCATCTTTCGTGCCAGCTCTAATTTCCCAGTATTCCATAAACAAGTTATTATTCATACTATTCCTATCCTTCATAAAACTCAACATAGTGCATCTCAGTCCTCATTTTTCCAGGCCAGAACCCAATCTCTTTTCACTCTGTATATGAAAGCCCCTCTCTTCCCACCTTCATTTTAGTAGCTCTTTTATGAATCTTCTTTCTCGTTTCAGCCAATACACACACATTTCATAGTAAAAGAGTAAATCTATTGGATTTTTCATCAGGAAAAGAATAGAATACACATGCAGTTTTAGTTCTGCTGCATCTTGCATCTGGTTGGCACACTAGGTTATGTCTTACAGAATAATAATAAATAGGTAGCATTCACTAAGCAGACTAGACTCTGCTCTAGGCATAATACATGTATTGATTCCTTTAATTTTGCAATAAACCTATTAGGTAGAAACTATTGTTATTTCCACTTTGCAGATGAAGAAACTGAAGCACTAAGAAATGAAGTAACCTCTCCAAGGTCATATAGCTTCTAAACCGTGGACTTGAAATTTGAATCCAGGTAGTCTGGGTCCAGAACCTAAGTGTCTAGCCACATGGCTACACTGCCACTCGCTGTAAATGAGTTCTCCCTCTACCACCCTCCAAGTGTCCTTTTCCCAACTGCTGCTCATTTTTCTGTCCATTCTATCAGATACAGAAACTCTCCCCGCAGAACAGTTTACTTAACTTGGGACTTTATTGCCCAGATTGGCTTTTGTGTGTACGTTTTATGCAAATGTACACAGTGTATGTTTTATGCAAACATATATAGTGCCCTCTCTTTTAGCTCATTAAAAAAAAAAACCCAGCCACAGCTCCATTCCCAGGATACCCACTGTTTACACATCTCCACCCAGATAAATGCCAGTTTGATGTAGAAGCTAAATTTGATGAGGAATGCAACTTGTAATTGCTGGAGATGGAACACAGACTGTGGATTACCTCACTCTCATCCCTGCCCCACCTCCTATGCTATATATCCGGAGTTTCTCCAGCCATAAAAATCTCCAGTTAATTGGGCAATGGATTTCTTGACAAGGCAATCAAGATTATGTCCCTGGTGCAGATAATCAGAAAGTCTACCCATTATAAACCAGCAGAAGCAATCTTGTCCTTTGATGTAAGCTTACTTCGGGTGTTTTTTATTTCCCCCAAACAGCACTCCTAAAGACCCACCCTATGAAACCAATACCATTATCACAAGTGAGAAAAGGGTGGAAAGCTAGAATGTTCTAAATGATTAACAAGGAGAATATGGATGTACACAGATTTTAATGACACCTAGTTCTACTTCCAAATAAGCAACTAAAAAACATTCCACCGTTTGCTTAATGACGAAGATATAAGTTTATAGCTCTCTATTGCAACCACTACTGGCAACACCTCCGTAGTAGTCTATTTTAGTCAAGGTTTTTTGGCTATAAGGAACAGAAACCCTTATGTCAAAAAAAGAGGTGGTAGGGTTGAGGTTTGCTGTAAGATCAAAGAAGTCATTTCATGGACAACGACAAGCAGGAAATAAGAGTATAGACTGGCCTTTCAGAGTCTAGAGCTGAGAAACCACCAGGCACCAGTCATGTGCCCCATCTGTCTTTCTGGGTCCATGTCATCTCTTCACTCACTGCCTGCCTGATGCATCCTCTTCTCTGCAAACCAGCTTTCTCTGCTTATTGATGGTTTCTGCTTTCTCACAACCTCAGCTTGCCTATGTAGCATGAACTGACTCTGTAAGAGTATCACACCCACCAACAACTGACTATGTCCTTTAGCTCTCTATATTCTTTTGCTTAAATTTTCAAGCAAGATAACCTGGTTGGTCACTGGCCAGGTTGATGGACTGCCTGTGTCAGGTTCAAGTGTCCACCACTGGTCCAAACATCTGAACTGAGGGTCACATGGTAGAAACACAACCATCCAAGCCCAAGGTTTTGGCAGGGCTGTGGGTAAGGTGATTTCCCAAACAAGAAGGTATCAACAGAACAGGGATTCAAAAATATCATATTTTTGAACTATAATTACTATGAAGTACGTAACCATCAGAAGGAACCTGCCACTTAATTTAGTTCTATAGTCAACTACAAGATTAATGATGGAAGTGTTTCCAAACTTCACTGATCTCATTAAATCTGGGTACTCACTGAAGAGTTATTTGAGATATAAATGTAGAACTAGTTGTCAGAAAATACCTACCTGTGCATAGAAAAATAAAGGCACTCCAGTTAGGCTACAGAACAGCACTATCGAGTCTGAATGCTCACAATAGGCTCACATCACTTGCTATAGCTCTTTTGGATTAAACACATCTAAAAATCAAGGGGGAAAAATAATTGGTGTTCATTTTAATGTCTGTATCAATGGCGCTAAGGATTCATAGGAGAAAAGGGCTTGTTCTTCCTTCCTCTCCTAGCTCCTTCCCTCCCTTTTCCATTCTCCCACCTTCCTCTCTTACACTGAGGCTACCCCAATCATATAAAGGCAAGTCCGGCAGGTAGACTGCTCTTAAGAAGCCAAACCAAGGACAAAGGGTCCTGGGGGCCAGGGACAATCTGGCATATTTTTCACCAGAATAGTCAGAGGCTGTCTGGCCAGAAGAGAATCTGAACTCTAGTCAAAAAGGAAGCAAATATCATTGCCAGAGAAACTATGTAAACCACCATCAAGAGTGAGGGTTGAGGCAAGGCTGTAAACAGGAAAGTGAGTCAGCTCCCAGGTCAGCAGCCAGGAGGCTCAGTGGACAGAATAATACTGAGTGTGAAGTAGGTCACGGCAAACAGCTCTGAAGCGAGGTCATGAACGTTGTGGTGGTGTGGGAAGCCCTTTTTATGTGGGGCCTGGCATGGCAAAGTCACCGTGCAGAATCAGACCCCACCCATGCCTAGGCTACCCATCTTCCCCAAACAGCCGGGTGAGGCAGGGCTTGCCTTATGGGTTTGCCTGGTGAGAGGCTGCTGTGGCCCTGGGCATTCTGTGATGGCTCGTCTCCCGTGGCCCAGGTGCCCGGGCTGGCTCCATGGCTTCAAGGATCCAAGCTTTCTGTTTCTATGTACCAGAATGAGAGAGGTGGGCTGCCAGCGGGACCCCAGTGTGTAAGTTAGGGATGAGCATGGATCGAGGGAGCTAGAAGCAGGAGGTAGGATTCTCAAGTCCTACTATTTGAAAAAGGGCTAGAAACATGGCTTGCCGGGGACATAAGCAGAAAAGTGTGGAGGTGCTCGGCAGGAGAGCCAGACTGTGCTTTCTAACAGGGTGACTTTGCTTTCTAACAGGGTGACTGGTGAAAATGGACTCTTATGTTTTCATTTTGTGGGACAATTACCATTTGAGGATTGCCAACAGTAGCTGTTTTCTAGCAGTAGAGACAGCAAGTCCACTTGGATCAGATGCCCTTTGTTCTGAGCAAGTCGCCGGAATGGCCCTGTTATCACATGTCTATCACTTCCTTTCCCGAAACAAGTCTGGGGCCCAGCTCTACAGCTGGAGGGGGCCTGGCACCTCTGCCCCAAACTCCCAGCTAAAAAAGCCTGGCCAGGAGATGAGGTGCACAGATTTGCATAAAGAGCCTAAAAAGGGGCCCCTGATTGAGTAGTTCTCATGCTCCGAGGGAACTGGAACCTACTCCACCCCCTACTCCGGGAAGTAGATCCAGTTTGTTACTTTAGAGCAGCTAGCTCCCACTGCTTGGCAAGACTGTTTATTGGCTATTATTAGTTATGAGTATCATTTGCATGGGTGAAGGCCTTCTGTACTCTCAGTTTGATGATGCCTATTTTTACTGTGTAGAGATAAGTTGGGTCAAGGAAGGTTGTGATGGGGTCAGTAGTCAAGGAGGCCATTAGCTATTTAAATACCTTAACCTCCAATGGATCCAGATTAAACCTCACCCTCTTGCAGGAAATCAGCTGATAGATGAGTCACATTGGAGAAATCTGGTATAAATGAAACCTAAAGAACTTATGTATGCCCACAGGAGTCTCTAGAACTTTAAATACTTTGCTTGATATCATCTAAACTTCACAATTGAAGAGAAGGTATCCTCAGAACTCTGTCTCTGGGATCTTCAACATGTGTCTTCTGTGTTGAGCTGGCCTGAAGATGGAGGTGCTGTGTCTGTAAAGGATCTTCCCAAACAGGGGTTCATTTAAGGCCAGGTCAGGGGAGTGTATCCAAAACCCTCCACCTTGTACTGGTGCTGAAAGAAGGTGGAGATGTGGCATGGCCTGGAAGGTAGTACCTGGCCTTGCACAGTCTGCCCGTAGGTCAGCGATATGGTTTGGCTCTGTGTCCCCACCCAAATCTTATCTCAAATTGTAATCCTCATGTGCTGAGGGAGGGATCTAGTGGGAGGTGATTGGAACACAGGGGTGGTTTCCCCCATGCTGTTCTTGTGATAGTGAGAAAGTTCTCACAAGATCTGATGGTTTTAAAAGTGACAGTTTCCCCCGTGTGCTCTCTCTCTTGCCTGCTGCCATGTAAGATGTGCCTCTGCCTTCCGCCATGATCCTAAGTTTCCTAAGGCCTCCCCAGCCATTCGGAACTGGGAGTCAATTAAACCTCTTTTCTTTATAAATTACGTAGTATTTTTACAGCAGTGTGAAAATGGATGAATACAGTTAGACAAGGCTTCAGGTACCAGGACTTCTGCTTTCCAGAGACATGAGCCCTTAATACTTGATCAGTGCCACGATCACCAGCAGCTCCTCTGCCTCTTATTGTGAGAAGCATCTCACTAGTGTAGCACTATCTGGACCCTTCCCCCCTCACCCCAATCACAGAGAACACTCAGCTAGGCCCCACCCATATAAGAGAGACCCCTCAAAAAGATGCTCAACCCTGGGAACTGGAAAAGAAAACTGAGTATTTCCTTACATGCCCAAGAAGTTTCCCAGCAGCATACACAAGTCAAACGGCCAGGCTGCACTGACATTACACTGCTCAACGTGACTGGATTCAGATTACCCATCATCCAGACCTGTGCACTTGCCTGCTGCCGGGCTGAGCACTTGCCTGCTGCCAGGCTGAGCAGATCTAACATGGCCTGTGCTGCTCTCACAGGTGTAGACCTGGATGTCACTTCTGATGCCACTGCCATGGCCCCTCAAGTCACCCATGGGTACAGCAAGCCCCTCTTGGCTCCTTCCCAGGATTTCTTGTCTATTGCTGATGAGGTGTGAGTTGCTAATAAGGTGTGGGATGATCAGCTGGCCACTTCTAGGCTTGTACAAACCAGAAGTGCAAGAGAATTCATGCCCCTTGGGGCAGACTTTGACCAAGGGGAGAGGGAAGGCAGTGAAGGAGTTACTTTCCCCCAGAAAGACTCCCTGAAGTGCAGTCACCCACATGGCAGCTCTCTGCATATGTCCCACAAGTCACCCACATGGTATCTCTCTGCATATGTCCCACAAGTCACCCACATGGCATCTCTCTGCATGTGTCCCACAAGTCACCCACATGGCATCTCTCTGCATATGTCCCACAAGATCAATCAGCTGTACTTGCTAGCAAGCAGTAGTCAGGTCAATGATACAGCTCTTATATTTACTCTCTTTCTTTGCTTCACTTCTCTTGTTCCCCACTTCTGTTTCTCTGGTGATGCTTTCACTAATGAAGCAGCAGCAATATACTTTTGCCTCAGGCCCCACTGCTCCACACTAAGACACAATAAGCAACAGCTTCCAAGTCAGGGCTGGGCAGGGCTCTGAAGGGCAACTCGAACCAAACCAAACAGCGTGGGCCTGGAAGCACAGGGTTAGCAGCTCCAACCAGCCTCTGCAGACTGTCAACAAGGCTCACATGCTGGCACTGGCTGGGTGCAGGTACTGCAGGGTTATGGCCAACACTGTCAACGCCATAGGAGATAGGAGGCAAAGTGATGCTTCAGGATCCTTGGGGCTCATGGATTAATAGGTGGTTTCTACTGGCATATCTGGGACGAGAGCAGCAGAGTACTGTCCAAGAAGGCAAGAGTCAAAGGAGAAAATCCTTTGGAGGCCTAGGATTTACCTAGGGCAGCCAGAGGCAGCACCACTAGAGGGAGAATATGAATTGGAGCCAGGGAGAGAAAGCCAAGGTCACAGCTTAGGTTGGAGTGTCGAGATAAACAGAAAGAATGACAAGCATGAGGTATAAAAGAGGTCACGGCATGTTGTTCAGTGCCAATGCATGTCCACTGCGAAGACGTAGGAGGCCTGCTTTCATTCTGGATGGGCAGAGTGTAAGACCAGGCCAGGGGGCTAAAAGGAGTGAGGCAGGAGAAGACCCTAAAAGCCACTGAGGAATCAAAATGAGGTGCGAGGTGAGCCATGCACATGTGTGACATTCCTTCACATCTTAGACGCATCTCCAGCACCCTATCTTTAAGTTATTTCCTCGTGGCATTTTATACTCCATTTGGGAAAGCCTCTCAAGTTAAGTGTTCCTTCAGCTTGCAAACTCTCTCTCTGAAAGCAATAGAAAGCCCCAGAGGGAGAGGAAATACCCTTACCAACAGCAGAAGTTAGCAGGGGGAGGCTGACATTTCTAACTTTAGATTCCGGCTCTCTCATTCCCCAGCTGTTTGGTATTGGGCAAATCACTTAACCTTTCAAAGTCTCAGATTTCTAGTCAGTAGAGTAAAAATACTAACAACTAGCTGACTCCAAACAACTAGTTGGGAGGAATACTAACAAGCAACAATTTGCAATAGCATGAAATACCTGCGTGAAGCTGCGAGGACCATGCCTGATGCAGACGAGGCAGGAGCTCAATCAATGCTGGAACATCAATAGCAAATCTCAGCTTCCGTCTGGAAGCTGGCAGCAGCAGCAGCAGCCAGATGGCCTCTCTTGGAAGCTGTACACTGAAGCCTGTACTTTCCAAGTTCAACTGGCCCCTACTTTTGAAGATCTCTCTTGGATACCAGGAATGGAGCTTTATGGACGATCTCACAACTAGCAATTCACAATGAGTAAGCTGTCATGTGTACTCTTGTAGATTCCTGGCGCTGGGGAGGGGGTGCTACAGAGGCCATGAGATGCTGGGAGAGGGCACCCAAGAGGTAAAGATTGGCATGTGATTCTCTATCATCTATCATCGCCCTCGGAAGGTTTACACTTCAAGGCTGACACTATTAAGTCTTCAGCATCAGAAAGTACTGTATGCAGTAACCACAAAGTAACCAGAAAGGGGCTGGCTTCTAGATACTTTTACATTTGGTTAAAATAATCCCAGTCAGGGCACCAGGTGAGTCTCTTCAAGCGCAGGGCTGAAGCTAAGCCAGGTTCATCCCATGTTCCACGCACAGGGGCACGTGCCCCATTAGTCAGTTTTTCTCTTACTCCTCAGGCTGCCCCTCAGCCCTCTCTGCCTGCGCACACCCTCCTCAGGAAGCAAACTCTATTTCAAATGTTTACTCATTTCCTGTTGCCCTCACATCAAATCCTGAGGTGTGCTTCCTCACTACTGTCCCTGAGTCTAAGCAATCTAGGTCAATGTACAACTCTCTCAAGGAACAAACTCACATTTTATAGGAGCCTCGTTGAATCAGAATGACTTAACCTGAAGAGGTGATTCTAAGAATAGAATCCAAGCCCCATAGCTGGATGATAGAAAGATATTTGAAAGATATCACTTTGAGCACCCTCAAATCAGGCCACACTGGGCAAAGTTAGGCCTAGTCTGGTTCGACAAATGGTCAGTCCTGACAAATTTCATCAGATCTGATTTTCCTCTTGGGTATAAATCTAGTGCCATACAGTTAACTCCACATTTAACTTGTTAATCACAGAGAGCTTTTTCTGGTCACAAATGGGTGACTTGTAGCATTTCCCAGGGTTGAGCAAGTGCTCCTGAAGCTCTGCCCTGTCTAGACACGTATCTGAAATATCTAATTACCCCTGTACATTCTGTAGAGCACACAAAGCCCAACGTCATTACATAAACATGAAGCTCCATATTAATATATTTGCTCAGTGAACTGTCCTTTTACATTTGCCAATCTGAACGTGAAATCATGCTACTGCTGAGAATAAGGATACTATATTGTGAATAAGAAGTTCCAAGTTGTGCTATGATCCAAATTATGAAAGTTAAATTATCTAGAGAGCAAACCAAAAAAGCTGTGTAGTGAACTGAATCCAAATTCAGAAGAATCTAAATAGCTTGATGCATACCCTCTCTTAAATGACACATTTAAATAGTTTCCCTTTCACACAGAGCAAGAAACTTTAAGAAAGAGATGAATCCGTCCACCTCCCTCCCTGTCAGCGGGTCCCTTATTAGGTGGGTATCCAGACCAGCCCAGGTCATTAGTCAGTTGCACTGGGGGTGGGGCATGGAGGGAACAGGGCTGATAGCCCTGGACCATCTACTATGCACCACATACAGTATTTATTCCATTTACCTCTTCCAACTACCTAGTGGGGAAAATTGGAAAATCATTCTCCACATTGAACAGATAAGGAAACTAAGCCTCAGAGAAATTGAATGGTCCAGGGCCCAGAACTAATAAAAAAAATGAAGCCAGACTATAAAGTTAGGGCCTTTTCACACTAATTGTCTTCAGACAGATGCTTACAAGAGTTAGTTAAACTCCTTTTTCGAGGGGGAGCACCTGGCAGCAGCATGGTACCATAACATGCCCCCTCCACACTCTATCCGGCATCTGAAAATGTGATACCACAGAGCAGCCTAGTAAGGGGAGCCCCTCTCAACTCATAAATCTGAGGCAAGTGTATAAACAAGAATCCCTCACCAGTGGGTGGCGGCTGCCCTCTGTGTCTCCCAAACCTGGGGCATCAGGCTGTGCCATCCCAGTACCCTCTGCATCTACTTTCCCTGCTGGATGTAAGCTCCTCGGGCTGGCACCAGGTCCTCCTCATCTCTGTGTTCCCATACCTAGCACAGAGCCTTGGTATAAGATGCACACATGGCAAAGCTTTGTTGACTACATGATGCTTTCTTTGGGTGCTCCTCCACCCTCTGCAGTGACATCGCACCCCTAAAAACTCAGTGCTCTTAGTCTGTCCCCTTACTGACCAGTGGTCCTAGGCCATGGCCCATCCTAGGCCCAACTCCTCTTCTCTCCCCGATGTCTTGTTCCTTCCAGAGCGCGCACTCCCCACATGACTTTGTATGACAATGGTTTAAGCAATTAATGAACCTTTGTTTATGATTTGGGCACAGCAGATAGCAATGCTTTAACTCCTGGAGAGCTCCCCAATGTGAGAAACCTCAGATCCCAGCAAGGGCAGACAGACAGACAAACTGGTTGAAAGGAAGGGTGCTGAAAGTATTCTCCATATCACCCTGTATAGGCAATGACTCACCCCACCTACAGGCAGAGGCGAAGTAACGAAGACACCTCTTCCCAGACTTCATGTCCACTCACCATGGAAAAAATGCTTCAGATTTGCAAAAATGCCCAAGCGTAATAAAAAGCCTGCATTCTGGGCCTACTGCTGTGATATTCACTACAAGTCTGACATAGAGGTTTAATTTGGTCTGCTGTGAAAATAGAACTGAATAATAATCACAGTCTTTGATTGTGGTTAGGTTTAATTATAGAAACCTATTCAAGTACATATATATTAATAGAAAGCCTCACAAACATGGCAGAAAACCATTTCTGTTCATAAGTATTTACAGGGAAAGCTCTCCTTATTTACTTTATTTAAATAAATATTTCAAATCAGCAAACCAAAAAAGAGCCCCCATCTTTCATGTGAACATTTTCTAATCATGTCATGTTAATATTTTCTCCTTTGATTTCCAATGAGCTAGCACAAGCTCTGGCCTCTGCACTAGATGGTGGTGCTGAGTCACTTATTTAGAATGGAATTATGGATTATATAAAGACTGACGAGTACAATAGATGTTCAATGTGGTGGTTGTCGGAAACATCACCTAATTAAATATGCTAAAATATTTTGGCTGAAAATTTGTTTTAAATCTTCAAATTTTTATACCTTCTGATTTTCTTTGTTGTTGTTGTTGTTGAGACAGGGTCCGACTCTGTCACCCAGGCTGGAGTGCAGTGGCTCAATCTTGGCTCACTACAATCTCCACCTGCTGGGCTCAAGTTATTCTCCCACCTAGCCTCCCAAGTAGCTGGGACTACAGATACGCACCACCATGCCCGGCTAATTTTTTAATTTTTTTGTAGAGATGAGGTTTTGCCATGTTGCCCAAGCTGGTCTTGAACTCCTGAGCTCAAGCAATCCTCCCACCTCAGCCTCTCCAAAGTGCTGGGATTACAGGCGTGAGCCACTGCGCCCGGCAACTTCTGATTTTGTAATATAGAAATAACTGTCTTGGCCAGGCATGGTGGCTCAAGCCTGTGATCCCAGCACTTTGGGAGGCCGAGGAGGGTGGATCACGAGGTCAGGAGATCGAGACCATCCTGGTCAACATGGTGCAACTCTGTGTCTACTAAAAATACAAAACTTAGCTGGGCATGGTGACGTGTGCCTGTAATCCCAGCTACTCAGGAGTCTGAGGCAGGAGAATCGCTTGAACCAGGGAGTCAGAGGTTGCAGTGAGCCGAGATCGGCCACTGCACTCCAACCTGGTGACAGAGTGAGACTCTGTCTCAAAAAAAAATAAATAAATAACTGTCTTTGGAAGTCAGACAAAATAATGAGCAGCCTTTATTTCCTTTTAATCTAATTTCAAATTAATGTTTTAACTTCAAGTAGGCAGGGCAAAAACACAATTTCTCTCAAATCGGGTAATAAGAATTAATTGAAGGGTGATAGGTCGAAATACAAGGAGCATAAAAATGAAAACACAGAGATATGGACTCAGAATTGTACTTCCCTTTGCTAGACATAAATTTCACTCCTATAATTATCATTTTTAATGTCCAAAATCTTCCCCACATAGGCTATACTTCTTTTTTTTTTTTTTTTTTTTGAGATGGAATCTTGCTATCGCCAGGCTGGAGTGCAGTGGTGCGATCTCGGCTCACTACAACCTCCCCCTCCCGGGTTCAACCATTCTCCTACCTCAGCATCCCAAGTAGCTGGGACTATAGGCACGCACCATTGCGTCCAGCTAATTTTTGTATTTTTAGTAGAGACGGGGTTTCACCATGTTGGCCAGGATGGTCTCGATCTCCTCACCTCGCAATCTGCCTGCCTCTGCCTCCCAAAGTGCTGGGATTACAGGTGTGAGCCACTGCACTCGGCCTGGCTATACTTTTTAAATGTCCAAACAATTAATTAACTTAATCTAGTTTTTTTTATTCGTAAAATGCATTTCTTAACTGAATTCAACAGTTAATTAAGCCAGGTGACTTCTTCATGACTGACCCGTTAAAATCAATTTTGCATTTATAAATTACCATGAACCTATTAATGCACAGTATAATTACTGTATTATAACTAACTTCTACACTAAAACTTGCAATATGGACTGTGAAGCCAGTGGAGAGGAAAATCTTTAGACGTAGTTAATTGAATAAATATATAAATTTGAAGATTCATTAGGGATTTAAACATTCCGTTTCAAAACTGAAGCCATCACATACTATTATTCTAATTTATTTCAACCTATAGTTCATATTTAAGTGCTAAATATTAAAATGTTGTAATAGACGCTGATTATATCATCTTCATGTAAAATGAAACACCAGACTTTGCTGTCATACACACTGGACAATAGGTGAAAAAACTCCAACAGCAGAGTAAACCAACAACATTCCTAAACGATCTAAAGATTCTCACAGCCTCCAAATTTGCAGATACAGAAACTTACATATAGGCCCTCAGTTCTTCCACAAGCTCCACCACCCATCTACCAGCACCTGTACCCAGTGCCCCACCATCCCTCATGTCACTAAACGGACTCCCTGTGCTCCTCTTGATGGCTGTCCCCTCTACCTGCACACAAGAGACCACCTTGTCTTGCCTACTCAAGGTCATCGCTTTGGCAATCTCCCCACTCTCTTTTGCGTCACTGCTTTCCCCCTCTCTACTGGATTTTTCCCATGAGTATACAAAAAGCTGCTATTCTCCAATATTAAGGAAAAGCCCTCTTTTGATCCCGTTCCTCTCTCTGCCCACCACTGCATTTCTCTTACTTTCTTTACAATAAAATTTCTTAAAATAATTGGTCTTACTATCACCAAATCCCTCTCCTTCTATTGTCTCTTAAACTCAACCCAAACAGGGTTTAGTCCACCACTCCGTTAAAACTGCTCTTGTCTATCACACCAATGCCCTGCACATTTCTACAGCAGCTGTTCATTCTCAGTCTCCATCTTACTGGACCTCTCAGCACTGTATAACACAGCTGAACACTCTTCATCTGGCAACACCTGGATAGAGCATATTATACATTTCATAACTCAGCCCTATTTGTCAATGTAACTTTCTACTTTGATTTATCCAGCAATTTCATTTTTTGGCCAAGAACTGCAACTTTCTCAAACCATTTTCCCCTTTCTTCATTGTCTTCACCACACTAGCATGTGGCCTGTTTAGAGCTACTTCTCAGAACAAAATAAAGTATCTAAAACACAGTGATCATTACTGTGAAAATGGTGAGGCATAGAGAATGAAGCTTCACTGTCATGCGGACGCCATGTCTCCTTTCCACTAGTACATGTGCATCTTACACCAAGACATCAGTGGTACCTAATGTATCTTACTCCCAGGATCCTATGAGCACAATGTCACAATATATTGGACTAACATGGTGCCCTGTGTGAAACCTTGCAGACAAAATGGTAACACAGAGCCAAAAAGAAGATAGAGGCCTAAAAGCAAGGCAATGAAGTTATTCTGCTGCCCCTATGAGGTACAAGCAAACTGTTTATTCTCTGCTTATGTGCCTTTAGTAAAAAAAGCATTTGGGCTGGGTGCGGTAGCTCACGCCTGTAATCCCAGCACTTTGGGAAGCCGAGGCGGGCGGATCACAAGGTCAGAAGATTGAAACCATCCTGGCCAACATGGTGAAACCCCCTCTCTACTAAAAATACAAAAATTAGCTGGAGCATGGTGGTGCATGCCTATAATCCCAGCTACTTGGGAGGCTGAGGCAGGAGAATCGCTTGAACCAGGGAGTCGGAGGTTGCAGTGAGCTGAGATCATGCCACTGCACTCCATCCTGGCGACAGAGAGAGACTCTGTCTCAAAAAAAAAAAAAATCCATTTGCCAGATAGATACATGCATACCAAAGATCAAGGCATGTATTGAGTTACTAGAAACTTTATCCTGAAGAGGACACATGTTCCAGTAATCTCTCCATATTTCCATTTCCCCAATTACTCTAGTAAGTACACTCTTTCAAAGGGCCGGATCTAGCAAGTTCTTGACCTTAGTTCCATGTAAGGGATGTTGGGCTTATGAACTGACCTGTCTGGGAACAATCGGATGGGGGCTATGATTTCCTATTGTAATAGCTTAAATCAAGCCTCCATTTGCCAGAAGACCCAGAGTTTTTTGGTTGTAAAAATCAGGTGGCATAGCTAAGCACCTATGCATTTCAGTCACAGGAATCCCATTATCAGTAGCCATTCCCAAAGATTCCTGGTCATCCTGATTAAATACCCATCCTGCTGCCTATTATGGAAGCCATGCTGCCTACCCACCTTGCTTTCTGATGGTAAGGTGCTGCTGCTTAAGCTCTATTACCCCAGGATCCTAATATCCCTAGTAAGATTAGGGAGTCCCATTTCAACGGTACCATACTTCACAAGCATCAGAGGTCTACAGAGAACAGCCAAATTTTTTTTTTCCAATGAAGCCAGTTGGTCCCTCCTCACTGTATCTCTTAGGCTCTTGTTGAAGAGCATCTCATCAGGACCCTCTCAAGGAAAACAATTGGAATACAGCTCTCCATACCCATGATATATCCCCTCCAACAATATTATCTCCCTAAGTGCTTGGACTTCTTGCTCTTATAGTAGTACGTGACAGAATTTCTAGCAGCTCATTGGTGCCACAGTCCCAGTTTTGGTCAACCAGTCAAGAAAACATAAATAGATCAATGCCATCTATTTATGCTAGTACACTGAATTCAGAACCTCTGGTTAAGTGCTCTTATAGCAATAAATTCAAGCCATCTAAAGTGGTATTTTTCTCTATTTGACCTAAAACTTTCAAAATCCATTATCATACATATTCCCCCAGAATATTTTCCAGTATCAATTGGGAAAGTCTTGCAACTTTTTAGCACCATAAGCTATCACCTCCTACCTTTGACTTTGTCATTGGTGTCTTGAGGCATTCTGGGATCTAAGTTTAGTTACACATCTGGGAGTAGGGCAGAAGGAGAACTGACCTACCTTTGTAATGCAACTCCTTCAGATGGCAGAAAATTCCATCAAGACACGAATAGCCTCATCAGAGAAGGTCACAGGGCTGCTCTAACTGGCAAGGGTGGATTGATGGACTTTAGGGATTCGGGGTGCCCTGAATTCACCAAATCCTACCATATCCCCTGTTCTAGTTCCCAGAGTCCCACTCTTTCTCTAAATACCCAAACCAAATACCAAAATAAGGGACCTAGCTGTGAATTCAAATGACATCCTTAGTTGACAACTTGCATTACTGCATTTGGCTTTTGACTTTTTAACCCTGAAAGAGTTACAAAATAAATTTGTAATATTTATATATAGTACAAAAGAGATTCTTTTAGTGTACTCGTAGAAAGTCCCTATTTTTCAATCCATCCTTAGGTAAGAATATTTAGGAATCTGAGCTTATATTCCCTTTCTTTAAGCTGTCTGCCACCGTTACATGCAGCCATCACACCAGCCCAGTTTTTCAAGTCCTCATTCCTATGCAATTGTTGCATGGAAGTCCCTGCTTGGTTCCCAAAAGGTTTTCTTTCAATTAGCAACTCATTCTAGAAGTTCACAGATGATTTATTTGCTAATTTTCCACCAAATGTTATGGGGTGTCAGTCTTATCCCTTATGCAGCTGGATTTTTCACTACCTTCAGCTCCAACTAACCCAGACAAACCAATCCCAGCTTCCCCCAATTTTTCTGTGGTTCTATTTCCCGGAACCATTCCTGGTTTCAAACTCCCTATCAATCTAGGTTCTTACTTGCAAATAACAGAAATAACAAAACTAAGACTGGCTGCTTTAAGCAGAAACTGAATTAATTGAAACGATGGTGGATATTCCCACATAATCATTGAGAAGGCTATGGAAGGTACTGGAAAACAATCAGGAACAACAGTAGGCTACCCAATCACAACCAAAATCATGCCACAGAATTTAAGGCTGCTCCTTCCACTGGACCACTCAGCTAGCTAGCTGAGCTAACTACACCAACATCAGAAGCAGAGACAGGATGCGACTACTGGAACTGCCACCACTGCCACTTCAGTAAACTGATGTTTCTATCATCACTGTACACATTGAGTAGACCATCACCCATTCTCTGTAGTCTGTCCATTAGTACCGAGTGGGTATTCCTGATAGGCTAGGTCTAGCACATGTCCTGTAGCCAAGGTGGCTGTGATACTGAATAGTGGAACTTCCTAGATTCAATGATGAGAGGCAAGCTCTGAATCCTGCTAAGATTCACAAACTGGGGAACTTCCCAAACAAGGGAAGAGAAATCATATGTAAGGCAACCAGGAAAAAAAAAAAGACAAATACCCCTGTAGGTATCTTCTTGGTATTTTGGGGAAGCATCATTACAGAAAAAGAAGATGAATTTTTATGTGAGCCAAAGTTGGAAAATTTTCATGCTAAGGGAAAAACAGAATGTTGCAAAAGTTTCATTTATTTGTAGGTGTTTTGCATCTATGGCAGTTAGTGATATTTTATAGTGAATAAAAAGAAAGCAAGTAAAGAGAAAAGACTCCCTTGAGTTTCACCATGCAAATTAGAGAATCTGGAAATAATACTCTTGATCCCTCATTCTTTTTTCTGCCCTCAATAAGGCTGATTCAGAAAAAGTATTTATAATATCTGTTAGGATTTCCCAAGAATATTTTAAAATTCTACAAGGACTGACAAGAGAACATTTGCTACCAATTAGAATGGATTTGAGCATCAAAGAACAGAAAAATTCTTATAATAACCTGATTTCACACTTCCCGTTAAGCATGTTTAGAGTACATTATAGCAAAGCATGTTAAAGCAATCTGCCCTCCAAAAAGTGCAACTAAGAGGAGAGCCAATGGAGCAACACTGGAGAACCAGAAATTCAATTCTAGGAGAATGACAGGAGATATGTGAGTGGTCAGAGGAATTAGTGAGTACTCAGTGATTTTAGACGCTTTGCCATTGGTGAGGAGCAGGGAAGTTCTTTCTCCTTGTTAAAAAAGAGGATCTGGAAGCTATAGAAACACACGGCGATTTCTCATCTTAAGCAGGTATGTAGTCTTCTCTCTTGCTACAATCTTCAGAGTATTATATAAGTATTTTAATTTATCCATTTGTTAACATTTGGATATATGCATCCATTTCACTGTGTGTGTTTTGACAACATCTAGAAGACAAATAACTTAACAAAATGTGCTTAGATGGGCCATAAGGAAGAGTGAAAAAGAAGAAAGGGGAAAAGAAGGTAATAACAAGGAGGCAAACAGGGAACCAAAGAGACTATACTATTTTCCTATTTCATGCACATGTGGGTGCGTGTGTGGGTGCATGTGTGTGTGCGCGTGTGTGTGTGCATGTGTGTGTGTGGTGGGGGGTGGTTTTGCCTAGCAAATTTGCTCCATTTCAATAGAAACTTTAAACTTCAAAATTCCTTTTTTTCTTATTGCTAAGTATAAAAGCTAATACTTATTTAAGACCCAGTGCTTTATATTAAGAAAAATATAAAGGTATACATTTAGATTTGAAATGTAGTCTATGATATCGGAGATATATCATGAAATCAGAAGTAATACTAAAAGCAATAAAAGAAAACAAAGAGAAAAAAGAGCAAATGGCTTTTACATAGAGGTTAAAAATTTACTGAATTCTCTTGGTTCCCAACTAACACCAAAGACCAAAGTTCACCATTTTGCTTTTTTCTGAGGCTACAGAGATAGTGGTCATTGCCAAAGCTAGAAGGCCTGTGGGGAGTCCAGAGGAATTTAAGAGAAATGACTGAGCACTGGAGGTGATGAAGCAGAAGCAGCATTTTCCTTGTTCCTCTGACTACCTTTTTTTTCAAGCGTTTTTAACATGGCTCTTGTAGGTCTTCTTTGCAAGCCCTTGCCAGCAAGTGAAAAGCAATCTAGGAAACCACAAGCTTGGTCTGTAATTGAAACAAACAATTTTAGTTCAAGGCGATAAAAGCAGTAACAACGAAAATGGATTCGAAGTTGGTATACAAAACTCCACAATTATGTTTCTTTAAAAGGCTACAGTCAGGAACTACATACAATATATTTTGTATAGGAACTCTGCAACACAAGTGAATATGCTAGGGTTTCTCATGAGTCCTGTGACTCTCAGAAACCTTCTGTCTTCCAAAGAGTTCTTTGGATTCTACCATAAAGTATACAGCAGTATATGGAGAGCATTTTTACTGTTTAAAATCACAAATGCAAATAAGAACATACTGTAAAGGGTTGAGTATCCAGTAGCACACTCTGGATACCCAAAAATGTACAACAGGGAAGAACGGGGACTATTTTTTCATATAAATTCTTAACAATCTGTAAAAGGAAAAAAATGAAAGCCCACAAATAAGCAGAGTAACTTAGTTATAAAAGTTTAGTCATTTCAAATTCATCTCAAAACAACAAATATAGTATTTTATTCCCACTAGACTGTAAGTCTCATTTGTACAAGAGCCAAGTTTGTCTTTGTATTATTGTAATCCTAGCACCTAACAGGGTACCCAGCAAAGAGAAGATGCTCAGTAAATATTTGTTGATGAAATAAATAAATACTTAACGTGTAAAACAATAATTAAATGAATACTTGTGTTAACCCCATGTATGTACATAACATACACTAAAACACGCTTAGGACCCCAAATAATGTCAATTAACAGGGAGAGGCTGAAAGGTGAGAAAAGAGGAGAGATGAAAGCATAAAATAGACAGAGAATTGTCACTTAATCTCTGGAAATTCCTGTAAGCAGTTATCCATTGTTCATGACACCTTGAAAATTCTCATCTTTAACCTATTAGAATTTCTTCAACTGGAATAGCCACAGCAGCCTCCAGAGACATCATTTTCTCTGGGCATAATTAGTGGTCTCCTCCTTGCTCCATTATCCTGATAACATTCAATGAGGTCTCATCTGGCTGCATTATGTTTGGGACCTGTGGTAATGTCACAGAATCAGAAAGCCTTACACATGAACCATCTAATTCAACCTCCTTAATTCACTGATGAGTAATT